>NC_000014.9:64460197-64763228 GCF_000001405.40 Homo sapiens | reverse complement strand
GAAGCACTTGGGGGTCCTGCTGAGCATCCCCCACCTCCCAGGCTCTGGGTGCCTCAGAAGCCCCAGTGTAATGTGTGGTGAGAGGCTGTTTTCTCCTGGGAGAGAAGGAGGTGGATTGCATGGAGAAGAAATGGTGTTGATGATGCTGCAAGTCCCCCCAGGCTAAAGGTCCCTAGTGCACAGCCCTGCGCATCTTCCTGTCCACTGTGCCTGATTCTGGTTTTGGGAAGTGAAGTGTGAACTGCTCTGAGAACTCCCTCAGCAGGGCTGCGGTGATGCCATGTGTGACGTCCCTGAAAGGGATTGGTGCTCCTAATCACCTTTGCTAGGGCTCACTGTGTGGGATAAACATACCCTGCCTGCCTCCAAGCCCCAAGGCTAGATCCAGGCTGTAGTGCAGACGGGACCCTGGGATGCCAGGTCACTCCAGAAAGCAGCTGCTGGGTGCCCCCTCGTTATCAGCCTTCTCGTCAGGAAGTCAGGGAAAGCTCTCTTCCCCAAGGGCAGCTCACAGATGCCATTCTTCCGCGTGGCCTTCCAGCACTGCCTGTGCAGCCAGCAGCCCTGGAGAAAGGGACTGAGTATCTCGCTAGGGCTGAACGTAGGAGCTGAGACTCCTAGGTCCCTTGCGTCTCCATTCCCATAGGATTAAAGGTTTATGTGGCTTCAGGGAAGTAACCAGCACTTACGAACGTGAGGCGCTGAGCAGGCACTGGACTTGTAGCCAAGACCACCTCTTGGCCGGTGTCTGGCTGGCTCCAGCTGCTGCTGCCCCTTGGCAACCTGAGCACCTCCCCCAGCAGCAGCCTCCCTGGCAGGCAGCCAGGAGCTTTAATCAGCAGCCAGTGGTGGGGCTCTGACGTCCTTGGATGGAAGAGATGTGGGTGTGGAGACAGCAGCTGTGTTTCTTCTCGCCTGAACAAGCTCTCCCAGTCTTTCCTTCTCCTCCTGCTACTCTTTCAGACATTTTGCAGTGAATGCAAATCCTATGTTTGTTGGTAATAGGCAGACCCAGCTGGAAACAACATCAGTTTTCCCCAAAACCTGGGCATGTTCCTGTCTACCCAGTATGCCTGAGTCAGTGTGGCAGGGGTGTGTCTGCCTATACTCTGGCACTGCGCCTGGCTCCCTGGAGAAACCTGCCGTAGGCTCTTTCTGGACACCTGCCCGCTGCTGGGCATGTCCCTTTCTCCTTGCTGTGGTCAGATTTAATATTCCTGGCCCCTCTGTTCTGACGACTCTTCCTAAGTTCTTCCTTTCCAGCTGTGTTTCAGAACATCCTAGATACTGATGGCCTCAGGATGAGACTCAGTTAACATTGGAGGCATCTCAGAAATGGGTTTGAAGTGGACGATGTGACCACTGGGTGGCAGATCTGGATGGGGGAGTCAGTGTCTTCTAACTCTCTCTAATCTTTCAAATGCTGAGTGGCTGGCTCAGGGCCACTGAGCGACTAAGCAGCCAGCAGCTCCTTCAGGGCAGGGACCTGAAGAGGCCACACAGGTGGTGGGCATGGTGAAGACAGCTCCCGAGGAAGCCTCATTCTCTTCTCACGCCCTGGTGACAGTGGACCAGGTTTCTCCTCCCCTGCACACTGCCATTCCCCTTCCCCTCCATTCACTTTACCAGGTGCCCTTCTGCCCTGCATCCCTACCTGTCATCTTGGCCAGGCCCCCCAGTTGCCATCTCAGACAGACATCTGGACTCTGGGGTGCAGTGTTGCACTGGACTGCTCCCCTAACCCACTTCTCATAAGAGCCTTTCCCCATCCCTTGGCCTGCAATCCAGGGGACTCCTCACCATGTATCCCAGCCTCAGCTCCCCGCCCTGGCTCTTTCCCCCTGTTCAGCAACAGCTTCTGCTTTCTCCTTTAAGGCGTCTGTCTCTGCCCACCTTAAGTTGCCATCTCTTCATCTCTTTGGCTGCCCTCAGCTCAACAAACCATTTCTTTTTCTTCTCTTGCAAACAACTGTCTTCTGAACAGCCTTTCCAACCCACCCAGTGACAGCCCTTCTCACCCAAAGGACAAGAGCTGAGATATCAGACACCGGGCGAGGGCAACACTTCTTGGCGGCCAGAGTCACTTCTTGGCTGCTGGCTCCCCACATCCCACAGTCACCAGCACTCTTTGGTTGCCTAAGGCATCTAGCAGGGGGTCTTGTTTGGCCCCAAGCCCGTCTTCCAGCTCTGGCATGATTATGCTGCCTCTGTCAATCAGCCATGTGTTTTGCATAAGCCAGGATCATCTCATTTAGACTGTGAACCCCATCGGGCAGGTGCTTTCCTCTGGAGTGAGGATACAGGTCTCCTCTCTTGCAGGAGAATTAGTAAGAACACAGAGTTTGGTGCCAGACAGACCTGCGACCTCAACATTCCTCACTAATGTGTGACTATGGACAGGTCACTCATTCTGTACGACCCCCAGTTTCCCTCATTTGTAACACAGGTGTAATAACAGTACCTGCCTTACAGAGAGGCTGGGAGGATTGGAAGAGACAATGTAGGTAGAGCAGCTGGCACTGAGTAGGTGATCATTTAAGTCCCTTCATTTTTCTCCATCCCCCACCTCAGTCCTTCATCTCTTAAAAGTAGCATCCTCCATGTGAATTCTAACATGAATTCAGTTGTGGCACGATGCATCCCGTTGCTGCAGTCAGCCTGTTTCTGGGGTGCATCCTCAGGCCCTGGTTCTCACTGGTGTTACCTTTAGAGAGAAGACCTTGTCGCCTGTGTTCTTTGCTTGTAAATGCATCCGGGTTCTCTGAGCATCTTCAGAACCTCTGAAACACCCTGTGGTCCGGAGCCAGGTTGTGTTTCTCCTGGGAGCCTGAGGAGTTTGTTGTCTGTGTGCAGTCCCCCGCGCCACCTGCTGGTTGAGCCTGGACATACACCTTCACCTCCTTTGGCCCGGAGAAGACATTTACCCACCTGGCCATGTCCCTGGCCTGTTGTGCACATCCTCTGTGAAGACCCCAACCCCTGCCTCCCCCACCCAAGCCAGTTTCCTAGCAAGGCAGGACCCTAAAAAGTCAAGCTTACACAGACTCCTGCTTGACTTTGCAAGACTGCAAAGACCCAGAGATGGCCATCCCGCACCCATTGGGAGCCTGTGGCCTCTCCCTGTTGGTTTGACTACAATCCTGTGAGACCCCAAAAGGGCTGTGCCCTCTTCTCCACTGATCCCTGTCAACCAGCAACCAATGCTGCTTGTCCCCTGCCCTCCTCTGATGTCATGATCCCACAGCCAGTACACACAGCTCCTCAGACACCTCCCCCTGCCTCTTCCCCAAACCAGAGGACTAAAGGCAGTGCCTTCCCTTATTCAGCCCACTCTGCAATTCTCCTTCACCTCCATTTATGGTCTAGACTCCCTTGCTGCCCGCAACTGGACACCCAGAATTTCTTCCAAGCAGCGGGACTCTCTTCCTTCAGAGTGTCCCCTGCTCCGGTGGGTGGCAGCCCTCAGTGGTACAGGTGGAATCTGCATCTTCCTGATGACCTGAGGACTCCAGCAGCAGCCCCTGCCTTACAGCACAAAGGTGGAAGGGAACCTCAGATCAGCTCCTCCATATGCTGCCTTTGGGCAGAACCTGCCGGTCCCTTAGTCACATCTCAGCCACATGAGTAGCCAGCATCGCCCCTCCTGGTGCTCTCTGTCCATAGATCTCGCCTCCTGTCGGGTAAGGCAGTCCCCACCTCAGACCATGGCCTGCTTACAGGGGGGCAGCCTCCCCTCATCCCCTCTTATTAGCCTTGAGGCTCAGGGGAGGTGGGTCCTCCTGCCAAACCATGCTGCTAGCCTGACCCAGGGCCCACGGTTGGCATGGGTGGATGGTTCAGCTGGTGAGCTGGGAGGTCCTTGATGGATCTGGCCTAGAAAGAGGCAGGACTGATCCAACAGGGCCACAGGCCTCCCACTGCAGGTTCGCAGCCAGGGGGTCATGGGTGGGTCCCTGCCCAGCTACTTGGCTCCCTGCCTAGCTACTTGGCTCCCTGCCTTCCCACACCACCTGTGGTGCCCTTTCCGATTTCAGAGGCATTGTGTGGATAGGAAGCAGGGCCATGGATTCTTGCCTCAGCTCTGCTACTGACTTGCTGTGTGCTCTAATCTCAGCCCGTCACTGAGCTTTTCCGGAACCCAGTTTTCTCATCTGAGATAGGAGAGGCTGAGTCCCATGACCCCAAGGCCTCTTTCCAGCTCTAGAATTCTGAGAATCTCTTTTCTCACATCAGCTTCATCTACCCCATCTCCAGCCTCCCCCACCCCCTTCCCTGATAAGGCCCCCATTGTTGATTCTACCTACATACCCCTCCCAGAGGCATGGCTAGAAATAAAAGGCCCCAGAGAAATTCCTTATCTCTTATGAATTGCAAAAGATCTTTACATACACATACACACTCACATACTTGCAGGGCTGTGTCAGGCTCCCACACCCCTCCTCCCCCGTGAGCAAGGAGCCTGCCAGCAGCATCTGGCCATCCCTCCAGCTTGCTCTCTGCTGTTTGTGCACTTTCCCTGGGCAGATGGGAACCCCAAGAGTAACTATTTAAAAAATGGTTCTGCTTCAGAAAAGGATTTGACCTCTTGGATATATATCTAGACACAATCTTCCTCGAAGTCTTTTCTTGACAAAGTTGTGAGCTGTTTGTAAAATCCACTTGTGAATTACCAGAGCCCTCCACTCAGCAGCACGCCGTTGTCTTTGGCCGGACCTGGGGCCTCTGCCTTTGGCTTCTGGGGCCCCTCCACCTCAGTGCCCCACTCCAAGCCTTGAGGCAGGGCCTCAGGCCACTTCTGCACTACCCTAAAGGGGTGGGGCCTCAGGCCCTCCTGCACTGCTTACCTGTTCACATGGCTTCTCCCTTCCTGTCTCAAGCCTCAGAATGTTCCAACTGAAACTGGCCGAGAAAGGAGGGGCTGAGGCCTTGCCTGCCAGTGGCTGAGATTCCCATTCCCCATTTCTCAGTCCTGAGCATCTGCTACTCCAGGAACAAGAGGGTTTTTGAGATCCTTACACCAGCCCCACAGGACACTGGCCACAATAATTGCTCGGCAAAGCCCCAGGGAGGCAGGGGTGGATAGGGAGGGGTGAAGGATCATAAGAAAGCCAACATTTACAGACATGATCTCACTTTAAAAGGCTGCAAACCACCTGTGAAGTAGGTCATGGGCTCACTCCCACTAACTGAGTCAGGAAGGTTCTCTCCCTTCCCCCAGATGGAATTCCAGGGACTCTCACTCCAGGCCTGTCTGACCCAACACCTGGGAAGGGGTGGGCTTCTCAGGAGGCCCTCTGCTGTTGGTCCTGGATGGGAGAGCAGGAAGAGGGCTGAGGGAAGGGGCCAGCTCCGTCTGAGAGCTCATCGGTGTCTCTGCTCACAGGGCCTTCTAGAAATCCCTGTCCTCCTTACTCCCTCACCCCAGTGCCTCTTGGTTCTTCCTCCTTGTCCCCCTCCAGGGAGTTGGCCAGCCTCCTGGGAGCTGAGGAGGGGAAGAAAGGATTGTCCCCAAAGCCCCTTCCCCCTCTCCTGTACCCACCTTCATTACACCTCACCTTTCTCACCTGTGTCCGCTCCCCCCTCCCAGAGAGGAAGGGAAGCCCTGCCAAAGCCCAGTTCCTTCATCTCTCACCCTCATTCTTGGCCTTGGCCTTCAGGGTGGAGAGTACAAGATGCATTTTAAATTGTCTCTACAGGAGCAGTCAGGAACGCCAAAGAAATCTTTGCATACATTGGAAAACCCCCATTTTCCAAAGCCAACCTGTGACCTGGCCACATAATTTTTGATCGCACTGGCATAGCCTCTGAATGTCCCTGCCAAGGAATGTGGGCCAGGCACCCATTAAGAGGAAACAGAAGAAAGGTGGGATTAAGTTGGGAGTCAGTCCTGGCAAAATCCATCTCTATTTTCAGAGGACAGTTTTCTAAAGGAAGGAAAATGGAATGGAAGTATAGGAAGAAAATGTAGACATGGAGGTCTCTAGTAAAACCAATCCCAGGAGAGCAGAGGCTGGGTAAGAGGGGCAAACATGGCTGAGAGGGTCTGGCAAGCTTCCCTCCCTATATCTGCCATGGCTGCTTCTCTGAGACCCAAGGGCAGGGAGAGCACTGATGGTAGCAGGAGCAGCAGTGCAGCCCATGTCCCCTCCTCTGGAACCTACTCCCGCCCCTCTTGGAGGAAAAGCAGGGCCTCCCCAGATGTATACCCAAGTCAGAGCGCAGGATCCACAGAAAGACCCCAAGCCCAGGCTTCCAGTCCCATCCCTGCCTCTCCTGCTCTTCCTCCCTGCTACGGTGATCCAGGCAGGGCTTTGGGGCCTCCAGATCCTTGTGGCCAATGCTGGCTCATTGCAGACACTCTAGGGTCCAAAGGCTGCCAGATGCATAGAGAGGAGTGGCCTGGCCACAACCCTCAGGGGCGCTAAGGTGGGAAAAGATGAACACCATAAAGATGGGATAAAAGCTCAGGTCTGTCCATTTTGGGAGTGCATATTCCGAACTGCCTCCTATACCTATTAGCTTTGTTGTCACCAGGAAATGCAGAGTCCTCAATTCTTAGTCTGTCTTGGGAGAATTCGGCCAAGAGACCAAGTAGTAATGTAAGCAAAAGGTTTACTGAAGGAAAATAAAGAGCAGGGATTGTATTTATTTATTTATTTTGTGACAGAGTCTCACTCTGTCTCCTAGGCTGGAGTGCAGTGGTGTGATCTCGGCTCACTGCAACCTCCACCTCCCGGGTTCAAGCGATTCTCCTGCCTCAGCCTCCCAAGTAGCTGGGACTACAGGCACGTGCCACCACGCCCAGCTAATTTTTTGTATTTTTAGTAGAGACGGGGTTTCACTGTGTTAGCCAGGATGGTCTCAATCTCCTGATCTCGTGATCCACCTGCCTCGGCCTCCCAAAGTGTTGGGATTACAGGCGTGAGCTACCATGCCCGGCCTGGGAGTTTATTGAAGTAGACTCCAAGAGAGGAGCCAGCAGGTCCGCCTGGGAAGCAGCAGTATTCACAGCAAGAGTGAGGTAGCAGCAGAGACAATACACTCTGAAAGATGAGGCAGAGCAGGCTGCTCGAAAGATGAGCCAGCAACTAGAGAGTTCTGCCTTGCGGTTTTTATTAGGTCACACTCTATTTAGGTTCCTGCCTCTGTCTCAAGTCTCCACCTTTGTCTAATTTCCTGCCTCTATCTTATGTCTCCATCTTTTCGCCCCACCTAGTTCCCGCCCCAGGTTTGTGGGACTCTCCCTTACTGTCAGCTGATGAACCTGCAGGGGCGGGTGTCGGATATGAATCCTATCGAATGGTGATGTTGCTAATTACTGCCACTCCAGGAAGGGTGTATATTGGTATTTATTGCACGTGCATATCTCGTAGGAATTTCTCCTTTGCTTTCTTTCCCTCCTTAGCATGCAGCTGGCTACATTCCCACAGGTTAACTGCAGAGTGATGACTGGGCATCTTAAGGGGTGTCTTGGGGTGTTCCTTCCTGCATAGATATTTCCCCTCCTCTCTGCTCATATCTAGGGTGAATGTTTTGGATGGTCTCTGGGGTGTGAGACTTTCCAGACCTCCCTTTCTCAGAGGCTTTCCCACCTGCTCATATTTATCTGCCTACTCCGACAGTATAACCTTGGGCAAGTCACTTGACCTCTCTGAGCACTGGTTTTCTCATTATAGATCGAAAGCATTAGACTAAGTCAGTGGTTTCCAAACTTTCCCAGCCACATAACCCTTTCTTTAAATGAAATCTTACTGGATCCCTACCATGTAACCTGTTTACTGAACAGTCCTAATTTGATGAGATACAAACATGACCAGTTTTATCTTTCTTGCAACCACTGCCTTCCAACGTCTCCATTGAGCCCCCCTTCCCATTCCTAAGGCCACCTCAGGCAGACCCTGGTCACTTTCAGTGGATAAAAAGTCTGCCCAGTTGTTTCAGTTTAAAGCTTCGATCTGATGTCCAACATGGGGCCCACATCCTCCCATCCTCCATCCTCTGTTTCGGGTTTGCCCCATAGTCTAAAGGATTCAGACCAGGGAGGAGAACATGGTCTGCTCTCTCCTGGCTCCTTCCCTCTCCTCCCCAGCACTCTTCTGGACCTCTGTCTTCAGCTGTTGGGGCAGGGAGGAGGGAGCAGAAAAAGAACCTTTTCTGACCTCCTGGCTGAAGATGTCCTTGGTGCTTCAGGCATCCAGCTGCTTGGGGGCCTTCCTACCTCTTGCTGAAAGGTGTTTAGCAGTCAGGTCTTTGGGACCGGGTCCTGGCCAGATGGCTCCAGTGAGGCTGCCTTCCTTGGTGCTCACTTGGCACGGAGGAGACCCACCCATTCTTGCCCCACCTGGCAATGGGAGGCCGCCCGCTGCTGCCCCAATCTGTCCTGCCCTCTCTTTCTTCTGCCCCAACAGGCAAAAGGGCAGATCAGCAAGGTCTAGCATAAGGAGATGCCCAGCCAGGGAATGGCAGGTCAGCTTCCCCTTCTCGTGGGCACCTGTATGTCATACAGTGAGTGGCACCATTGGAGGCCCCTCCCTTGACTTGGGCAGGGGCCAGGCATCCCCAGGTCTCCACAGGGAGGTGCAGGGAGGTAAAGACCACAGCAGTTCCCCAAGGCTGTGCCTCCTTACGAGGGGGATTCTCAACTCCTGCTGAACATTAGATCCCATGAAATGCTCAGTAAGAGATACCAATGTGCCGACCCCCGGGGCCAGTTAACTCAGCATCTTGAGATGGAGCCTGAGAATGTTTCTTTTGAAAGCACCTGAGGTGATTGCGGAAGGCAGCCAGGGTTAGGAACCACTGCCCTGTCCAAAAAGTTCCCATCAAATGATGGAGAAAGGACCTGTTAGACCTGCTGATGGCCAGGGAGGGTCTGGGTTCTCCCTTTGTAAGGTGGCAGGGGCGGGCAGACTTAGGACCTGGTACCCTTAGTTTTAGGGCTTTAGGCACAATTTGAAAGTACCAGAAGAGTTCCCATTCAACATTCTACTATAAGTGGTTGCCGAACTTGTCTTAGCAGCAGAACTTTCCTCATACGAGTGTCTGGCTGCAGCAAGGGGAGGGGCCAGAGCTTTGCCAGCAGCATTGGAACCTGCCCCCCCTCACACCCCTTTAATGAAATAATCACTCAGGCCCCTTTGGCTCACTCTGAGAACCTTCCGTTGCTATGTTACATTGGAGAGAGGGGGCCACCCTGCAGCTCTCTGAAGGGAGAATGGGGTGGAAATGGAGCCAGAAGCACAGGCAGAGTAGAGAAGCAAGGGGGCACCCATAGCAGGTTGTGGGAGAGCCAGGGTGGGCCAGGAGGTGGGAGTAGAAAGGAAGTAGGCTTGGGGGTGTGGAGAGGGTGGCTGCTGACCTCCCAATTTTGCTGAGAACAGCCATCTCTAAGCCAGAGTACCCAGAAAGGTGTGCTCCTCCCTATGCCCTGAGCAGGGGGAAGAAGAGGGAACGTGGCCTCAGAACCTGCAGCAGCCACCACCGCCGGGTCAGCACAAGGATGGGCAGAAATCCACTGGGGATGAGAGGCCCACCACGGAGCCCCTCTTTAAGGTCCTAGATACGCCTCTGAGCGAGGGTGATGAGCCCGCAACGCTGCCGGCCCCGCGGGACCATGGGCAGAGTGTGCAGATGGAAGGCTACCTGGGCCGCAAGCATGACCTGGAGGGGCCCAACAAGAAGGCTTCCAACAGGTGAGTGCGGGAGAGGCTGCTGGCTGAGGGTAGGTTGGGCAGCTCTCAGGGATCTCTCTGCTAGCAGAGCCTTGGTGACATGGGCATGTGCTGGGGGAGGGGTGCCTTCTGCCTTGGCCTGTGAGAGCTCCTAGACACCCCTCTGGGCCAGCCCCGAGGGCTACTTGGCATGATGGGAAAGCCTATCTCCAGTTCTGGTCCTGAATTCAAATCCTGTGTCTTCATGCAAGTTACTCAACCTCTTTAAATCGGTTTCCCCATTTGGAAGGAGAGGATGAGAACAGTATGTCTTTTCACTACAGATACTGTTCCTGGCACACAGTAGGCACTTGGTGAACACTAGCTGTTATTATCCTATTATCCCAGGGCTAGGGATAGGTAGCTCTAAAGGTTAGGTAGGTCTTGGCACTAACAACATCCTTGTTCGAGCCCCGCTTTTTACCAGTCTAGGCCTCGGTGTCCTCAGCTGTAAAATGGGAGTGATGGGGATGGGGCATGGCCTAGTTGCCCCCCAGAGGTCCCTTCTAATGCTGTCATCTGGTGACTCTATGACCCCGAGAACTGACTCAAAGGCTGCGTCCTTTCCTGACCCTGAAACAGTCATGTCCTTGGGTTTGGTCTATCTAGGGCTGTCTCTGCCTGGGGCCCCCAGGGGCCTCCTCTTTCTAGCAGCAGTCCAGGGTCCCAAGAAAATAGGGCAGCACCAGGAGGTTGAAGCCAGCCATATTCCCAGGGACAGCTGGCAGCATGAGCATGCAGGATGTGTCTGGGGGACTCACGAAAGGGATTCCAAATTCCAAAAAGGAACCATTTGGGGGCCCAATTGCCCTGAAGAGGTTTATTTATTGCTTAAATGGAGAGTCTACCCAGAAAGGGGAAACTAACATTTACTGAGCATCTACTATGTGCCAGGCATTATATTAGGACTGATAAAATCTTCCCAACAATCCTGTGACATTGATGTTTCTATTTTCCAAGGGGATAACAGAGTCTCGGAAAGGTTAAGTCATTTGTTCAAGGCAAGCTCTTTCTCCAAAGACCCAGCTCCTTCTTAGTAACTGCCTTTCTGCCAGAGGAAAGATCCCTGAGCGCGGAGTCAGAAATGGGGCTTCGTAAAATGGCTTTGCAGCCAGCTTTGTATGGGTCAGTTTCTCTCTCTGACCTTCCAGAACTTCCTCCCTATGTGCCCTACTAGTTTCTCCACCTTCCTGCCCTCAAAAGTAAGGGAGAAGAGGGAGAGGAGAGGAGGGAGACAGAAGAGGAGGATGAAGAGGAGGAGGAAACAGAGTCTGTTGCTGTAGAAATGCAGCAACATGCTTCCCACGTGTGAGTGAAGCGGCTCGGGCTAGCCCACCTGTTATCAGTTTGATTCCCTCACCAAACATGCCAGTTGACATGAGCCCTATTTGTCTTTTTTTGTGTTTTGTTTTGTTTTGTTTTGTTTAGACAGAGTCTCACTCTGTCACCCCGGCTGGAGTGAACTGGCTCAATTTTGGCTCACTGCAACCTCCGCCTCCCAGATTCAAGTGATTCTCCTGCCTCAGCCTCCTGAGTAGCTGGGATTACAGGCACGTGCCACCACGCCTGGCTAATTTTTTTTTTTTTTTTTGCATTTTTAGTAGAAATGGGGTTTCACCTTGTTGGTCAGGCTGGTCTCGAACTCCTGACCGCATGATCCGCCTGCCTCAGCCTCCCAAAGTGCTGGGATTACAGGTGTGAGCCACCACGCCCGGCCGACATGAGCCCTATTTGTAAAATTTGTTCCTTTAAAAAGTTTAGTATACTTGGCACATCTCATCAAAACAGAAAACAATCACTGAAACAAAACCCTGTTCATTCCTTCACAGTTCTTTAGTGAGAATCAAATACACTGATGGATGTAGAAATATTGTAAAAAGTTAATTTTTTACTGTTGGTCTTAAGACGTAATAGTTCTATAAGTGTACTTCAAGGTAAGATCAGAATTATAGGCACAGATTTATGTGTAAGAATGTTCATCACATTGCTATTTAAATTATGGGCACATTTTCCAGTATTATAAGGTTCATCAATAAAGGGATTGTGAAAGTCTTCCACATAGCTATTCAAAATTATTTTAAGAAATATTTGAGGATAGGGGCCGGGCGTGGTGGCTCAGGACTGTAATCCCAGCACCTTGGGAGGCTGAGGTGGGTGGATCGCCTGAGGTCAGGAGTTTGAGACCAGCCTGGCCAACGTGGTGAAACCCTGTCCCTACTAAAAATACAAAAATTAGCTGGGTGTGGTGGCTTGCGCCTGTAGTCCCAGCTACTCGGGAGGCTGAGGCAAGAAAATCGCTTGAACCTGGGAGGCGGAGGTTGCAGTGAGCTGAGACTGCACCACTGCATTCTAGCCTGAGTGACAGAGGCTCTGTCTAAAAATATGTATATTATATATAAATATTATATATTATATATATTATGTATAATATATAAATGTTATATACTATAAATGTTATATATTATATAATATATAATTGCTACATATATAATATATAACATAATGTATAATATATAATGTATTATATATAATGTATAAAATATACATTATATGATGTATAAAATATGTATTATATAGTATATGATATATAATGTAATATACATATTTTATATATTTATATATTTCATATAAATATATATTATACATAATAGGTATATATGTTATATAATAAATATGTAAATATTATATAAATTATATAATAAAAGTATATATAAATATATATTACATATATACTTTTTTTTTGAGACTAAGTCTCGTCTCTGTCACCCAGGCTGAAGTGCAGTGGCTCAATCTCGGCTCACTACAAGCTTCGCCTCCCGGGTTCAAGCGATTCTCCTGTCTCAGCCTCCTGAGTAGCTGAGACTGCAGGCATGCGCCACCAAGCCCGGCTAATTTTTGTATTTTTAGTAGAGATGGGGTTTTACCACGTTTGCCAGGCTGGTCTTGAACTCCTGACCTCAGGCGGTCCGCCCGCCTCGGCCTCCCAAAGTGCTGGGATTACAAGTGTTAGCCATCTTGCCTGGCAAAAAAAGAAATATTTGAGGATATGGAGAAATACTCATGATTTAGTGTTATGCTTAGAAACACGATATAAAATTGAATATATCCATAACCCAGTTTTAGCTATCTGTGACTAGTAAAAAAAAAAATGCGAAAATGTGAAGACTAGAAGGAATACATAAAATGTTAATAATAGCTAATTTTTTGTAATGAAATTACATGCAGATGATTTTTTAACAATAAAACATGTTACTATGTATCAGAACAAACATGGTGTAATTTTTTTTAATGGTGAAGCTATAGGAATTGACTCTAGAGATACCATATCAGGATGTGGGTGACCTGCCTGTCTGCATCTTTGCAGGTCCTGGAACAACCTGTACTGTGTGCTCAGGAACAGTGAGCTAACCTTCTACAAGGATGCCAAGAACCTGGCCCTGGGGATGCCCTACCATGGGGAGGAACCCCTGGCCCTGAGACATGCCATCTGTGAGATTGCTGCCAACTACAAGAAGAAGAAGCACGTCTTTAAGCTGAGGTGAGGCCTTCCTGGCCTTTGAAAGCTCGGGTTGATGGCTTGATTTGGCATTAGTGGCAGGGCAGAGGCCCTCTGTAGGGGACCAGTGCCAGGCCTGAGCTGCTCCTCAGGGGTTTTTCAAATCAAAGAGGCTGATGGTCCAGACTTTGACCTCTCAGAAAGTGCTGGGCTGCCTGAGAGGGGTCTGGATGTTCGGCTCAGGGTATTGTGGGATCAGAGCCAGCCCTCTGCCCAGCGCCCCCTCCAGAGGTGTCTCCATGACAGGAAACCCTTTGTCCTCCTAGGCTGAGTAATGGCAGCGAGTGGCTCTTCCATGGCAAGGATGAGGTAAGCGCGGGCAGCCTAGCCCAGACCTGGCTAAGAAGGGGGTAGGTGGAGGACCCCAGGCCGCTTGCCCTGGAGGCCCCCTCAGAAGGGGCAGTCCCAAGAGCCCCCACCATTGTTGCCTGGCCCGGGAGGTGGGGGGCTGTGGGCCTCCAGACTCCACCGTGACCCTCCGCCCCGCAGGAGGAGATGCTGTCCTGGCTGCAGGGCGTGAGCACCGCCATCAACGAGTCCCAGAGCATCCGCGTCAAGGCGCAGAGCCTGCCCCTGCCTTCCCTCTCCGGCCCCGACGCCAGCCTCGGCAAGAAAGACAAGGAGAAGAGATTCAGCTTCTTCCCCAAAAAGAAGTAGCAGGTGGGGCTGGCGGGCGCGGCGGAGTCGGGACGCGCAGAGACCGGGCAGCCCAGGCCTTGGCCTCCTCTCGCCGCCGCCCGCCGGTCGAATCGAGATGAGTCGAGTCGCGGGCCGGGCCCCCGGGCCCCACGCTGCACTGCAAAAGCTGCCTTCGCCCGCGTGTCCTGGGCCGACGCCCCCTCCATGCCCTCGCCCGCGCTGGCTCCGCTCCAGGGACAGGGGCTCCCAGCTCCTCTGGCGCCTTTGGGGCCTCCAGGCCTGGGGGCAGGAAACGGTTCTCTGAGGCACACGCCCTCCTCTCCCACCCTCCTCCTGAGCCGAGGGGGCACAGGCCCCTTACCCCCAACCAAAAAAAAAAAAAAAAAAGAGCTGGAGAAGGCTGATGGGGTTCTTCAAACGCTGCCCGTTCCTAAAGCAAGTCTTGCTTCGGGTCACCTCCCACCTGGTGGCAGCCAGGGAAAGGGGAAAGGAAGAAGACACTGGAAATGCATGGCCAGCCCCCTAGGGGCATGAGGAAGGAGCCTTCAGGTGGCCCACAAAGCCCTAGCTCTGGGCCAGGGGCTCTGGGGGGCTGAGGGGACCAGACTGGGTGCAGGGCCTTGGGAGCTGCCAGCCTCCTTCCCACTGGGCTTCCGCAGAACTGGGACTCTCACTTCAGGGGCCACCACATCCCTCCTCTCTGCTTCTCCCCCCAGATCAAAGGGTACCCTCCCACGGTTGGCAGGGCCTGGCTGAGTGCCTCTAGCACCCTTTGTGCCACCACAGGCGGTCCCAGGAAGGGCAGCAAGGTCAGACCATTCCTCATTGAAAACCGTGGCTAGGGCACAGGGCTCTGATCTGAAGGAGTGACAGGTGCGTCACAACACTGCCTAAGGCTCTCCCTCTCAATGCTGGGACCCTCGCCCCACTCCCAGTGGCAGCCAAACCAGCAATATCCAACAGACATAGGCCCCCTACGGGACAGTGTGGGCCCCCAGATATAAGATGGATACCCCCCGCACCTGCAGTAAAGCATCCCAAAGCCAAATGCTCAATTGCATCCTGTCTGCAGCTGGGACTTTGGAGGGTAATGGCTGGGCAGACAGTAAAGTTGATCATCTGTTTTCTCGGGGTGGCAGACGCAGCCATGTCTTGGTATCACCACCCATGTGACAGCTACTCCTGCACAACTGGGACAAATGTCAGGGCCAGAGCCATGAAGGTGTGGTACCCCTTGATCAGCTTCTCCACGTCCTGGCCCCAGGTCTTGGCGGGGAGGGGGTCACATGAGTACAGAGGTCAAATATCTACCACCCTCCAGCCCTGAGCACCAGAAGCTCTGCAACCAACGTCCCCAGGAATGGCCTTCCCCTTGCTGCTCAGGTCATACTTCTGGAGGAAGAGAAAGCTCATTCCATATTTTCCCCACCACTCTACTCCGAAAGCAACACAGTTCTGGCCCAGTATCAAACTAGGGTTAGGTCCAAGAGAGCAGTCAAGCGGGTCGGGGGTGGGGGGGAGGGCGGAGGGCAGCAGGCATTTTCCCCCAAGGAAACCATGAAAGTCCCCAGGGCCTGCAGTCAAGTTTCTATCACCTTCCCCGTGAGAAGGACCTTAGTTCCATGGAGATGAAGTGGGTGAGGTTCAGGTAGAAGCCACAGGGGCAGGCATCCAGAATGAGGCCCCCTGAGGAACCCTGAGTGCTGACCAGTGCCGGCAGAAATCAGTTCCACCCTGTGGCCCTGACACTATATGTCAGGGTGACACCAACTGCAGCAGGCAGGAGCCACAGGAAGGAAGACGTCATCCGATGGAGCCTGACATCCCCAGGTTCCCGCCCTGGTGAGCAAGGTCTTCATTTGGCTTTGGTACATATGACCCTATACAGGGAACCTAGTGTGTATCACTCACCAGCCTCTTTCTGTATCTGGGGAAACCAAGGCAGTGAGGTGACTGCACTCACCTAGCAATAAAGTAGGCCTTTGGTGCACTTGCAGGCATGTCCTCCTCTGGGGCAGAGAGCAGGTTCCTTGCTGAAGGGCAGATGGTGGCAAACATCTCCCTCAACTGTTTCCCTGGGCCAGTCTTTAGGGAGCCTAGGGACAAGGGCCCACCCTCCCCCTTCCACGTGTGCCAAATCAGCACCTGAAGTGAGGCATTTCCAGCAAGCAACTCCACAGACCCGAGAAAGGAAGGGCTCTAGTGGAAGAGCTAGCATCTCACCACCCCAGGTCCCCTGGCCTGGTCCAGGGCAGCCAGCTGCATGTGACCATTCTGTTGCCAGCTCCCCACACATCCCTCCTGTCACCCAGGCTCCAAGACATTCGACCAACTAGACTGAAAATGCAGGCATCCAGCTTTGGGAGACCCTGTGTGTGCCACACCAGGGCTAAGCTCTCCCAGTGCCCTAGCAAGGTCTTTTTTTTTTTTTCTCTCCTTATTCTACTCTACAGTCTTTTGACAGTATTCCCAAACGAGGTTGACACAGCTCCAGTCCACACCAGCATACCAGGCTTCCTTCCCAGGGCAGTTTAGAGGAAGCTCCTTCTGGGCAAGGTCAGGCGGTCCTCCTTCCCTCTCTCCTTCCCCTTTGTCCCAGCCTCAACTGACTCTGGCTGTGGGAGGTGTGGAGGGTCCTTAGGCTTCCCTCCCCAACCTGGCCTCCACCAACACCCCTAACAGGAGGCCCGTGGAAGGCTCAGCCTCTCCTCCGCATCCCTCCTCCTTCCTGCCTATCGGAGGGAGCCAGGGTCCCCTAGGCTGACCCTGAATCCTCTTCCTCCCTTCATGGGAGGGGGGCAGGAATCCAGAGGAGGATGAAGCCAGCGGGACCACATGGCTTGGTGGCTTGGACAAACAAGCTCAGGGAGGAAATGAGGAGGCGGCGGCTGCAGAGGAATGCAACCCTGTTGGGCACAGACCATGCAATCTGGGGCTGGCCCTGGGGCCAGCTGGGTCCTGTCCTCCACCTGCTCAACCGTGCTTCCACCAACCAGAGGAAACCCATTTACTAGTTTTTCTAATAAATCAATAATGCTCCATGTTTCTCTCAGTTTCTTATTTAACTAGCCTCCTCTCCCTTTGAACTGAGCCTAAGAGGGCTGGCACCATGGAGACAGAGGGACAGCCAGATTCTCTAGCTTGTCCCTGGGAGCCTTATGGGACGACTGCAAGCACCCGGTTCCTGGGCTTCATCACAAACTCCAAGAAAAGCTTGCTCATTCATGCATTTGATCAACTTGAAGGCCTACTGTAGGGCAAAATCATTTCCAAGCAGTGATCAGTCCAGGCCCCTCCCCACAGAGCTCAGGACAGATCTCAGCACTCACTGGACCGCAGAATCATCAGAATCTCTAAGCCTGGGATTCACCTCCAGAGGGCAGTTTCTGTTGGTCTAGGGAGATGGAATGTAAGCACTGCGTTTCCAGAAGGCTCCCCAGATAATTCCAATGGGCAGCCAGTGAGAACCACCGACCTGGTGCAAGGTTCCCAGGCATACCTAGATGGCCGTGTAAGGACTGCCTGGGGAAGGGGTTAACTACAACTTCCTGGGCCCCACCCTCTGAAGAGCCCCAGTCGGGTTCTTCAAGGGAAGATCAGAGGCTAGTGACAACCTCTCTTGAGCAGAAGCAGCGCAGGGCAGAGATAGCCCCTGGTCTGGCAGCTGCCCTGAATCTTCTGTGGTCATTCCACAGTCACTGGCTCCTGCCAGGCCAGTCTCAAGATATGATGCTGAGTAACCACAAGGGCACTGGACAGTGTGAGGGTCAGGGAGGCGGAGGTTGCAGTGAGCCAAGATTGCACCACTGCGCTCCAGCCTGGGCGACAGAGCAAGACTCCGTTTCAAGTGGGGGATAAAAAAGAATCTGGGTCCCTCTGATCTTCCCTTGACCTTGTTAGACTTAGCAGACCCATCTTCAGGTTGGGTCAGAAGGCCCACAGGGCCCTGACCCAGCAGCCCTGCTGAACACTTGTCAGGCAGCTCTACCACCCAGGCCCTGAAGCCTCTACCTCCCAGGCCCCAGCTAGAAAAAAAATTAAGCAAAATGAGTCTGGACCTCTGTGGAGAAAGGGCAGAAAACCCAACTGAAATAGGGAGGCATTCCTAACTCTTCTGAATCAAAGATACTTCTGAGAATGTGATAAAAAGGGAGGAATCATCCCAGAAAAATGCACTTGTACTCCTCATCCAATGTTGCAGACACCTTTAGGACATTTCTAGTCTCCGAGTTTAGAATCCTTACCTTCAGCCGCATGCAGTGGCTCACCCCTGTAATCCCAGCACTTTGGGAGGCCGAGGTGGGTGGATCACCTGAGGTCAGAAGTTCGAGACCAGCCTGGTCAACACGGCGAAACCCCGTCTCTACTAAAAATACAAAAAATTAGCTGGGTGTGGTGGCTCATGCCTGTAGTCCCAGCGACCTGGGAGGCTGAGACAACGAGAATTGCTTGAACCTGGGAGGCGGAGGTTGCAGTAAGCCAAGATCACGCCATTGCACTCCAGCCTGGGTGACAGAATAAGACTCTGTCTCAAAAAAAAAAAAAAAAAAAATCCTTGTCTTCTAGGATGTTTCCTGGGGACCGGAGAGAAACGCAAAAGGCACCAGATACTGGGAGCATCTGCTTATGAGAAAAACAGTCTATCCACCTCACCACCTCCCTTTTTCTTGGTCCAACTCTGGCCCTTGGGGAAAAGAGCAAAAGGCTGGCATGCGGGACCCCCTACCCTAGACAGGACAGCAGGCTGCTGCTAGACAGAGAAGCCCATGGGAGTCTAGGCAGCAGAAAGAAAAAGCCCGCCCTCACATCCTCCTGCCCCACCTCCCCCACCAGTACCCGGGTGCCTTATGTTTCATAAGCCCAAGTGACAATTGAGTGTGGAAGGAACAACCTCCATGTCTCCATCTCCCTAAGACATCCCTGGCCCATGAATAACCTTCCCTACCCCAGCCAAGCCTAGGAAGGAGTTCACACATAGTGGGTTGGTCAGCAGTGGTTATTGCACCATTGGCAAATAATGAAATGTGTGTACATCAGCGACAACCACAGGGTCAGCACAACAACCCTCAAAAGTACCTGAACTGAATCCACTTCATTCTTGACAGGAGGGGAATAAACAGGGGCCACACACTCACGCACACGCACATCATACCACAGAATGGAAAGCAATAAATTATTGGCTTCATTCCTGCCTGGACCCTAAGAAAAGGCACCGTTACAGAACAAAGCCTCTCCAGGCCACTGCCTGAGTCTCCTGGGGATGGGCTCCTCCATCTGGCTGTGGCCATGGCCAGCCAACGCTGGAGGCCTGAGCAGAGCTTCCTCTCTCTGGGAAGAAGTGAGCTTAAATATTTGGCTTCTTACCAGAGAACAACTATTTACAAGGGAAGCAGCCACACCGGCCTCACAGGTGAGTGGGAAATTGTCTCGAGCCCCAGTGGATGGCACAGGCAGGAGACCCCTGCACACGGGAGCATCCTTCCTGAAGGGCGGAGGGGATGGACTTTCCGCCCACCTGAGGGCCCTGGGCAGGGGCTCCATGAGCCCAGGCTTGAGGGGAAGGATGCCCAGGTTCTTCCCCAACCTCCAACATGACTCCTCCCTCCCCCAGGAGTCAGCATCAACCGACAGAGTTCAAGGCCTGGAACTTCTCTCTAAGGTTTCTCACTCTGCCCTGCTGGCTCGGGTCTGCCGGGTCCCTGGAACCCTCTTCCTTCGGCTGGCACTCTGCAGACTGCTGGAAGTCCTGAACCTGCCCCAGCAGGGCCACCGGTGAGCTTGGTCCCTGGCCACTGCTCTCCTCCAGCCCTGCAGTGGGGCTGGGAAGGGGTCCCTTCTCCATGACAATCACCCGCCGGTTGTCCTCCAGGGTGAGGTCTGCAGTGACATACAGGGTCTCGCCTCCATCCGGCTTGCTCTGGGGCAGAGGCCCAGGGGATTGGGCAGCCTCTCCGCCTCCCCGGCCCCTCTTGGTGCTCAGGCTGCGGCAGCGGCCCACCCTGCCCGACAGAGGTGGCTCTACCATGTTCTCCGGCACCGAGTGGCTCCTGTTGACGGGTGGGCCGCGGGGCCGGCCGCCCCCTGCTCGGCGTGCCTCATCGCGGGAGGCATACTTGGAGCAGAGCTCACGGACGTCGGGCCAGCTGAAGGTCTCTGTGGGGCTGAGGGGGCTCCGGGCGGAGGGCCGGCCCCCAGGCGAGGTGGTCCTCTGGCTGACAGCAGACGGGTTGAAGAAGAAACGCTGTGGTGACATCTCCCCAGCCGAGGAGGGCTTGGGAGGGCTGTGCTCCTGGGCCATCAGCTGCTCATAGTCAAATAGAGACAGCACCGGCTTCCTCTTACCTATGAGGAGAGAGCAAGCTGCCTGAAGCATGGGGCGGGAGGGCAGAGCTGCAAGGGGGTGCTCTGAGCAGGCCCCAACTCACTTTCCAGGCAAGGCTGGTTGTTGGGGTTTTGGGTGTGATGGGAGAAATCTCACTTACCATCCACAGCCTCTTTCATGAAGGGCCATAGGAAGAATGAAGAAAAGGCAGTGGAAAGGGGTCAGGAGTCAAAGGCAGAGGGGGAGAGCTTCTGCTCCCATCCTGCTAAAGGAGGGGCCTGGGGCCATGCTTCCTCCAGAAGCCTCTGCTGGATGGGAAGGGCCAGAGCAGAGGGCATCAAAAGGGCTTAACCAAGAGAGCAAGCTTGGCCTCAGAGCACTGGACTGGCTGCCAGGGCTCACCCTGTGCCCTTAGTGCCCAGGGTCCAGCTTCTCCCTTTGGTAGAGCCTCCTTAGAGGTCACTTTCCCCGAGGAGCCAAGTGGCTCCTTATTGACTCTTCAGTCCCTAGACTTGGGGAAGGGCCCACTTGCCGCTTCTGTCATACCTTTGCCACCTAATGGCTCTCCAGCCTCTTCCTGTAGACAGGGCACAGTGGGGCTCTTCCCATCCCTCTCAGGGGCCACCTTTTCCCACTGCAGTGGTGGCCTGGCCATCACTGGCTTGTTGCTCTTGATCCGGAGGCTGTACTGGCGGGCCAGCTGGTAGACCTTGTTCTTGACGCGCTCGCTCACGTGGCTGTCCATTACGTGGGAGAGCTGCACGATGCGGGGGTGCAGTGGGGCCACCAGCTCCCCCTGGGTACTGCTGCTCAGCTCCTTCACCAGCTCTTTCAGCTCCCGGGCCAGGTGGGCCGGGCTGCGCCCCTCAGTGGGAGAGGAGCTTTCCGGGGAGGCAGTGGCCGACTCCTCTGTGATGGCTCCCAGCTCATGCTCCTCCAGGATGAAGAGTGGCTCATGCAGGTCAAAGCCATTGGCCTGGCCCTGGCCTGGCCCCTTCCCAGGGCTCCCTCCGGAAGACTCCATTCCCTCCCAGATCTTCACAATTTCTGAAGATGGGCGGAACTCAGCATCTGAGATGGGAGGTGGGTCCCCTTTGACTGCCTGGCTTGGTCCTGGGAGCTCAAACAGGGCCCACGAAGTCGGCCGGGAGCCCACCTGTCTCTTGCTCCCCACTGGAGGTACTGGCTCTGGGTCTGGCCGGGGAAGGCTGTTGAACCTGGAGATGGAGTTTCTTACCAGTCCTTTGGGGATGTAGGAGAGGCTCTCCCGGCGACGGACGCTGAAGCCTGCATCATGGTGTTCTGCATTTTCATAATAGCTCTTAATCTTGTCTAGCAACAGCCGGTCTCGGGTGGAGAGTGCTGATTCCTTCTTCTTGCAGGAAGACCGGTCAGGCTCCACTGGGCAGCCTGGGCTTGGGGGCTCCATCCCATTGACAGAAGGGCTGTCCTCTGTGGCCACCCCCACACTGATGTCCACTTCTGGGGAGAGCTGACAGCTGAGGGAGTCTGTGGCACTGCCATGCCGGGCCAGGCCCTTCTCGCTGCCCTCCAGGCTGAGCACGCTGCTGCTCCGGCTGACCAGCCGCGGGCTCCCAAAGCCACTGGACTTGCTGTCCTCCTGTGCCACGCTGCTCCGCCGAGAGAAGCTGCTGACAAATCGCTCCGCAATGACGCTGGCCTGGTCCAGCACAGAGGGTGGCAGAAGGCTCTCAGGCTCCTGGGCGGCACCTCCCATTTCTTCTTCCTCCTCGCTGCTCAGGGCCTTAAGGTCCTCAGTGCTCTCAGCTGCCACGAAGTCCACCATGTCACCTGGGGGGTCCATCCCCAGAAGGCCCTGGTGGGCATCAAGCTGTGTCTCCAGGACTTCTGGAGATTCTGTGTCTGAAGGCGTCTCCTCGGCACTGGGCCCTTCCACAGCAGAAAATACCTCTTGCTCACTCCCAGCCTCAGGGTCCGGCTCAACCTGAAACATAGCAGAAAAGGCTCACATGAGTAAAAAGCCTCCTTCATGGGATCCGGGGAACAAGGGGACAGCATGGCCTGCTCAAGGCCCAATGACAGGGACCTGTAGTTTAGGACTCAAGGCAATCAGAATGAGCACGACTTAGGAGTAGGTGATGGGTCCTTAGAGGAACATGACTGTGTCCTTTAGTCACCGTACAGTGGGGGTGCTGGGCCCATGTCCTCAAAACCAAGGAAAACAGTAAGAATGCAGATGGGTCAGGATGGCAACACCTTGATGGCAGCCAGCCTAGGAGCTACAGGGACAAGGTGGGAACACACAACAGTGGGTTGGGCATGGCCCCAGGTTCCCAGGGGCTGGTTCTCACAGTGTCATGGAACCAGCATGGCTGATGGTGAGGCAGCTCCCCAAAGCCCTAGAGGCTCCTCACTTGGAGGTTCTAGGGTTCAAACCCAGACCTGCACAACATGAGAGGCCATTTCATTTTCCTCAGGGGACAGGGCCTCCCATGTGGATTAGGGTCTAGAGAGCAACACAGCCACATGCTGGAATCTCGTCAGAGGATGAGGACCAGGAATGTGGCTCCTCCCAGTACCTGTGGGCCCAGCACAACTGCATATGCCCAGGAAATGGGCAAGGAAGAAAGCAAACTTGAGAATTCCCTCTTGACCACCTTGAAAGTAATTTGAACCACAGAACTGATGACATACGCGGCTTTCCAGAGCAGTCTTTAAGGAGATAAGAGCAAACACTAATTATAAGATCGGACATAATTCCTTCTGTTCTAGTTCAGAATCTGCAGAGCAAGACCCATGATCTAGACTTGCACTGTTCAACATGGGAGCCACCAGCCACTGTGGCTTTCTGAGCACCCGAAATGGGGTTAGGCCAGATGGAAACCTGCTCTTGGGATAAAATACACACCAGATTGCAAAGACTCTGTATAAAAAAAGGGATAAAACATATCAGTAACTTTTTATGTTGATTACATGTTAGAATAATACTCTGTATACATTGGGTTAAATAAAATATACTACTAAAATTAATTTCATCTGCTTCTTTTAAACTTTGTAATGGGTGGTTCTCATTGTATTATTATTTGACACCCCAATTTGCTCTGCTCTGAATGTCTGTGTATCTCTAAAATTGCCATGTGGAGGCTAACACCCAGTGTGATGGGAATGAGAGGGGGGGCCTTTGGGAAATTAGGTCACAAGGGCTCCATCCTCATGAGTGGGGTCAGATCCCTTACAAATGAGGATCAAGGGAGCTTCCTTGCCCCTTTGCCATGTGAGGACACAGCAAGAAGCCACCATCTACGAAGCAGAGGGCAAGCCCTCCCCAGGGTCTGCTGGCATCTTGACCTTAGAATTTCCAGCCTCCAAAACTGTGAGCAATAACTAAGCTACCCACGTAGCAGTAAGGGATTTTGTTACAGCAGCTCAAGCTAAGACATCATGCTACATTCCTGTCCAGTATCATCCAGGCTTCTCAGTCCTGGCTGTGGGGTCCAACATGGGGTCCAGGCTGTAGCTCACGATCTTTCCCTTATAACTTTGGGAAAGTAAAGGATGCTGCTTCCTACAACCCACAGACAGCATAGGGCAGCAGGAGGAGGAGAGTGGGCCTCTGAGTCCCAGCCCCAGGTCTGATCTCAGCCCCGCGCCTCAGAAGCTGCTCAGTGTTAGGCACGCCATCAACCACTCAGTGCCCTTTTCCTTCTAGAGCCATTGTGGGGAAGAGTAGGAAGAAATAACACATCAGTTACAGAGGAGGTGTCCAACAGATATCAGTTCTCTACCCTTTGCCCAGGTGACCACAGGTGTGATTTCAATGTCTGGCATGCTGGCAGGGACAGGGCCTTATAACCCATACAAGGTGGCCTAACGAAAGGAGCCTAATACCTGGTTCATTTCCACTAGCTGCGTGCCCTTGACATGGGACTGCATCTGCCCAAAGGGGAGCCTTTCTCTACTTCATAGAAAGGGGTGGTCTGCTCACCAAACCATATACTCTAGGCCAAACAGGCTTCATGCAGGGCTGAGAGTCCTGGGAGGTGGGGAATCTCTGTTCCCATGGGCCCAGTGGGAGAGCCTGTGCCTGAAAGCCCTATTTGCAGACTTGAAAATCTGGACTCCAAGTTCTTCCTACTATCCCCATCCCACCTGCTGGTCGCTCACCTCTGGCAGGGAAGAAATGGACTCGAAGCTCATGCGCTTCTCAGTACTGGTTGGAGACCGGCCACTGGGCCTTCTGCTGCTCCTGGAGCTTTCAGACTCCCTGCGCCCCTTTCCCTGCAGAGGTAGAGGTCAGTCATCAACTCCAAGACAACTGGAAGCTGATCCCTTCTGCATCCCAACACGGGCAGTGCCTCCCACGCCCCAAGGGGCTGGGCTGAGCTGAGAGCCAGTCTTGGACCTGAGCCATTCCAGAGCCAACCTGAACTGCCAGGCCTGGGGCTGCGGAAAGCCTTGTCAGGCATGCAGCTTCAAAAAACCTCAGCCCACCTTTCTGTCCCTCCAAAGTGGACTTGACCTTTCCAGCCCCACTGTGTGCTAGCTTCTCCCTGCCCCCACCACCCCACCCCACTTGTCATGCTTGTTGGGCGTTATATTGATTAGTGCCCAGTACTGGAACAGAGCATGCCAGGGGCTCACCAGGGTGTGACAGCGAGCGATGGTGTTAAGTGCTGAGGGGAGGAGTAAAACCAGGGCAGGGTGGGGTGAGGAGGGCAGCAGAGGGGGCCCTCGGGTGGGCATGCACATCCCAGGGAGCATGCAAGGAGGAGGGGAGATCGAAGAGACACCTCACCATAGCGCCCCGGGAGAAAAGTAAAGCGTTGGCCCGATAGTGCCAGCAGTGGAGGGCGGCCAGCAGGGAGCTGGCAAAGTCGGCTACCTGCTCCGCCACCGCCAGGCTCTCCTCCTGCTCCTCCTCCTCCTCCTCTGAGCCTGGGGGCTCCGGCCCAGCCCCCTTCTCGTTGCCTTCATGCCCTGTCAGGTCCTCCAGAGAGACCTGAAAGGCCTGCTCTTCCTCCTCCTCCTCCTCCTCCTCCTCCACCACCTCCTCCTCTTCCTCTTCCTCCTCCTGGGTAGCCCCTTCAGCCTCTGGCTGCAGGCCCCGAGTACGGGAGGGCTGCCCAAAGTCCAGGAGGGTTCCAGCACTGCCTGCATGCTGTTCAGAGCACAAGACCCCCTCGTGACCAGCCTCTTGGGCAACCTCCCGTCCTCCTGCAGGCAGCTGCGGGGGGGGAGCCTTCACACAGAAAGCCACACCTAGATGCCCAACTCAGGTTGCCACTGGGGTCCAGGGAGGGGTGGGCATTCTCATGGTGGAAAGGCTGGGACCTGGTCAAAACTTCAGAACCCAAACAGGCCTGCCTACTTGTCTACCCTAGGGAGAGGGAAATCTGAGTAGGTCCACACTGGGCAGGCCCCCAGCAGGGTGCTGTTCTAGGCAGAGGGTGCAGAAGGGCCCCCAGGGCAAGGCCCATGTCTTATTCATCTCTGTGGCCCTAAGCCACACAGCCTGGTACACAGTGGGTGCTTAGTAGGCATTTGTTGAATGAATGAAGACAATGAGGGCTGAAGGGGCCGGGGGCTGACCTGGGCAGTCCCACCCTCCTCTGTCAGCCAGTCCCCTCCTCCCACTGGCCTTTACCTTCATTCCTGCTGCTCGGGCTGCAGACATCACCACCGGGTCCCCCAGCACACGGGCGAGGGGCAGGGGAGGGGAGGGGAAGAGATCAGTAAGCAGGAAAAAGACCTCTGGACAGCTCCCTGGGGAAGTCCTCACTGGGGGCTCCTGCTCCCAGAACCCTCACCTAGTCTCCTGGGCTTTCAAAAGAATGACTGACAGAGCAGGGGCCCAGGGGCCACAGAGCAGCGCAGGTCTGTGCCTGTTGCTCGGCTCTCATTGTTTCCGGAGGAAAGGGCATGAGGCCTGTGCATGGGGGAGAGCTCCAGCCCCTCTCCTCAGCCAGCCAGGGGCGAGGCCCTCTTCTGGGGGGAATGGAGGCAGAGTTCCCTCTACACTATTCTGACAATCCTCCACCCTCAGGTCACACCCCAGGTTGTCGGCTGCTTCCCCTCCTCCCTCCTCCTCCCCCGCTCACTGGGAATGGCTGGCCACCTCACACACTCACCTTTCTCGTTGAGTTGCCTGAGCAGGTGTTTGGTTGGCTCTGAGGAGGAAAGCATGAGCAGAGTCAGCGCGGGCCAGGAAACTGCTGTGCCTGGCTGGGTCCCAAGCTCACAGCGCCACCAGCCCATCACCAGCTCAAAGTCCACTCTGGCTTGGCCCCCTGCAGTCATAGGCCCCAGGGAAGCTGCCTTCCACAGTGTCGGCGAGCCCCCTTGCACCTACGGACAGGGAGGCGGGCCCATCCATCTCCAGGACCCCCGCTGTGACTACCAGCCCTGCCGGAGCAGTACCACCCATGATGCAATGCATTAGGGCACCTGGCCCAGGGCCCTCGCGCAGGAGCCATAGGGAGGGGACTCAGTTCCATGCTACCCCCTTCAGACCAACTAGCAACATCTCCGGAGGTCCCTGGCTCCACCTCAAGCCCCTTGCCTCCCTGGCAATGAGCATATCAGCGCATCAGCTACACCCACTGCCAAGCCCCTCACAGCATCCCAGCTGGAAAGCAGAGGTCGCACCCGACTTTCTACGGCCCTTAAGGCTGGGCATCACGAAGCCTCGCTGACCGCTGGGGAGAGTTGCCCGGCTGTACGGAGAGTGACCAGGCTCTGGGGACAGGATACAAAACACATCCATTAGGCCAATGGTGTCATCACCGTGTACCCCAGCCTTTTTGAGGATACACCTGAGACTGGAGGGCAGGAATAAGAGGACCTTGTCTCAAGGTCCAGTTCTACAGAGCCTCGGCCTTCGCCTATCCATATCCTTGCCCAGCTGGCGGTAAGTGGGAGGCCCAGGGATCGCCATGATTTGCTACACACCTGGAGTCAGAAGGAAAGTCTACCAAGGTATCTTGCTGTTCCTCAGCAGGCAGGCCTGTTGAAGAACCTCTTTTCTGCTGACACACACAACATACATACACTATCTGTATCAATGTAAGTAAATGCCTAATTGTTTTTAAAGTGAAAAGTAGAAAATGTTCTATTCTTTCATTTTAAAACTTATCAAGAATATTTAATAAGTGAGACATAATTTAAATTAAACAATAGAACTTAATTATCAATAGAATACACTTGTCAGCTCATCTCAGCTCTCTGAGTGGGAAGCAGAAGCAGAAAAAACCTCAAGGAAGTCAGAGTAGATGGCTGAGCCCAGGCAGTAAAGTGCCTGCATGTGGCCCAAGTCCCTCCCTAGTGACTTTCCTGATCTTTTTGTGGTCTACAGTTCCCACAAGTTCAACAGATTGATTTCTTTTTTTGTTTTGTTTTGTTTTGTTTTTTTGCAACAAGGTCTCATCTGTCAGCCAGGCTGGGTGGGTGCAGGGGCACGATATCCATTCACTGCAACCTCTGCCTTCCAGGCTCAAGTGATCCTCCCACCTCAGCCTCCAGAGTAGCTAGGACTATAGGTGCACACCACCATGCCTAGCTAACTTTTTAATTTTGTAGAGATGAGGCCTCACTGTGTTGTCCAGGCTGGTCTTGAACTCCTGGACTCAAGTGATCCTCCCACCTCAGCCTCCCAAGGTGCTAGGATTACAGGAGTGAGCCACCACACCTGGCCTGAACGATCGCTTTCTAACAGACAGGAGGGGAAGAAGGGCTACTACAGACAAGCATACTTAGACCAATGAAAACAAATACTTCAGTGTTACAGAAGAACCGTGAAGAGGGGCACGACACACCAAACACAGGCTGTCTCTATGGCAACCCACAGCCTCTGGGGCCCCTCAAGCATCTGGCAGTTCACACACCCTAAGTGATGCTGTAGCATTAACTCCAGAAAAGGAAAGGTTCAACGGTGGCCAGCACCTTCTGTTTTAAAAGGCTCAAGAGTACAAAACATGCTTTAGAAAGATGTCTATTTCAGCTAGGCGGGATGGCTCATGCCTGTAATCCCAGCACTCTGTGAGGCCGAGGCGGGTGGATCACCTGAGGTCAGGAGTTCGAGACCAGCCTGACCAACATGGTGAAACCCTGTTTCTACTAAAAATACAAAAAAAAAACTAGCTGGGCGTGGTGACGCGTGCCTGTAATCCCAGCTACTCGGGCGGCTGAGGCAGGAGAATCACTTGAACCCGGGAGGCAGAGGTTGCAGTGAGTAGAGATGGTGCCACTGCACTCCAGCCTGGGTGACAGACAAGGAAGGAAGGAAGGAAGGAAAGAAGGAAGGAAGGAAGGGAGGGAGGGAGGGAGGGAATTTCATAACTGTTAAAACATTTTTTAAATATTTTTTGAAAAAATCCAACTCTTAGTATTTACAGGCTAAAAATCTCAGCCATGTGGAAACTTCAGCTCTTTAAAATGGCTCATTTCCTGAGTGCCTTGGACACCTAAAGTTTGGGGGCTTTTTGTAACAGCTTTATTGAAATATAATTCAAATACAATTCACCTATTTAGAGTGTACAATTCAACGGCTTTAAGTATATTCAAAGAGTTGTACATCCATAGCTAAAGTTTCGATGCTAACACTAGGATAGAGCTACTATCACTACCACCAACGTTATCACTTGCTGAACACATCAGTGTGCTAGAAGCTTCAAATTTTAAGGTATGGCAAGTTGAGGAGGACAAGAAGAGAATTACAGGAGAAGAAAAGAAAAGAGAAGAGAAGAGAAAAGAAAGAGGGCTAGAGAGAAGAAAGCAACACCCCTATTTGGAGCTTTTAACTATAAAAACCATAAAACTTTTGCAACCATAGCAAGGTGGCCTAGGGCTCAAGATCCACCCAGAGCAATACCAACAACATAAAACCACAAAAGCCTTCTATAAGCCACTGCTCCACCTTCTCGAAGGCTAACACCCACATGTCAATCCACACACACATTCAGGGGACCCACAGGTCATCACCAATCAAAACCCAACACATCTGTGGGACCCAAGCCAGGACACCACTCTCAGTCACTTTAGAATCCTTCTCTCCCAGGGTCTTAAAGACAATTCTCACCCCAACTCCCACCTTGGGTATATGTTTGGCAGACACCTGGCTTAAGCCAGACCTGTCCTTGGGCCTTGCACTAAATAGCAACGAAAAAACCAATTTTGAAAACACACACACCCATCACCACGGAGTTTAGAATAAAAGCAAGGTTTTCTCTTTTCAAATAGACGATTCATTCCAATAATCCAAGAACACCCTAGCAAGTCCAGGAATGGAAGAAAACTCAAGGGAGGAAAATGGAACCTTTTCCTGAGACCCAAAATAAATATTTCCTGTCTGGGTTTGGTGCCACTGAACTCGTTTTCCCCGGGTCCTGCTTCTGCTCGGTTGTTCCAGGACTGGGCTGGGCCCATCCGCCATGTCCAAGTGTCACTCCTGAATGACTTGGTGTTGGTATTCCAGAGAGGCAAAGGAGGGAGGGGGCTAAGAAGGGGTGCCAAGGCCGGAGCGAGCAAGTATTCCTAGGGCCTTGAAAAAGGTGGGCTGGACGGGTACAGTGGCTCACACCTATAATCCCAGTACTTTGGGAGTCCGAGACGGGCGGATCACCTGAGGCCAGGAGTTCGAAACTAGCCTGGCCAACATATAGTGAAATCCCATCTCTACTAAAAAATACAAAAATTAGTTGGGTGTGGTGGTGCACGCTTGTAGTCCCAGCTACTTGGCAAGCTGAGGCAGGAGAATCGCTTGAACCCAGGAGGCAGAGGTTGCAGTGAGCCGAGATCGAGCCACTGCACTCCAGCCTGGGCAACAGAGCAAGACTCCATCTCTCAAAAAAAAAAAAAAAAGAAAAAGAAAAGAAAAGAAAAGAAAAAAGTAAGAAAAAGGTGGGCTCCAGACCTGGTAGGCAACGAGGGCCCAGGGGTACCTGGTGTGGGGAGCACCAGCACAGGGAGAGGATGAGCCCCAGGTGTGTGTCCAGCCCCGCTCTAGCCTTTCCCAGGGTTTCCGCAGAGGTGAGAGCCACAGCCCTGGACACTGCCGCAGACGGTCCCCAGTCTGGGCAAGGGTGTGAGGGAGAGGCCTCCTGCCTCCACAGCCCTTCTCTTACCAGATTGCCGGCGCCCCTGGCGCACATTGGTGGACACCTCATCCTGGGAGGACCAAGCCTTCTTCAGCCGCTCTGGGCTGCAGCGGTACCGATTGGGATCTGCACCCAGGAGAGAGACGATCAAGCTTTTGATTCCCAATTGGCCTTGGCCTACCCTAGACCCTGTCCATAACCAGCCAGACCTCTATACCCACCCAGCTCCAGGGCCAGGAGCCTCCAGAGCTCCCTCCATCTTCCAGCTGGGAGCTTCAGGCACTGAGAGTCCCACCGCTCAGCAGGAGAGCATCCTTAATCATGTAGTTCACCCCCCAGCCCTTAACAGGAGACCCCCGCCCTCCCTGCTCCTGGAATAAAATTATCAGGTAAAGCTTCCCCAGGATGCAGCCTGACCTAGCAATGTGCACGATTAGGGACAAAACAGGCAGAAAAGGGTACACTTACAATAGGAATCCATTTCCAAGATGGCTTCCTTGGCCTGAAGGGGAAGGAAACACACCTGGTTATTACCTTACCATGTGCCGGCCTTCCCTGCCCATAGGACCCACTGTTGCTGTACGAGGACACCCCACAGTGCTGCACCAAGGCCCGGGGCATCTGCTGTACTGACACTCACTGTCCACTGGAGCCCAAATCCAGAAGGTGAGCCCCCAATGGACCTTGCAGAGCTGGCTCAGAGGAGCACATTCTCCTTGCACACAGTCAGGAGCTGGGGGAACTCACCTTCTGGGGAATGGTGGCATGGTGGTTCTCTAGGATGAGCCTCTTGATGTGGTGAGTCCAGTTCCGTTTCTCCTCCACTGTCTTGGCCTGGGAGGACCCAAGGGAAAGGGACCCAGTGGTTATCATTACAGGCCTGAAGCTGTCTAGCATGGACAGTGCTTCCACCCAGGGAGAAAAAGTGGGGCCATGCTGGGGCCTCTGTGAGGTTAACCTGACTCCTCACTTTGACCCTGAGAGGTGCCTGCAATGATCCTTGCCTCACAGATGGAGACACTGGGGCTTGGGGCAGCTAGGTGAGCAGAGGAGCCAGGAGTCCCACGCAGGTGTCCCCTGGGCATCTTGTTCCCTAGCCCCTGAGCCCCACCTTCCCCTCACCTGGATGCTGTACTGCTGCTTGCTGTGCTTGTAGTGGGTGACAGTGAAGCACAGGGAGTCTCTGGTGCTTTCGATCAGCATCAGGGAGGAGCACTAGGGGCAGAGGGAAAGGACAGTCAAGCACAAGGTTGACAGCCTGGGGAAGCAGGGAGGGTGATCTCAGAAGGGTGGTGCTGGAGCCCCAAGAAGCAGACAAGAAGGGGAGCCCAGATCCTTTGGGAAGGAGAGAAGATGGCAGAGGAGATGGGGCAGGGCCTGGTTACCGGGATGTTGCCCTTGTAGACAAAGTGATCGCCCCGCTTCTTGGTGATAAGCAGTGTTTTGTCAAAGAGGAAAAAGGTCCTTTCATTGCGCACGCGATGCACGCGGAATGTGCCCTCCAGGACAAGCTCCCCGTAGGTGGTCAGGTCGGGCCCCTTCCAGTTGATGAGGAGTGACTGAATCTCCTGCAGCAGAGGGGCCCCAATCCCTAGAGTCAGGCCACTGGGGCCTTAGGAGGCTCTGCAAACCCTGCCACAAAGGCTCCCCCAATGCCACTGCCCAGCTCATCCCAGCAGGGTGGCCACAGTCCCTCTTCCCAGCGGAAGCCTGGCCCACCCAGCCCTGCCCCTCCCCCAGCGTCCCAGCCCCAGAGCACCTGGAGCCGGACCGCGTGCTCATGCCTCCTCTTCATGTCGTTGATGTACCAGGCCACACAGGTCATGGTGTCAATGGCATCCTCCACCACCTCAAAGCCATCCTCTTCTTCATCAAAATGCTTGGCAATTTCCTGCGCAGAAGATAGACGCTTAGGTGCCCCTGACCCGAAGGCCCTGCCCTCCCCAGGCCCTAGGTGCTTGGGAGGACCGAGGGGCTACCTGGAGCAGCAGGTGGTACTTGAGGATGCGCTGGACTGGCTTCAGCAGGTAGGAGCCCAAGGGCAGCGAGTGCTGTAGCAGCTCCTGCCGGTCCCGAAAGAACTTGGCCTGCTGCTTGTCCCGCATGCATTCCGTCAGGGCGGCCACGGAGCTGGGAGTGGGAGAAGGGCCAGTCACCACCTGGGGAAGGCCTGGATGAGGAAGTGGGGGGCTCTGGACTCACCAAATGGCTCTGCCTTCCCTCTCACCCCAATTACTCACTTGGGGTAATTGTTGCAATACTGAGTGTAGATATCAAACTCTTGGCTCTAAGAAGAGATCAAAAATAGTGATTTCAGGGAGATTCTCATTTGACAGTAAAGATGGTGGTAGCAGATAGGCCCCTGGCCCCCAGAGCACCCTCTGTCCCCTGTTCCCAAATGCCTACAGAGCCATCTTTATACCTATTTGTCAAGGACATCCCATCCACCCAGCAGCCCTGGCTCCCCTCAGAACACCCTTCTCATTCAAGATAGAGCACCCAGGACTTTCCCTGGAAAGGAATCCCCAGGACTCAGATGTCCTCTTATGCTGGCAGTTCTTGTCTCTCTGAGCTCTCAGCAAGGTAGGACAGAGGCAAGGACCCAGCCCTTCTTACCCTTTCCACAAAGCAGCTGGCCACAGCCACGGGGTCACTATTGCAGCTGTCCAGGTCTCTGAGGAGCTGGCTGGGTGAGGGGAGAGCAGCCACTGTACCCTCTGCAGTCAGAGGACAATGCCCCTCACTGCCCCCTCCCCAACCTCCCAAACCCTGACTGACAGCCAGCCCTATTGCTTTGCTAAAGAACTGGGGCTTCTAGCCTCAGAGGGAGTCCTGCCCCAGGCAGCAACCACAGAAAGTATCCAACACAAAGCAGCCACAAAGCAGGAAGTCAGGGAGACCTACAGGCTCAACAAGAGGGAGATGAAGAGGGGACCCCCATACCCACCTCGGGAGGGGACACAGCTCCTCTGCAGGCAGAAGGAGTCAAACACACAAAAGCAGAGGATTAAAGGGTGAAGGAGAGAGAATGGGGACTAGCAAAGGAGCCAGGGCGCCCAGGATGTGGGACATGGGGAGAGACAGGTGAGTCCTGGCACCCCTAGAAACACTGCTCCCTGCCTCCTCCCTCTGTGCTCCTCCTCTTTTCCCAACCCCTCACCATTGGCCTAAGTCCTCCCTGCACCCTGCCCTCCCAGACTTCTCCAGCTTACACAGCCAGAGCTCCCTCTGCCCATCTTAAGGGGCCTGGGATACGATTCTTCCTGTCCTAGCACCGCTGTTCCCTCAAGCCCTGCCCCTCCAGAGCAGTGCACTTTCCCGGGGGAGTCTGTGGTCCCAGGCAGGAGACCCATGCCTTTTGCCCTGACACAGCCCCTGGTCAGGCCTTGTTTGGCTTCCCACATGTGTCTTGCCTGGGTTGTGCAATCCACTAATAGGTCAGATCATCTCCAGGGAGCCCTTGGGGTCAGTGGAAAGGAGGATAAGAAATTAACAGATGTGCAAATGGAAAATGAAGATGAGAAGGACAGGGAAGGTTCTCTTCCACAGGGAAGAGAACCAGTGTGCAAGGTAGGGCCCAGCAGCCCCTTGAGGGGGCACCGGCTCAGGATGGACCCAACATGCACACAACCTCAAATTACCTCCCCGTCTGCCCTTGAGAGAAAGCAGATCAGCCCAGGGCACAGAGATGGACAACCCTTCCCTGTCCTCAGAGATCAGGCCCCAGGCCCACATGTCACAGGCCCATGAGACCAGGGACATCCAGGGTTCCTCCCTAGGCCCTGAGGTGGGCCTCGCAGGCAGAACATGGTGAGTGTCAGGCCCATTCACACACCTGTTCAGCGCGTAGATATTTTCTATGTTCCCAAAGAGGGCGCTGACCTGTTCTGGCTTCAGCAGCCCGGGTGTGTCAATGATCTTCAAGAGGTAGTCCTGCGTGGAGGGAGGTGGTCAGAACCTAGCCCCCGGCACAACCCTGCCCACTACCTTCCCTAGCCACACCTCGTTTCGGCCCTGCTGTAACACCACTTCACGGACATTGCCTACTGTGAGACAGTGTCCACCCCAAAATTCATGTCCACTTGGAACCCCAGAATGTGACTTTATTTGGAAATAAGGTCTTTGTGGATGCCATTAGTTAAGGATCTCAAGATGACTTCAGATAGGATTTAGGGTGGGCCCCAAATCCAGTGGCTGCTGTCCTTATAAGAGGAGAAGGAGGACACAGAGAGACACAAAGAAAAAGGTGATGGGAAGGTGCTGGGCCGCATCTCCAGGCCAACAATGTCAAAGACTGCCAGGACCCCAGAAGCTGGATGACAGGCATAGAATGCCTACTCCCTCAGAGGCTCTGAAGGGAGCCAACCCAGCCAACACATTGATTTTTGGACTTCTGGCCTCCTGAACTGAGTGAGAACACATTTGCTGTTTTAAGCCACCCAGTGTGTGGTCATTTGTTAAGGCAGCCCTAGGAAACTAATCCACGCCCTGAGCCAGTGGGGCAGAGGGCTTCCTCAGTGGCAGCCACACAGCTGCCCTTCCGTGCCCTTCACCTACAAGGTAGGTGTCGCTTCCTCTTACAGAGGAGGAACCTGAGGCTCCGCACAGCCAGGAAACAACAGGGCAGGGGATGCATGGGGCCAGGCCCAGAGCCCATGTCTTCACTCCATTCAGTCTCTGTGGCACAGGCTCTCTAGAGCCATCTTCCCAGGCAGGCTGGGGATCCACCCTATCAACGATGCTCACTCCTGTCGGCCCAAGCTACTGATCTGGCCCAAGGTCCTAGGGAAGCCTCAGGGGTCAACAGCTTTCACAGTGCAGTCAGCGAGGGTGGGAGACCCCAGTTCTCCAACTACTTTATGGGAAGCAGGTCTTTTGAGAGCTTCCCTCCCAGGGTGAAACAGGCTTCTGCTAGAATACTGTGCCGCAAGGCCTCCGACACGCACCTCCACGATGCTGCGCAGGTCCTGTACGTACATGCGCTCTGTCTCCACGATCTCCCGCACCACTCGGCCCAGGTAGCTGAGCTTGTGGTGTGCAGGCCCTGCCGCTGCCCGGCTGTTGAACGGGGAGAGGGGCCCCTTCACGTTCAACCAGCTGCTGGAGTTGTTGTTGCTGTTGGGCAGATGCCGGCTTCTCAGGGAGCCTGCCCCATTCTTGGCGGGAGCCTCGGAGCTGCTGGGCTCCTCCATGGCACTGCGACTGTCACAGGAGGAGCCCGACGAGGAGGTGGTAGAGGTCAGGCTCACCGGCCGCTCCTGGCTGCCATCCTGGTGGAGGGAGGTGGACACAGGCATCCTGGCATTGCTGCCTGGGGAGGGCACCCCAGGGAGATTCTGCAACAAGACAGACAGATGAAGGGTCAACCTCTGAATGCCCACAGAAACAGAACAGAGGGACGGTTGCCAGGGGTGGGGGCAGGTGGGGTGGGAAGGTATTATTTAGTGCATCCAGAGTTCAGTTTTAGAAGATGAAAAGGTTCTGTGGATAGACAGTGATGACATTGCACAATGATATGAATGTACCTACTGTCACTGAACTGTACACTTAAAATGGTGAAGATGGTAAATTTTATGTTATGTGTATTTACATTTAACACAATTAACAAAACAAAACTGAATCCCAAGAAGGGCCCTGTTCTCAGACTCTATGAGCACTGATGAGGGTGCCCAAGTCCACCTGCCAGCACAGTGGTCCAGGTACCCTCTAAGGAATTCACAGCCCAGCCCCACTGCTGGGGCACAGTACTTAGTCCCTCAGAGCCTCAGCTCCTCACCTGTAAAATGAGGATGGATACAGCCTACCCCATGGCTGTGTCCTCCCAGATGAAGCCACCTGCTGTTCGTAAAGCTCTGAGCATGATGCCTGGCATAGGGTACGTGCTCCATACACCATCAATATGGTGATAATAATGGCAGTTGTGAAGAAGAACTTCCCAAGTGCCCCCCTGTCTGTGGCCTGTGCTGGGGTCACTGTACAGGGATGGGCAAAGATCTGGTTCTTACAATGTTAAGACAAGACACATAACAGGGGTAATATTCTCCCTAAGACTGCAAAACCTCAGGGGCACCGGCGGCTTCACCACAAACCTGAAACTTTCTGGATACTGACTGGCTGAGCCAGCATTATCCCCCGACTCCGCAGCCCCACCCCAGCACCTGGTACAGGCTGCCTCTGACTCATCCCAGGCCCCAGGAAATTCCCCAGGGCTAAGCCATCAGTGAGTCTCTGTAAGCTCCCCTTGGCACAGCTGGGCGGGGGCAGCAGAGAAAGCAGTAAACTGCACCCAGGTGAGGCAAACAGAGCCTCAGGTGGACTTTATTCCCAAAGCAGATGGTGTGGCTCACAGGCAGGCCCACCTGGAGCAGCCGGGGGATGGAAGGGTGGAGTGGCCAGACTACTTCAGGCTGCAGCCTTTGGGAAGGACAGGGACACCCATGCAACACCCATGCCCACCCCTTAGAGCTCACCAATGCCACTTTGCAGAGTACACATTTCATTGCTATTTCACAGGAAAACAGTAAGTTCCTGGGCATCCCTCTCACCCCTACTGACCCGAGTCTTCTACCCCTAGCTCTAGGGCTCAGAAGTGACTAGACCCCAGACATGACTAAAGGGCAGAGACTTGAGCTACAAGGAGAAGAATCTAGAAGCTGCCATTACTCTGGGAACCCTTGACACTGACCCCTGGTTTTCTGTGCCTATGCCTCAACCTGGAAACCAACACCCCTGGGTCTCCGGCTTTTGCAAATGTTCTCTCTGCCTTGGCGTTATCTCGTCCCCATCCACCCCATACAGTACCATCCCCCAACCTATGTAATTTACATCCAATCTTTAGGTCTCCAATTAGACATCGCCCCCTCCAGGAACCTTCCAATATCCCCCAAACCTGGGGAACTCTTTCTGTGTTCTCTTACTACCTCCCAGGTTTCTCCTACTGTAGCACTGGCCTGAGACAGTGTGACTAGTTTGAGACCCTCTGCCCTACACCATTAGTTACTAAAAAGCAGGGGTCTTAAGGGCCAATTTAACAAATGAACAACAATGGTGAACAAACTGATGCTTTTACTGAGGTACAGATCAAGCGCCTCAAGACCTACTTACCACCTGCCGCTAACCTGGCCGGGATGCTCTGGAGCACAGCACTTTGTCACTGTGTCTCACTGGAGGGGGTCACCTCCAAGGAGCTCTGTATGAGCCTCTCAACTTGCAGATGGGGACTCAGTGGCAGCCCAGTGCTCCCCTCCGCAGCCCAGTGCAATGCCCAGAGGGCTAATTAGCAGGATCATTTTGGTAAAGCTCTTTGAGCTGCTCAGAAGAGAGCCCCCTGGGAATTGTAGGGCTGTTGCTTTTTCCTCCCTCCTCAAAAGGGCCTTTACAATTAATCAGCTATGCCTTTTACAGAACCAGCAGGCAGGGCAACACCATGTCATTCCAGCACTGACAGATAAAAACCCAAGCTCCACCCCAGCCCTTAACCCCCAGCCCTGTGGCACTCTGATGTCCTTCAAAGTGCACTGCAGTCAGGCACCCCACCCACCCACCACCACCATCCCAGCAGGGAACAAAGGGGCAGGGATTTACAGCCTAAGACCTTTCCCAGATCACATCTGGGGTCAGTCAGCTTCTCTGGGGAAGCTAAATGGAAACGGCCCCACTCCCAAATGGATTTCACAGCCAGCCAGTTCACAGTCTTAAAGCAAAAGATTACTCACAGCCCCACCCCTACCCCAACACACACACCATTAGGGAGATTTGTCTCTAAAAGGGACCTTTTGAGGGTCCCTCTCTGGGGATCCCACTGTAAGAGGATAGCAACATAAGCACACTTCAAACCCAGAAACTAATATGTCTTTTCTACTTACAGAAGTTTTCTCTCTGATTGATCATAGGCTACCTGTCTGCAAACTAAGCTCCTATCTCCTAAGGCTAAAACAAAGCATAACAGCCAACTGCTGAAATGCTCTGAGCGCTCTGTATATATTAAAGTGCCTAACCCCTTGCAACAACTCCAGAAGGTAGGTTCTATTACTACCCTCATTTTATACATGCAGGTACTGAGGCCACAGAAGTAGTAAGTGGTAGAGCCTGGACTTGAACTCAGGCACTGAGGCTCCAGAGTTCATGCTCTCCTGCCCACTGCCTCCCTAATGGACTACACACCAGACAGGGCCACAAGCAAAGGATTGGTCACAGCCCTGGCTGCCATGGCTTTGCTTCAGCATAAGCTGCAGGGGACATATGAAGACCTGAAGGATTGGGGCTTATGACATGACACTCGGAAGGACTGAGTCAAGATTCCTTAGGGCAGTTTTTGGGCCTGCTACTATGTGACCTTTGGCCATTCATTCTCTGGCTGGAACAATATGGTAAAATACAGATTCCCGGTCAAAGGATCACAGGTCATGGGTAAGCAGAAAGGAAGAGGGAGAAAGTATGAGGTCACCAGGATTGGACTATAAACTTCTTGGATGACGAGAGAAGCCCTGTAGTGACCAGGAGACCCACGATCACAAGGCTCTCTCTCTCTTGGGCAGGAGGACTTGCTGGAAAAGAGCCAAGAGCCCAAGAAAGGGAGGGCTGAAGAACAAATGAGGCACTGAGTACAAAGCAGGACACTAGTGCAGACTGTCAGGAGGCACCGTTTGATGGTGACGGATAAGAGGCATCGCTCTCAGAGTGCATTCTGAGTGCACTGCACTCAGCTGGAGTGCATTCTGGCCCTAAGACACCGGATTGGAACCATTATGTGTGTGTAGCTCAGACTCCCACAGAGACAGTTAAAGTGCCTCCCCTGGTGCTCCCCGGGCGGGGTCAGCCTTTCCTTCCTACCTGAAGAGCACCACTCCATACTATAAGATTCCCCCAAGCCAGGATGAGAACTCAGGTCTTCAAACACATCTCGGAAGACCCTGTCTGCTAGGGAAGTAGGAGGCCAGAGAAGGAGGTGATGAGGCAGGCAGCAACCAAACCCTCAAACCAGGTACCCACGCCTACCCCATCCTACCACATACGGGTCTCCAGTTCTCTTAAGTATGCCCCAGCCATGACCTCTTCCATCTTGCAACATGAATCAATCCAGTCAGTCATCAATCAGTGAATCAGTCTTCTAGAAAACTCGCTTTCTCGGCCAGGCATGATGGCTCACGCCTGTAATCCCAGCACTGTGGGAGGCAGAGGGGGGCAGATCACTTGAGGTCAGGAGTTTGAGACTGGCCAGGCCAACATGGTGAAACCCCATCTCTACTAAAAATACAAAAATTAGCTGGGCATAGTGGCAGGTGCCTGTAATCCCAGCTACTCGGGGGGCTGAGGCAGAAGAATCGCTTGAACCTGGAAGGCAGATGTTTCAGTGAGCTGAGATCGCGCCACTGTACTCCAGCCTGGGTGACAGCATGAGACTCCATCTCAAAAAAAAAGAAAAAAGAAAACTCTTTCTCAAGTCCTATACTTGTGAAACCTTCTTTGAGCAGGTCCCCAAAGACTTTTCTCTTTTTTTGAGGCAGGGTCTCCCTCTGTCACCCAGGCTGGAGTGCAGTGGTGCAATCACAGCTCATTGCAGCCTCGACCTCAAGCGATCCTCCTGCCTCAGCCTCCTAAAGTGCTGGGATTAACAGGTGTGAGCCACCACACCCAGCCAGGCTTTCTTTTTGATGGGCCTAAGCAGCAGCTCAGACATACACCTTTAAGGATCCAGGGGCAGAAGAGGGGGAGAGAGGGAGGTTTCTTTTCTTTTTCTTTAAATTTAAGCCTAAACCACACCACACCCTTCCTCCACCCACACCTACCCTCTGGAGGAGCTTCCCTGAATATTGCAGGTGCAGAGGCAGGCAGGCTACAGCAGGCCCCTGGATTCCGAGCACAGCAGACTGGGGCCACATCCTTCCCCTCCCCACTACGCCTCAGCACCATGCCCCATTCTGACCCAACAGGAAAGAAAAAAGGCACACCCTCATAACCCACAACAGCCTCAGTGTTCTGTCCTCAGGTCTCCTGTCACTGAGGCAATGGGACCCTGCTCCTCCCCTATCCCACAGGATTACGGGGAGCCTTCTGGAACTCTGTGTCTCTGGTCTTGGGGAATGCCCAGGAGTCAGCCCACTCCCACTGGCTCTCCCTCCCAGGCCAGTGAGTTGAGGACAAGGCAGGAGAGGGGAAGAGGACACTTGGGGGTGAACCCTCTGGTGGGCACACCAGACTCCCCAGAAAACATTCTGGTTCAGAGGCTGATGTCGTCATTTCATCCACTGCCCTTCACCCCACACTCAAGAATGAGAAGCCACACCGCACCACAGCTGCTTTGGAGCCAGGCAGAAAACGAGCAAGGAGGGTCCCCATGGGGCAGCTGCTCCAAAGGCCCCAGCTGGGGAGGAATCCACACGGCACCTGCACACAGGGAAAGTCCTCGTGGCCAGGCGCAGTGGCTCACGCCTGTAATCCCAGCACTTTGGGAGGCCGAGGTGGGCGGATCACCTTTGGTCAGGAGTTTGAGAGGAGTTTGAGACCAGCCTGACCAATATGAGGAAACCCCATCTCTACTAAAAATACAAAAATTAGCCGGGTGTGGTGGCATGCACCTGTAATCCCAGCTACTCGCGAGGCTGAGGCAGGAGAATTGCTTGAACCCAGGAGGTTGCAGTGAGCTGAGATCGCACCACTGCACTCCAGCCTAGGCAATGAGAGCGAAACTCCATCTCAAAAACAAAAAAAGAAAGGAAGAAAGAAAGTCCTCACTCAGGAACGGCGATGGCGCAGCCCTCCTGTGTGGCCTTCATCCCTCAACTACATCATCTGCTAAACATTCCAAGGGCTCTCAAAGCCAGGGTGGCCCAGCGGCTTTTGTCCTTCCCCCAAACAATCCCCAAGACGGCACTTTCGGAATCCCTTCAAAAAGGGTGCCAGAAGGAAGCAATAGAGAAAAGCTATAACTTTTCCAGAAAAAACAGTGTGGGAGCAATGTGAACTTCCAGAGAGAGATCTCTCTCAACTAAGATCTCAACTAAGATGGTGAAATCCCTCGGCTGTGCTCTTACCCACAGCTCGGCACCACTCTGGGCCACCCGGCTCCCAAACTGTCCCCAGAGGCCCAGCTCTTGCCTGTGTGTTCCCACTGCTCCCTGCACCCTAGGGGCTCTCCTGGGGGAGGGGAGGACCCCCTCCTAGGGGACCCTTGCCCCCTTTCCCAGCAGTTTCCTCACTCTGACCCCTCCCATCCCTCCTGGAGATTCAGCAGCCCTGAGCACCGTAATAAAGCGCGAGAGAAGGCTCCCCGGGGAGTGACTTTGTGTGCATGTGAGCAACGTGACTGCCTGCAGAGGCTGTGCCAACAGTGTGACCAAGGTTTCTGGGCCACCCAAACCCAGCCCAGCTGGTTCAAATTCATTTTCCCTCAGGAATGCATTTTCCCACCACCTAAGAGCAGCAGGGCCCATGTAGTCTGGCTGGGTCCCTTGCAGCAGGACCACAGCTGCCAGGAAGGAAAAGGATTGTGTTGCCAGGGGAGCCCTCCCACATGGACTCCAGGAGAAAGCCTGGGCCTGCAACTGAAGTCCAGAAAGTTCCCTCGGCCTGACCTTGGAAGGAAAGGAAAGCCAGGCACCTAGCTCAGAGGGAGGGCTGTTCATCTACACCCCCCTGTCCCCACCTACCCAACATGTGCCCATGTTGTCTCCCAAACCTGGAATGTGTCCCCAGACCCTCTGCCTATACACATTTAGCAATCATCTCCTTCAGAGAAAGGCCTCCTCAACCATTTCCCAACATACACACTAGTGTAAGCTGAATAATGCCCCCACCCAAGGATATCTACAGCCTGACCCTCAACCTATGAATGTCACCTTATATGGCAAAAGGGACACATAGAAGGCAGATGTGATCAAATCAAGGATTTTAAGATGGAAGATTATCCTGGATTAGCCCGGTGGGCCTGATGTGATCATAAGGCTCCTCGTAAGAGGAATCCGGCAGGAGTCAGAGTCAGACAGAAGTTTGACAATAAAAGCAGAGGGACAGAGAGAAGGGAACTGGAAGATGCTACACTGCTGGCTTTGAAGATGGAGGAAGGGGCCACAAGCCAAGGATACAGGCAGCCTGGGAAGCTAGGAAGAGCAAGGAAACAAATTCTGCCCTGGATCCTGCAGAAGGAACCCAGCCATGCAAACCCAGTCTGACTTCTTACCTCCAGAACTTTAAGACAACAAATGTGTGTTGATTTAAGCCACTAAGATTGCAGAATTTGTTACAGTGGCAATAGGGAAGTAATATACTCCTCTGAACTCGAAACACCCTATCACTTAAAGCATTGGTCTTGGGGCTTGATATGTACATGCATCTCTTCTGGACAATACAGTAAAACCCAGTGGGCTGGGCCTTCTTTCCCATACCTTCCCTTCAGCCCCAGAGAGCAAGGCACATTAGGTGTTCAATAAATGCCTGCTGGAAGGACTCTGAGATGGCGCCGGGATGAGCTCACCACTCACACAGTCAAGAGAAAGGTAAACAGTGGGTGAGGTCAAGACCAAAGCCAGTTCCTCCTAGCCTAATGAGTCTCCACATTAGTCACTGCCAGCAAGTTTCCGATCAACCAAGAAGCGCCAGGATTGATGACTGCTCATTCACCCCGGTAGTCCCATCCTACTTGGCCCCAGACAGGGAGCTAGAGCACGGCATAGCTGCCCCGCTGGGCTACATACTAGGTGACCAGCCACAAGAGACTGGGAGGAAGGGGAAAGTAGCCAAGTTTAGAAAAGGGGCTGTGATGATCTGGTCTCCCTGCAAATGTCCCAGGAAAAGCAATCTGCCAGGAAGTTTCATGTAAACATATGCTAAAGCCAAATGGGGGCAAGTATTGTTTATTATAAATTGCTCTTGTTCACAGCCAGTGTAGAGGTAACTTGGCTGCCAGCACAACTTGTCACTATGCAATGTGCCCCAAAACCGGAAGAGCCAAAGAAAGCCCTAAAAGGTGTTACTAGAAATTACCCCCTGGAAATCACAGACAGATCCAAAGTTCCCAGAGGCCCCACCTCTCTCATCTTGAGGTCAAAAAGGTTCACAGGACCGCTGCTACTTACCAGCAAAGTTCAAGAACCCAGCCCTGCAAATTCGCCATCTTTCCGGCCTCATCCCCATTTCAGGGGCTGCTTGTTTTGAGGCCTCTAGGCTGGAGCGGGGTGGGTGGGTAGGAGGAAGCTGCATTTTACTACTGCCTCAGGTTCAAAGGCACTGGAGAATCTCGGTGGGAACCAAGTGGGTGTGGAGGGGCCCCCACTGGGTCCCTCTGCTTCCTCGGCAGAAAAGAGAATATGCACAGATGCAGTAGAGCCCACAGAGGTCAAATGCAGTAAACTCATCCACAGGCTGTGGAGTCAGGCAGACCCCATTTGACTTCCAGGCCCTCCACTTTTCCTGGCTGTATGTGGCCTTGGGCAAGTCACTTCACCTCACCAAGCATCAAGTTCCTCATGAGGAAAATAGGCACAGTAATACTGCCAACCTGACTGGGTTGTCTCCAAGGTTGAGATGACACAAGTAAGTAACCCGTACATCTGACACACAGTAAGCCCACCGAGAATGGTGGTGGTGGTGATGATGATAACGGATAAATCACTTATTTGTTCTGCAAGCATCAAGACAATGAGATTTTTCTGCCTTGTACCTACCATGTTTGACCCACATCTCAAATTAATAATAATGATACAAGTTAAACTTGGTGAACCAGCATGACCTAACCTTCCCCCACCACCCGTGTGTTTATCCATCTTCTATGATCTCAACATCCATATAGACCATGATCTTCTAAGGGCAGACACACAGCAGTTCAGCTGGAAAGGAAAAGTAGTCTGACACCCATACCCAACAGGAGGTCAAGCCAAGAAATGAAGTATTAAGTGAGTCCGAATCCCGCAGCTATAGCAGATCCCAGAGGCGCATTCCTCTGGGATCCACACGGAGAGACGGCATGTACTACTGGGAGCTGGAGAGAAACAGGGCCAGGGGGCACCGCAGGCCTGAGCAAGAGCAGAAGTTAAGGCAACTTGAGAGAGCAAAAGCACAAGTGATTAACAAAAACCATCCTTGACACTGGTCCGTGGGTTTTAAACCCATCTGCAGGGTAGACATCTGGGAGGGCCAGGGCATAAGACAAAACAGCAAGGTACTGGGAAAGGCTCTAGTGCGGACCCATTCCTAAGTCACGAGGAATATCAAAAAAAGGAAAAGCAGAAGAATGTGTATGAAAGAGCCCAGGGACTACAGCCAGCACTCCTCCAAACTACCCTGGCTCTGCCTAGCCACTGTATGATCAGGAGCAAGTCAGCGGGCTCTTTGTGCCTCAATCTCTCTCTGATTTGAAGATAACCCTAGTAATCTTCCAACCTAAGCTGTTTACCAAGCACCTACTGTGCACAAAGACATCATGGCAGCCCTGCAGTTAGGACAAGTCACACACAGACTCCACTCTTCAGAGCTTATATGCTATAAGGCAAAACAAGACAAGGCATCTGTAAGAAAAGGAGGGAGAGAATCCAGGCATGAGCAGTATGGGAGTTCAAGACTGCCTCCAGTTTGGGAATTCATTCAACACTCCTGAACATGAATGCCAGGGCCTGGGGATATGACATGAAAAAGACATTGTCCCTGTCTTTGAAGAACTTGAACTTCAGAAGGAAAAATGGCCATATAAACAGAGTATTCACAAAACAATGCCTTGAGTCCTAGTACAAAAGCATGAATAAATAAACTGTGCTAACAGAAGGAGTAGCTAGTGCTACTTAGGGGACCAGGAAGCTTTCTAGGAGAAGGTGACATCTTAGCTGAGTCATAAATGACGAGTAAGCTTTGCCAGGTGAAGAGATCTGAGTGCATTTGCTGCCAAGAGAGCAGCTGAGTCCCGAGAGGACCCAGACCACCCCCACGCCCCGGGCAACTGGCAACAAGAGGCCAGGCTGCAAGGCAGGCCAAGGACAGATGGAAGGAATCCACGTGGCTTTGTGGGAAAGGACAGATCCAAGCCAGGTCTGGAAGAACAACTACCAAGACACGTGGAAATGGGGCTCCATGAGACGAGGTGTCAGAATGTGCCCTAAAAAGGTCCAAACCATGATATGGGCTGTGGCTGCAGGTGTCCCTAGAGCCAGGGAGTGTTCAAGAAGAATGCAGAAGCCCAGGAAGGTGCTGGCTATTCAGAGACAGCTTCGAGGAGGAGCGAGAGATCGAGGGAACATTAGCTAGAAAGAATGAGACCCATTCCAACCCTTGCAAAGGGGGAAGAAATGAGACCCAATATGAACGTCAAGAGATGAAACTACATTTAAATTAACTGCCTCTAGGAGCAGGAAGAGAACACCTACCCTAGAAAACTGAGATGCCAGTTCTTAAATGGAAGAAATCTCTCAGAGGAATTTCAGGCCAGCAGCTCTCAACTGGGCTGGGGGAGGAGTTTGTGTGCATCTTACTACCCAAGGGTTTTTTCCTTCCCCCAGTTCTCACTTTCCCTTCCCAAGCCCATCAGAATGGTGGCTTGGAGGCAAGGCTGCCAGGGCAATTCCCTAAAACACAACTCCCTTCCCAATTCCAAGCATGAGCATCCAAACCCAGAAAGTTATGTAGACAACCCTGGCCTTCCCCCTCCCTCAGGCCTCGCCTCTTCTTCGAAGGTGATACAGCAAGAGAAGAGCTCCAACACATCCCCTTTCTTTGCCCTGGGCTCTGACCTTGGGCTTGGTGCCTGACCCAGAGAAGTTAGGAAAGTGGATTTTCCAAAGCAGACCTTATGGACTCACACACACACACACACACACACACACACACACACACGTGTAAATTCCCAAAGGCGGCCAGCCCTTCAGCCAGCAGGGCCACACACACTTCCCCTATCCTACAGGGCCCAGGGGGCCCCTCTCTACCCATAGCTCCTTCCCCCATCCCCCATGTTCCCCGCTTCCCCTACTAAGGGGCCTCACCAGAGACGCCTAAGAAACTCATCCAACCAGTTCCTGGGTAGAGGAGGGGCACTTCCTGCCTCAGCTGGGAGCGTACATGGACCAGAATTCAGACCGGTGGGGCAGTATTACCCAATCCCAATTCTGGGGTGCACACGTGTAGAGACACGGCCGAGGAAGCAGCGTCTACTCCTTGAAAAGTGAGGCCTTGATTTGCAGTCGATCTGCCCCGACCTCCACACTCCTGCTGCTCTGAACTATGAAGTGGTGGGTGCCAGGGTCGGGGTCCGCTGCCCACCAGGGAGGAGACAGGGCAGGGGAATAACCTCCTTTCAACTGCTCTACCAGCTGACGCTTGGTTTGATCCAAAACAACCACCCTCTGTGGATTCTGGGAAAAGGAAACATCAGGAAGAAGTGGGAGATTAACTCTGCTTTGTGTGTGTGTGTGTGTGTGTGTGTGTGTGTGTGTGTGTGTGTGTGTGTGTGTGTTGTGTGTGTGTGTGTTGTGTGTGTGTGTGTTGTGTGTGTGTGTGTGTGTGTGTGTGTGTGTAGGGCCCTACATGACCTTCTCTAACCACTCAACTCCAAATGTTCACGACATGAAGTCCCCCTGAAGTCCCCGGCAGAACCATTTACAGTTGCCTCCAAAAGGGCTGTCTTGCTGTGTCACCCAGACACATGACAGTCCACTAAGAAGAGCAGCTCACCTATGCCTGCTCCCTTTATGGTCCTCAGTGTCTAACCCACAAGGGAAAAACCTGCCTTTTACCCTAAAGCCTGTGATTGGCTGGGTTTCCTGGGGGAAGTCCGGCAAGGCTTAGAGGCCCGGAGTTGAAAGAGTCCCCATCCCACCCCATTCCCATCCCCTGGCCTGGCCCCAGCCGGGTACCTACCGCTTTCCTCAGGAGAGCTCCCATCCGGGCACCACGAGGGTGGCGAGGGGCCGGGCAGCCGCATTGTCCCCAGCACCGGCAACCTAGCAGTTAACAGGCTTGGGGTGAGCAGCGAGCTGCCACCAACAGCCTCGGGAATTAAAGCGCCCGCCGCCTCCTGCAAAACTTCGTCAATAAATGTTCTATTCAGAACCAGTTCTGCGTGTGGGTCATACTTTCTGCATTTCTCTCATTCCTGATTGCTGGGGGGCCCTAGCCCAGGAAATGCAACTTCCCGACACAATTCTGCAGGTCCCCGCTGGGTAGGGACCCAGGCCACAGCCCTGGGAGGTGAGCGCCACAGGGCTGAGGACCTGCACAAACCTCCAGCAATTAAGCACAGGGGATACTAACTGCAGGAATCAAATACTGAAGACTTCAGAACAAAGCCAGATCATTCACCAGCACAACAATGCTCTGTTTATGCAGCACCTCCCCCACCCCAGGCCCTCGAGGCTGAAGGATAATTAACCCTTCTGCCCTCACAATAGTGGGGGCAGAGAGGAAAGGCAGGTGGCCATCCCTATTTTACAGGTCAGGAAACTGAGGCACAAGTGGCTCTCCAAATGCCTGGCTGAAATAACCTCAGCTAGCATTTATTCGAGTATACCAGACATAAGGCAAAACACATTCTCTATATAATCTCCTCACAACACTCTGGTACCCAGGGCCATACAGTCAGGGAAGTAGAGGAGCCAGGGTTTGCTGGAATCCACACTCCCTGTGCCTTTCACCATTCTCTCCACAACCTCCCACATGGCCCGAGAGACGAAGCCAAGAAGGCCATCTCTCACCCTACCTCATAGGAATGCTCTCATGCACTTTTTGCTTTTTTTACAAGTAACACTTTTTGCTCACAAGTTCCTAGAGTATGGGGCAACCTCAGAAAGGAGCCAAATAGAGTCACCTGGGAATTCATAACTCACCTGTAGATGCCTCCAAAAACAGTACGTAACCAGCAGTAGACAACCCCAAGACACAGGCCTTCCTTCTCCACCCACACACTCTTGCAGTGGGGGTACCAACCTGCACGGGGTCTCAGTGAGTAGCAAGTATCCCAAGCTGTTTTCTCTGAGTGTTCTATTGCCTCAACTCAGTAACAACCTCCTAGAGGTAAGAACCAGGTCTTCCAGTGTTTTGTGCTTTTTTCCCCCCAGGTCCTCTGGCACTCAAATCCCTACTTCTCATTTTGGCCACTGTGTAAAAACATGCCAGAAGGTGGAAGCACACAGCATGGATGGTATTTTGGGGGCCGCTGTGCTGGGAGAAAAAGGCATCCCCAGTGGGAGCACAGATATTAAGTTTGGGAAGGGAAGGCCAAGCTGTTCACCTCCTCTCCGCTGCCTGGTCATACCCAGCCCAGAAGAAAGCTTCAGAATCATGGCTGGGATGACTTCCTGTGTGAAAAGAAGACTACTCAAATTCACTCACATGTATTGACAGTATAAACCATGTGCCACGTGCTAGGGACACAGCAGTGAATAAGACACATCCTCATTCTCATGGAGCTTACATTCCAGTAAGCAAGACGGCCACAAAAAGGTAGACAAATAACTAACACATTTTTGGAAAGTGTAAGTGCTATGAAAAAGATAGAGGAGGGAAAACAGAATACTCTGAGAGATGGGAATTTCCACTAGCTAAGGAGGCCTGGGAAGGCATTAAAGAGGTGACTCTAGAGCAGAGAGACCTGTATTGTAAGAAGCAGCCAAACATGTGAAGCTTTGGGGGATGAGCCTTCCAACAGTCTTTTCCTCTACCCCACCATAGCCATCCACTCACATGTCTCATATGCCCCAGACCTCATCATCACCAATAAGTGCACGCTTCCAAAACCTTGCTTTGAAGTATCCCATCCTCTGTAACCACTGAAGAGGAACCTGATACAGAAATTTCAAACCACACAAGGAAACAAACCATCATAAGGAAGTCAGAAAATTGAACAAACTGGCACTCAAAGAACTAGAAATTAAAGAATAGGTCTACAAAAGATGTTTAAAGATGAATAGTTTAAATGATTGGAAATATAAAAGAGATAAAAATCTTAATAAAAGAAGATGGTAGTATAGGGGGTAAGGAACAGGCCAATTAGAAAAAGCAATACATGAAAATAAAATATTCAATATTGAAATATAAAACCCAATAGTTAAATAGAAAATTAAACACAGCTAAAGAGAGAATTAGTTAAGTGAAAGATAAACTGAAGAAATCATCCTGAATTTAATTCAAACAAATAAGATAGGAAATATAAACATTAATAGACTTAGAGGTCCACAGAGAAAAAAAAAGGAAATGGGGGAAGGTGCAAATTTCAAAGAGATAATGTATATGAACTTTCTAGAACTAAGGATAGACTTTAGTCCTCAGATTGAAGGCACACACCAAGCTAAACTTCAAATAAGCCCACATTCAGACATACTGTATATAGTATATATGCAGAACACCAAAGACAAAAAATATCTTAAAGGATGATAAGGAAATGTCATGAACTATATGCCAATGAATTGGATAACTTTGTTGAAACAGCCAAATTTCTAGAAGGGCACAAACCACTGACAGATTTAGAAAGAAAAAGTCTAAACAAGAGATTAAATTAGTAACTTTAAAACTTCCAATGAAGAAAAGCCCAGGACTAGACGGCTTCCCTGGTGAAGTCTACCAAACATTTAAAGAATAATTCATATCAACTCTTCACAAACTCTCACCCCACAAAAAAACAGCAGGAAATACTTCCCAACTCATTCTATGAGGCCAGTATTACCCTGCCATCAGGACCAGACAAGATATCAGAAAAAAGAAACCTACAATCCCACATTCCTTATGAATATAGACACAAAAATCCTCAACAAAATACTAACAAATTGAATCTAGCAACCACAACCATACATTATGACCAAGTGGGATTTATCCCAGAGATGCAAGATTAGGTTAACATCTAAAAATTAATTAAAATAATTCAGGTTGATAATAGGATAAAGTGTAAAAATCACCTGATCACTTCAATACACCCAGAAAAAAATTTTGACAAAATCCAACACTCTTCTATGATAAAAACGCTCAACAATCTAGGAAGAGAAGAGAATATCCCCAACCTTACACAGAACATCCATGAAAAACCCACAGGTACATCATAATCAATGGAGAAAGACAATGCTTTTTCACTAAGATTAGTAAGAAGACAAGGATATCCAGTCTTGCCACTATATTCGATACTGGAGTTCCAGCCAGGGCAATTAGACAAGAAAAAGAAATAGAAGAGATCTGGGTTGAAAAGGAAGAAATAAAACAATCTCTATTCATAGATAACATGAACTTGTATATGGAAAATCCTAAGTAATCTACCACAAAACTATTAGAACCAATAAAAGTGTTCAGCAATGTACCAGAATACAAGATCAACACACAAAAATCTATTTTATTCCTGTACACTAGCAATGAGCAATCATAAAATGGAATTAAGACTCCCATTTATAATAGCAGCAAAAAGAATAAAATACTTAGGAATATATTTAACGAAAGAAGTGTAAGACTTGTATGCTGAAAACCACAAAACACTGTTGAAAGAAATTAAAGAAGACCTAAAAGACATTCCTTGTTCATGGAATGGAACATTTAACATTGTTAATATGGCAATACTCAACAAACCAATCTAAAGATGCAATACAATCTCTATCAAAATATAGCTGATTTTTTTTTTGCAGATATTGACAAGCTGATCCTAAAATTCATATGGAAAAGCAAGGGACCCAGAATACCCAAAACAACCTTGAAAAAGAACCAAGTTGGGGGGCTGATACAACCTGATTTCAAAACTTACTACAAAGCTATAGTTATCAAGACTATATGGTACCGGTGTAAGGGCAGACATATAGATCAATGAAAGAGAATTGAGATTACAGAAATAAAACAACATATTTATTGGCAACTGATTTTCAACAAGGGTGCCAAGACAATTCAATAGAGAAAGAATAGTCTTTTCAACAAAAGGTGCTAGATCTTCACATGCAAAAGAATGAATCTGGACACCTATTTCAAACCATATACAAAAAAGTCAAAATGGGTCACAGACCTAAATGTAAGAGCTAAAACTATCAAACTCTTAGAAGAAAAGATAGGAGTAAATCTTTATGAACCTGAGTGAGCAATGGTTTCTTAGGTGTAACACCAAAAGCACTAGCAACTAAAGAAAAAATAAATTGTACTTCATCATCAAAATTTTAAACTTTTGTGTTTCACAGCACACTACCAAGAAAGTGAAAAGACAAATCACAGAATGGGAAAAAATATCTGTAAATCGTATACTTGACAATGAACTTGTATCCAGAATATATAAAGAACTCTTGGCCGGGCGCAATGGCTCACACCTGTAATTCCAGCACTTTGGGAGGCCAAGGCAGGCGCATCACAAGGTCAGGAGATCGAGACCATCCTGGCTAACAAGGTGAAACCCTGTCTGTACTAAAAATACAAAAATTAGCCAGACGTGGTGGTGGGTGCCTGTAGTCCCAGCTACTCGGGAGGCTGAGGCAGGAGAATGGCATGAACACGGGAGACGGAGCTTGCAGTGAGCCGAGATCATGCCACTGCACTCCAGCCTGGGCAACAGAGTGAGACTCCGTCTCAAAAAAAAAAAAACAAAAAAAAAGCATTCTTGTTTCAACTGAGGCAAACACCCTTTGGGATAACTGGCAATCTGCTTGGGTGGAGCCGAATTAAGATTGGACTCATCCAGGCTCTACTGTAACACAGTCAAACTTTGGCCAGCTGGAACCTCTGTAGAGAGAGGGCATCCAAAAAGCAGCATTTGCAAGAGCATGCAGAGTTTCAAAACAGTGTGGGGTAGGGCTAAGAGCGGGCTCCAAAAGTTCAAACCCCATCCCTGCCAAGTATTAGCTGAGCGATCCTGAGCAAGTTACCCAACTCGTGGGGACTTGGTTTCCTCATCTGGGGTGGGTGAAGTGGGTAAACCACCTACTTGGTCTTATTTAAAGGATTAGTGATATTATTACCTAAGTATCAACACTTAAAATTTTAGCCAACCTGACTGGGAATCTTTTAAAAATCCGTTACACACTTCCCTGCCTTCCTAAACAGAGTCAAGGGAACATAATTTAACCTTTTCTTGATGACTCTGGGTCACAATTACCAGCAAAGCATAAATTATCAAACTGATGATCCCCAGACACCCAAGGTGTGCCAAGTCATTCCCTCCACACCCCCTCCCTCCAAAAAAAAAAAGATCCCCGGCACTTCTGCTAGCACTTGCTTTTCCTGGAGTTTTTATCTCAGTCTGCTCTCACTGCCAACTCTGCACTGTAGTCATTTTTCCCCCTCTATGCTTGTTTCTTTATCCTCTTTCATTTTATTTTTTTAATTTCTTTTGAGACAGAGTTCTGCTCTTGTCGCCCAGGCTGGAGTGCAATGGCGCAATCTCGGCCCACTGCAACCTCCACATCCTGAGTTCAAGTGATTCTCCTGCCTCAGCCTCCCGAGTAGCTGGGATTACGGGTGCCCGCCACCATGCCCAGCTAATTTTTGTTATCTTTAATAGAGACGGGGTTTCACCATGTTGGCCAAGCTGGTCTCAAACTCCCGACCTCAGGTGATCCACCGGCATCAGCCTCTCAAAGTGTTGAGATTACAGGCATGAGCCACTGCGCCCGGCCTTTATCCTCTTTCATTTGCTGCTTCTTCCCAGCTTGAACATAGCATGACATAGCTTATATGTAGAAGTTAAACAGGGTCTGAGAAGACTGGCATGAAGAAAAATGTAGGACCTTGAGTCCTCGACCTTCTTGGCTACATGCAAATAAGCAAGGGTGCTGGGTGGCTGAGTTCCAAATAAGAGTTTAGGGTAGGAGAGGTGTTATTGGATATTATGGAACACATTATGGGAAGAACTATATCCAACGCTATAAATACACCCTGCTGTCCACTTTGGGGCCAACTTGCATGGGAGCAAAATGTGTAGCAAGCTTTGGAAGACAGGTCCCAATGACTGTAGGTCTCCTTCTTACATGCTGCAGGAATACAGGGCTTCCTGTCCCACTGTCAGAACAGCTGACTACAGGTTAACTTCTTAGAATCTTATGGACATTCTCTGTCAGGAACAGAACATTCATAGTGTGAGCATTTCCTTAATTCCTAAGGTCTCGTCACACAGTAGGGTTTTACTTACTTATTCAACAAATACTTATTGGAATCCTACTGTACAACAGGCACTGGGGATGTAGCAATGAACTGAAGGAATAGAAGCTATATGAGAATACTGGTTCCTTTCTAATACTACACACACACACACACACACACACACACACACACACAGTCTCACAGCCTAGGAAGTAAAGGATGTGAGTTTTTAAGAGCTTCCGGCACCTGTAGAAACCATCTCTCCTTTTGGGACCCTGTTCCCAAGGTAAAATCGACTTCATTCCTCCTGCATCTTTCCCTTCCAGTCCCAGCTCCGATTCTGGCAATAATCAGATCAACTTCTAGGACCCTCAAACTGTGTTTCACAAAAGGCTGCATGCACAGCTACCACTGTGCCCACGAGAACCCTATTTGGGTTGTGTTCAGCCCAAGTCTGCTCAGCATGAAAGAGAGTGCAAGTCCTTAAAAATCCATTCCTTGAGCTTACGTAGGGCTCCCTCCCCAAAGGCCAGCCGCCAGAACTGTATAAAGCCCTCTTCTCCCTAGTGCTTGCATTCCCAGATGGCAACAGCCCACCTAGGGCTGGACTCGACCCTAACACTACCTTCTTCTCCCTAATCCCATGGAACAAAAGCTGTAGCAAATGAGACCACAAGCCCAGATTACTCTAAGGGTGGGACCACGGCTGAAGCCCATCACTCCCTGTTGATCACACTTTGTACCATTCTCAATGCTGTCTGGGCACAAAGATGAGTCCAGCACCATTCCTGTCCCCAGATAGCAACCCAGTTAGCATGGCCAACCTTTATCCCCAGGCAGCTGACAGACAGAGGGGCTACCAGCAGCTCTAGATGGGCCCCCTGCTGATCAGTTTAGTCCACGTTGTCCAGTTTTCTTTCTCCTGACTTCAGGTCACCCAACACTAACATGCTTGGGGCTGTTCAGGGCCCTCTTTGCAACTTCCTCTAATATCAGATCATCTAGCTTTTACCCGTCTCCAGGCACCAACTGGCAGTCCCAGGAAGTTCCTTCATCACAGGGCCTGCCTGGCTGCCGAGTGTGCAGCGACATACTTGGGGGGTGGGGCGGGGGGGTGGAACTGGCCATGACCACTTCCCTAGGCCTCATCCTCCACTGCCCATCTCTCACTTCCTGAACTAGGGCAGGGTCTCCAGGAAGCCACTCACCACAAACTTTGACAGCGGTACTTTAGATTAAACCCCTCCCTTTGTAGGCCCGTGGTTCCAGCAGAGAGGGTCGGAGACTCAGCAGATCAGCTGGGTAGAAGCGGCTAGGAGTTAGGCAGCCGACCCTGAGTTCTCATTGTGTCTGTCACTCTGTTACTTTAAATTCTGGTCCCTGGCGAACCCTTATTCAAAGTCTTCCGAGCCATCTCGAAGCCTCCACCAGAATCCTCCTGCCACCCTTCTGGGCTTTCCTAGGACAGCTCCACCCACCATCTGCCCCCTCCCTCACTTTCCCTACCCCTTGTCCCCGCCCCACTCCGCTTCCGACCTCCAGGCATAATTTACCTGCCGGAGGCTGGGGGAGGGGTGGACAGCCTTCCCAGCTGTGAGGCAGAGTCGGGAGGTCAGGGAGAAGGTGTGATTCATTGAGTCTGGCTGGAAGCAGGGGGAATTCCAGAGCAAGAGGGGGGTGGTCAGGGCTGCCCCTGTCATCCTATCTGTAGGATGGGGGTGGGCATAGGACATACCTGGGAGTCCCACGTCCTCAGCCATCTGCAATCTAGGGTAGGGCAGGAAAGCCTCCCTAACCAGAAAGTTTTTGCCAAGGTTTTCTATTTTCCCCTCCCTCTAATTCCCCACTCCTGCCCAATATCTAAAATGAAAAGCTTTGCACCTACAGTCCTTAGCAATGACATTAAATATCTCATGCTACCCCTGCAGAATTTGGTTGGAGAAATAGTTTATCGAACCTCTCTATAGTCTTTGCTAAGCATTCAACATACGTTATCTCACTGTACATTGCCATGATGCCGCATGTGGTAAGTATGATGACTAACTCCACGTTGGGTAAGAAACACAGCTCAAAGGAATTTAGCACCACATCAAAGTCCACAGGGCTAGTGAGCTGTCAAGCCAGGGATTTGAAACCAAGGTGTGTCCAACTCCAAACTCTGTTCCTCGATGCCACAGTGGGATGAACTGGGCTTCAAGTTAGAAAAGGCAGCGATGAAGAAAAATACCGCCTTCAGGCATCACCTCAAAAGTACCTTCCTCCTGGAAGCCTCCCTGGCCACCCTATCTAAACTGTCACCTCACCCCTTCCATGACAATTCACACCTACCTTCCCTATCATATTTTTTATTTCTGTTTATCACTAACACACTTGCTATTTCAATCTTGTTTATTGTCACTTCTGCTAAAGTCAGCTCCACTGGGTCAATAATTATTGTATATTTTCTTCACTGCTGTGTCTTCTGCATCTGGCATTCATACATAGTAGGTGCTAACTCCTTAACTATTAAATGAATGAATAGAGTACTTTAAAATAGAACTAAGGGGCATGAGTACTGGGAGGAAAAGGTGATCCGTCCATTCAGCAGAAGAAAGGAGAGATGAGAAAAGACGGTGTGGGAATCTGGCCAGAGGTGAGTTGTGGGGCCCAGATGAGCTTGACAAGAGGAAATGAGGATCTGCCAGGTCCGCTGGGGGCTCCAGTAGCCCCTTCCTCCTGGCAGTTGTGATTTCCAGCTGCCAGGGCCCCCGCTGGAGGGCTTCTGCTGAGGAGGGAGGATGGAGTAGGGCGGGTTTGCAGCCACGGAACAAAGGCCTGTGGACTTGCAGCTGGCCAGAGAGGCGGGACAGAGCAGTGGCCTGGGCCAGAGGGGCGGCCTGAGATGGGGGAGGGGGCACAGATGAGGAGCTGAAGACAGCCCTCAGTGCAGCTGCAAAAGCAACACCCTCCCAGAGTCCCTGCAACCCCCAACACAACAGAGAATAGCCAGAGGGCTTCACTTTTAACCCTCCAAGGCCAGGGCGGCCTGGGCTTGTGGCAGCACCCCTGGCTTACAGCTGGAGCCTTCACAAGGTTCTGGGAGCTGGGAGAAGAGAACGGGCAAGGCATACCTCTGCAACAGAGGAGCCTTCCCCCTCCAGCCCTGGTCATCCCGCAGGCCGTGGCCTTTGGCCTCTTCCAGCGTAAACAGTGACCGTGGGATAGCTGCGGATTTGGTAAGGCAAATGTTTACTCTGGGGCTGAGATATTAAGACCAGGGTGTTTTAAACATCCAACAATGGCTCCTGGTATCTAACGTCTCCTTGTGGCACACACGTGGGACATAGCCAGCAAATTGTAAAACCCTTGGGAGACTCCCTCCCGAGCCACTGTGAGCCCTTTAGTTTTAACAGGAGTTTATGGAGCACTTTCCACAAATGAGGCTTCCTTTGATCCTCACCACAGCTCCTATGAGGAAGAGCAGGCAAGTAATCCCACTTTATTTATGTGGAAACTGAGTCAGAAAAGATAAGTGAATTGGCCAGATCATGTTGGAGAAAACACAGATCAGACAATGAGGACATCTGACCTCTGGTTTCTACTTGGCCAATAGGGTCTAAGGCTGAAATCACCTCACCCCTCTGGGCTCTGCTGCCTTCACGAGTAAATGAAGTAGGCTAATCCAAGGGGCCCCCCAGCCCAAGTGACTCGCACTCTTCAACTCTACCAATCTTCCATGCTATGCAGAAGAGCCAGGTCTAAAACTCAGGCATAAACCCGTGCTGGACTATCAGGCCAGTGCTCTTTCCACTTCCCCTGCCATGCCACTTCTAATAAAAGGCAGTAGAAAAGCCCCCAAAGCAGCTCTTCAACAAATCACTCCCTCAGCAGCTAGGACTTGGCCTCTGGGTACCTCTTCCCCCAACTTCCTGCCCCATCCCCAGGGCAAGTTACCCAGGGAGCTAATGGGTTGTCCTATCTTCCAGGAAGGGAGTGGAGGACAGCAGGTGTCGAAAGGAGAAGTGAGGCCATTGCATCCAGGGGGCCAGCCCGGAACCACAGGGGAGAGATGTATAACAGAGAGATAAATGTACACTTTTGGTTCTCACTCCCTAGTTTCCTCCTGGGGAACAGCTGGGGTTTAATCACTCAGGATCCCATCCTTGTCCAACAAAGGATGGCCCGGAAAACCACACTGCTGAAGGCGAGGTGGCCGATGTGCTCAACGGGGAGGCCCTCCCCCGCTCCGGACTGTCATTGCCCTCCCTGCTTATTATTTCTTGAGCAAGGGCCATGTGACTGGGCTGCGTGCAGAGGCACGGCTGGGGAGACTCTGGGAACCCCCACTCCAGGGTTCCCCGTAAGGTGAACGCAGTGTGGGTCTCCTGCTGGGGCCCCCAGAGCAGGGGACAGGCACCTACATATGCCAACAGATTAGCGAGTGACCTCGAGGATCAAACTCTTTCGCGGCCTCTAACAACACCCTCCCCAAAAGCCACACCTCTCCAGCCTCCAACCATTCCATTCTCCCCTCCGTTCTTCCTTTTGTGTTCCAAAGGCGCCCCGAAGAGTCAAAGTAGCTATTTAACGCCTTAAAAATTTAAGCTTGCACGCCTTATACTGGCTTTCCAAACCAAAGGGCTGGGTGTAGGGGTGCGAAGAACCAAACCGACTTCAGGAGTGGACGAGGTCGAGGCAGCTGGTGGCCGGGCTTTCCGCTCCCCGCTTCTGGCCCCCACTCTCCTCCCTGCCGGACAGGTAGCCGAGATTCCCAACAGCGAGCACCGTGCGGCGCCAACCCGGAACAGGCTGCAGGCGCCTCCGGGGCTGGCAGGAGCCGAGGCTCGGGTCCTCGCGCAGAAGGGTCCACCCGCCAGGCCCACAGCTCCAGCCAAACACCAGCCCTCGGGCGCGCGCGGCCTCGCGGGCTTCCTGGATTTCAAACTGAGCCTCTCTGGAGCCGCCCGGCGCATTTGCCCCTTTTGTTTCCGGAGTGGAGGGAAAAAAAGACAGAAAAAGTCTCCCCATACGACCCTCCTGCGCTCGCGCACTCTGCGGCAGGGTGGCCCGGGAAGCAGCCAACACAGTTCCAGGCCCTCCTCGGTCGCCCCGGTCCTCACCCCGCAGGGGGCTGGCACGGGGGCCGCGAAGGGACTGGGGCCCCAGCGTGACTGCCGGCACCGCCGCTCAGCCTAATGCAGGGAGATAAGAGGGGAGAGAGGAGAATCAGGGGACACTCACCGAGCGGTAGCTGCCCCGCGGGCTCGGGACGCGCACGGCGTGCGGGGCTGCCCAGGTGCTGCCGCGACGCGGGCGCGAGTTTGAAAGTCGCTCTCTGAAGGGGCTGAGGCCGCCGACCGCTCCCGCCCACCGCCAGCCCCTCAGCTGGCCCGGACTCGGCCAGCTGCAAGCGCGGCCCCCGGAGACCCCAGGCAGCGCGCGGCTTGCCAGCGCCCGGCAGGAAGTCGAGCGGAGCCGGAGCTGCAGCGGGAGGGCAGGAGGGAGCGAGGGAGCGAGGGAGCGAGGGAGCGAGGGAGCGAGGGAGCGAGGGAGCGAGGGAGGGGCGGGCCAGGAATTTTTCCTGTGGGTGGAGACTCCAGCTCGCGGCTGCAGTCCAGCAATTGGCGGCTCTGCGGGGGCCGGGGCAACCTTCGCGGCGCGGCGAGCCAGAGCCGGGGTAAGGCTGCGGCGGCGGCGAGGCCTGGGCGCGGTTAACGATTAACGCCCGCAGGGTGATGAGCGCGCACCCCCGGGCAGCCTAGATGCTCTAGGATACCAAGACGCACGTGGTGGGGTCACCCTGGTGTCACAGACCTGCTATCACCGCCTCCCGAGACAGCATGGACTGCCAGAACGTACCCCTTGTATGGACAGGGAACACCGGGCCCTGCGAAGGGGGCTGAGGGCTTTCCCAAGTGAGTGACCAGCCGGGATCGATCTGGGGATCCTAATCCTACCAGAGCCGGCCGTGTCCGCTTTTCCAAGTCAGAAAGGCATGTCTTGAATTCCTCACCATAACTCGGTCCCTGTGACGCTTTACAGTGGTAAATGCAGACCTCTGAGAAGCTGACGGGAAAGAGATAAAGGAGACAACGTGAAGGCAACTCCACAAGGAACTGTTAAATAGGAAAAATAAAACACAGAAACCTGGATGATAGAGGACCCGTTTTTATAAAACAAAGAGAACCGTTTGTCTTTATGTCTCTGTATATGACCGTGTATGCATGGAAAGGTACACACCTGGAAACTGGGGGGCAAGGGGTGAGGATGGGGGACAGAGACATTCAATACATTTTGAGCAAGAGCATAAATCCAAAAACCCATAATAATTCATCAGTAAAGATCCTGAAGAACAACAAGCCCGGAGGAGGGAAGCCCAGAGTGGGGCTCCGGAAGAGGAACAACGCCCACTGGTTAGGCGCTATCACTAGTTCCTTGGGAGGAGGAATAGGACGCTGATATTAGAACCACGGGGTATATTTGTTATCCAGGTGTACAGCAAACGATTTCTAGAGGTATCATTTAAAACAAAACAAGCGCCCGCCCCAAAATGCTGCTCTGGGCAAATGCAAGCTCCAGGTGATCTACTGGGAGGGGAGAGGCGGGGCAGGCGCGGAAGGAAATGGCTTTCAGGTGACTTTGAAACTGGATCCTGGCGGAGGGTGGGGTGAAGGCAGCGTCCCGGCTCCTGCCTGCGGAGGAAGCGGTAGGCGCTCGGTCTGGCAGGCCCAGAAAGCGGGGCCCACATTCCTTAGGGAGGGAGGGTGTGTTGGAGGCTTGCAGAGCCCCAGACTCGCGGACCGTGAAGGTGAGAGCAGAGATTGCAGAAGAGGGGCTCGGAAATAGATCAACTTAGTTGGGGCTCCGCTAGACCCCGCCGGCCAGGGGAGAAGTGACAAGTCCCCCTTCTGGCCTTCCAGGACTTGTGGTCACCCCTTCCAACCTCAGGCTTTCACCTTTTTTTGTTTATGCTTTCTTATCTGATCACCTGAATCTTACGAATGCCTTCCGGTCCGCTTCAAATTCCAGCTTCCAAAGAAGCCCCCTGACTTAGCCACTTGTGAGCGACCCTTCACTCCTTAGCCAGGACACGTTACAGTGTTAGTGGCAGTCATAACTGTCCTTTAGTGAATGCTTACCATGCAGAGGGCCTGTGCTACACTCTTAACAAACTGTGTCCCTGGATCCTCACAGCCACCTTGCGAGGTAGGAGATATCCTAATCCCCATCTTGCAGACAGAACACTGAGGCTTAGGGGCAAGGAGCAACTTGGCAAAGATTACACAACCAGCAAAAGCAGTGTCGGGCAAGTGCCTAGATGGGTGTGTGCTTACTATGAGTGTGCTTACTATGTATTAGCCATTCTTCTAAGTACTTTACAAAAACAATTGCAGTAACAGAAAAGGAAACTGAGGCAAAGTCACACAGCTAGTGGGTGGTAGACCTGGAAGTCATAACAGGGAATTCTGCCCTTCACCATCACTGCTTCCAGTTTCTTTCTGACACTTGTTATGCCCAATTCACTTGATTATAATATATTGTTTCTATTAATAATTGTTTTAATTTATATCACCTACTTCCTAAAAAGATTGTAATCTCCCTGTGGTAGAAGTCATATAGGAAGCACTCAGTAAAACAATGCTGAATTCAACTGAAACAATCTAAAGAGTTTGTGAGAAATCGCACAGTCTCTCCTCCGATAATAAAACCCTGTGTCAAGGGCCAGGGGCTCCAGGCTGCAGCCCCTCCACAGCTCGGAGCCTCTTCCTACCAGTTCTTGTTGCAATGGCCTCACCCTGCTATTAAATCATTTATTATTATTATAATACCTTGTGTCTCAGCAATGCCTTTAATCCAAGATCTCAAGGTGTTCTAACAAATACAGGTGAACTCACTTTCACAGTACCCCAGCTGAGATGAGGAGATGGAGGTATTTTCCCAACTGTTTGGATGAGAAAACCAAGACAACAGAGAATTGAGATGATTCACTATGGAAATTAGTGGCAGGGTTTACTCCCCCATCTCTTCCCCTCCTCCTTCCTAATTCTTGGCTGCCAATACTTGCATGAAAATTTCAAATCCCAGAGACAAAAGCCATTGAGTTTTCACAATAAAGGACATTTCCAGACTGTCATTTCAGCTGCTCTATTGTGGCAGACCTCAGGAGAGGGAGGGAACGTAAGCCTAGTAAAGGTTCCCTGGGGCTCTGTGCTCCTGGCTCAGAGGAGCCATGCCTGGCTGGGATGGAGGAATGAAACCTCAAACATGGAGAAAATCCCCCTCAAAAGTGACCTGAAAAGCCCCACCAAGCTCTGAGATCTCAAAGCTTCCAGAGTTCCAAGTTGCATTTTAGCAACATTTCTCAAAAATGTGAGCCACATGCAACAAAGGAAAGAAAAAGATAAATTGGACTTCACCAAAATTTAAAACTTTTATGCATCAAAGGACATCAAGTGAAAAGACAACCCAAAAAATGGGGGGAAATTTTTGCAATTCATATATCTGATAAGAAACTTACGGAAATACATAAAGAACTCCTACAATTTAATAAAGGCAAATAACCCAGTTTAAAAATGGACAAAGGATCCGAATATACATTTCTCCAAAGAAAACATACAAATGGCCAATAAGCATGAGAAAAGATGCCCAATAGTGTTCGCCATCAGGAAAATGCAAATTAAAAACATAGTGAAATACCATTTCATACCCACTGGGATGCCGATAATCAAAGGCAGGTAATAATAAATGTTGGCCAGGATGTGGAGAAATTGAAACCCTCTTGCACTGCTGGCAGAAATGTAAAGTGGTGCAGCTGCTTTGGAAAACAGTCTGGCAGTTTCTCAAAAGGTGTTTCTTGGTTTTGTTTTTTTGAGACAGGACCTCACTGTGTCACTCAGACTGGAGTGCAGTGGCGCAATTCAACAGGTTAAACATAGATTTACTACTTGACTCCACAATTTCACTGCTAGCTATATACCTAGGAGAAACGAAAACACCTGTTCATACAAAAAGTTGTACACAACTGTTCATGGCAGCATTAATTCATGGCTAATACATAAAAACCAAAAAGTAGAAACAACCAGGCCAGGAGTGGTGGCTCACATCTGCATTCCCAGCACTTTGGGAAGCCAAGGTGGGAGGATCACTTGAGCCCAGGAGTTCAGGACCAGCCTAGTCAACATAACAAGACCCCACCCCACCTCTACAAAAAAAAAATTTTTTTTAATTAGCTGGGTGTTGTGGTGCTTTCCTGCAGTCTCAGTTACTTGGGAGGCTGAGGCAGCAGGATAGCTTGAGCCCAGGTCAGTGCTGCAGTGAGCTATGATCATGCCACTGCACTCTAGCATGGATGACAAGGCAAGACTCTGTCTCAAAAAAAAGAAAAACAACCTAAATGTTCATCAGCTGATGAATGAATAAACAAAATGTGGTGTATCTGTACAGTGGAATATTATTCAGCCATAAAAAGGAATGAAGTATTGATGCATAGATGAACACTGAAAACATTATAGTAAGTGAAAGAAGCCAGTCACAAAAGGTCAAATGCTGTATACTTCCGTTTATATGAACTCTCCAGAATAGGCAAATCCATACGGAGAGAAAGTAGATTCCTGGTTTCCTGGGGCTGGGGCTGGGATTGAGGAAAGTTAGAAGAAATAGGGAGAGACTGCTGACGGGTTCAGGGTTCTTTTTAGGAGTGATACAAATCTTGTAAAATATTCTGATGGTTGCACTACTCTGAATATACTAAAAAACTTTAAATGACCAATATAGTGAAACCCCGTCTCTACTAAAAATACAAAAAGTAGCCGGGTGTGGTGGAATGCACCTTTATTCCCAGCTACTCAGGAGGCTGAGGCAGGAGAATTGCTTGAACCCAGGAGGTGGAGGTTGCAGTGAGCCAAGATCGTGCCATTGCACTCCAGCCTGGGTGACAGAGCGAGACTCCCTCGTCTCCAAAAAAAAAAAAAAAAAAAAAAAAAAAAAAACCTTTAAATGGGAGGATCGTATGGTATGTGAAATATATCTCAATAAAACATTTTTTTTTTTTGAGAAGGAGTTTCGCTCTTGTCGCCCAGGCTGGAGTGCAATGGCACGATCTTGGCTCACTGCAACCTCCACTTCCCGGGTTCAAGCGATTCTTCCACCTCATCCTCCCAAGTAGCTGGGATTATAGGCACCGCCATCATGCCCGGCTAATTTTTGTATTTTTTCTAGAGGTGGGGTTTCACCATGTTGGCCAGGCAGGTCTTGAACTCCTGACCTCAGGTGATCCTCCCGCCTTGGTCTCCCAAAGTGCTGGGATTACAGGCGTGAGCCACAGCACCCGGCCGCATTTTTTTAATTTAATGTGAGCTACTACCCCCTGTTCCTGAGTATTGGGGGCTGCCTATAATCACAATCTATTACAATCTGCTGGAATCTTTGGTGGGCAGGACCCAGCTCTGTGTTTCACCAGAGCACACTGAATGAAGTTTGAGAAGCACTGTAACACAATGTCTCAGAAGACTCAGGGATTCAAAGCTTTAGGGCCCCAGACTCTCTGAAACTAGAAAAAAGGAGGGTTTGTAACAAACTTTGAAAGAACTGCGGCCTCTGGGGGAAGGGGATCCCCTTCCTGAAGTTCTGTATTAATAGCTTCTTTCCCCTAGTCTGGACTTCTTAGTGTCAGAAAAATCTGACATCAGAAAGGGGAAGAAGCTGTGGGGGAAGGGAAAAGAAGACTTCTCCCCTCCTTCCCTATACTGTTTACAGCCACTGCAGTGGGGAGCTCTTGAGGAAATGAGCTGTTTGTTTGCATTTGTGTCTACAATAGAAGCATTTGTCAATCTCTTGTGGTTTTTCAAGAACCTGGGAGCCCCATGTGAACGATTTCTGGAGATTGCTTATGTTCACCTTCGTTATCAGTAGATAAACTGGCAGTAGTCAGCATTTACAACACCTGAGACTAGGGAGTTGGCACGCAGACGCCTGCCTTTGATGATCTGGGGGTTAATTTTTACACAGGCGTGCTGTTTCTTCGCTGGCTTCGGGATGCTGGGCTGCTTTTCTATTTGCATCTCCACCTATAGGGAGATGAGGTATAAACATGGAACCATCATCTGTTTAATGCTAAAGCAAAAGATTTCCTGGGGTATGTGTAGACACTATTGGCTGAAATGGTGTTTTGATTGGTCTGTGGACTTCATAGATCAATGTTAATATCCCCAGAAGACTTTCCACCCCTACCTGAGATTTTCAGACCTGGATGTTCTGAAGAATCATGTGGAAAATGTCTGACTTGGGACCGATGTGGACCCAGGAATCTGTATTCATAATGGGCAGGTGATTCAGATGCAAAAGAGATAAATCCACAGTCCATACTTTGACAAACACTGGTGTGTATTCTGCGTGTCTATTCCCTTCTTGGTGCGTTCTCTTCCCCCACCGCCACCCGCAGATACAGAGGACTCAAAACCCTGCAATCCCTCCCAGTGCTCCAACTATAAAAGGGCATTGCTTTTAAGACCTCATGATGTTGAAATAAATCAAGCTATTATATTTAATCAGATGGAAGAGTTCCATCTTGATTCATGTGAAATGCTTCATCTTCAACACCTTGGTGACAAGCAGGGCAGGGCACATCTACCAAGTACTACACTTTAAGCCTCAGAAAACAAACTGAGAGCTTAATTAGCAGGTAATTGCCCAGTTACTTGCAGATGGAGGCACTTCTTCCTGACTGTAATTTTGGTTGTTGATGTTTTCCTCTTAGCCTTCTCTAGTTTGTTCAAAGAGGACAGGACAGCTGTGACCCCCAGATCTGCACAACCTTCTTTTGGTTTCTGTGCCAGGCCATACGGGAAACATGGGTTGGTTATAACCCGATTAGGGCAACTGGGACCTATTCCATCAGGTTTCCTAAGTCACCAGCAACTCCTCCTGGAAAAATGAGGAATTGGTCCAAGGGAGGATAAAGTAACTTTGTGCTTTCACTCGAACAGTGACTGAGCTCAAAGACCCCACATGGCCCCATCCTACTCTTGGCCTCCAGGCACTCCCATCAAAACCTCAATTGCCTTCATGAGTGGTACTTTGTGGAGGTCATCCTGGTTCACTATCTTTTCCACCTTCCTGCAACAAAGCTGCCATCTTCTCAGTCTTACAGGATTTCCAGGATCTCTTCTAATCCTGCGAGTCTTGGATTCTACCAGCTTAAGAAACCTCAAACTGGATCTTTCTGCTACAACAAGCTGTCTTTATCCTTGACCTCCAAGTTTATCTAGGGAGAAAAACCTGGCTTCATAAACCCTCCTTCAGATACCCTCATCCCAGGCCTGTGGCTGTCTTAGGTCTGCTGAGAAAATTAGGGGATAGAATGGTGACAGGAACAGGGCTAAGGGCTTCATAAGTATTCTCACCCCATCTTCAAAACAATCATTTGAGGCAGGTGATCATTCTCTCTCATTTTACAGATGAGAACATTGAGACTCAGAGAGGTTAAGTCACAGGTCCCAAGTCATGTGGTCCTTAATGGTAGAGTCAGGACATGACCCAGGACCCTCTGCAGCCTAAACCTATGCTCTTAGCCACCATTCTACCACCAAAATACCCCACCCCAGCTCCCAAGGAGCCAGCCACTAGGCCAGAGCAGAGAAGCTGGGAGTAACTGAAGCAAAATAAACCCAAAAAAGAAATGCCCCTACCTGGCATAATGGCTCACACCTGTAATCTCAGCACTTTGGAGGCTGAGGTGGGTGGATCACAAGGTCAGGAGTTCGAGACCAGCCTGGCCAAGAAGGTGAAACCCTGTCTCTACTAAAAATACAAAAATTACCTGGGTGTGGTGCCGGGTGCCTGGAATCCCGGGAGGCTGAGGCAGAGAATTGCTTGAACCAGGGAGGCGAAGTTTGCAGTGAGCCGAGATCGCGCCACTGCACTCCAGCCTGGGCGACAGAGCAAGACTCTGTCTCAAAAAAAAAAAAAAAAAAAAAAAGAAGGAAAGAAAGAAATGCCCCCACTCTCTACTCTGCCCAACCAATCTGATTTGAAATAACTTAAAGCTCTTCAGAAAGCCTTCTAGACTCACAAGTGAGTTACAAACTCGGTTCAGGGACTGGTAAATGTGTGACAGAAAGAGAAGGAAGAATGCGTTTAGGGTCATAAAGTTGATGAGTAGAGAAAAAAAGCAAAAGTCTCTAAATACTTTTGACATCTCAAGCTAGCTGGCTATAAAAGGTGAAGCACGGTTTGTGCCTGGCAACCACAGACTTTTATGCCCTAATCACAGCTCTGCTGCCTAATAGTCCTGCTGCTATAACTCAAAGAACATCCTGTCCTACCCTTCTGGGGAGCAAAGCTGAGGTTTACCAAGTGCTGCTGAGTGGAGTGGGGAGTTGGCTTCCTACTGGGCTCACAGACTCTTGCAGATCTAAAGAGGCTGGATGCCCCGGAATTATCTCCAGAGCCTTCCTCAGCCCCAGCTGCCCTATGTGCCAACCCTCCTGAGAGAGGATCCTGCTGTTTCTATGGCAACGTTCCCTCCTCCCCCTCCCCTGCATCCCTGTGGCCCAGTGGAAATACACCTTCTCAGGTATGGAGGGCTTTGGTGTCTCTTCAGGAGCATGGTGGTTAAGACACCATAGCCCTGGGTGCTAGCACTGCTTCTTAGACTAGCCACTTAATCTCCTCGTGCCTCACTCTCCCCTTCTAAAAATGGGGTTAGCAGTAGTGCCTATCATATAGTGTTGCTGTTTGGGAATAAATGAGAAAATATTTTTAAGATACTTGGCATAGTTCCTAGCTCACAGAAAGAGGTCGCTAATAATATTATTTATAGTTCTGCTGATAAGTGTTAGGTTCCCAAGCCCCACCTCAATATCTTAGTTTCCTTAATGCCACATCAAGTCAGGGCATCTTATAGCTGAAAGAAGCCCTAGAAGTCACCCTAATATAATTATTTTTTCCCTTTGTGATTTTCACACATATACATCTCTAAGAATGAAATAATAGCAGTAAAGTACTTAGTATGTGCCTTGGATATAGTAAGTGCTTAATAAATGTTAGGGGGTTTTGTTGTTTGTTTGTCTAGGTAAATATGCATTCATCCAATAGTCACTTATTGAGCATCCTGGTTGCTGGGAGATGTACACTTAGTATAAGACATGATATTTCCCCAGGAGGGAAATTTATAACCAAATCAAAAAGAGAAGAGCCAGAAAACAATTAGAGAATAGTTTAGGGCCTAACGGTGCCGCATTTTCAGGTGTGACTATTATCACACTTGAAAGGAGGAGAGAGATTCTCTCCCTTTTTAATGATGACCCAGAATCCATATACTCAAATAGTATTGTTTTCAAAGAACGAGGATATAGGCTTATCTCAAGGATCTTCTTGTCACTCAAAAGTTATTTAAATTATTTTTAATGGCTTCAATGCTGGCAAATCCTGGACTGCTTAATGTTGGGGCAGGATGTATGGGAAATAGCAGAATGCCATTCAGACCCACGTCTGGTGGAAATGTCATCTCCAGCTGTTTAAACTGGATCCAGAATGAAGAGTGACAGTGGAATGAGTATTCCAGTTTCTCCAGTGTGGCTCCTGAGGCAATTCTGGAGCTCCAAAGAGGAGCTGATTCAGAGCCACTCCTACCCTCCCCCTGTCCCTACTCTTCCCCTTCCTCCAGCCCCACTCCCTGATATGAAAGAGTTCTCTGGTAAGAGACCAGATAGCCTTAATAGAGGAATGCAACCCACTGTCATTCTGGGCGCTTAAGTTGAGTGCTTATCTCTCAACTAAAAAGAGCTGTATACACATTGCAATAGCTCTCACATGATGAGATCCCAGCTGTTTTCTACCTTAAAATCATGTTTCCACTAATTTTCTAATCCCCAAACATTCAATGAGGTCTGTTATATGCCAGACATTATGCTGGCTCCTGCCAGGAACACAAAAGCATCAGACCCTGTCTCTGACATTGACCTGGTGGGAGAAGGTAGCAAACTGTAAACAGTAAAATTATTAAAGTGCCATGCTACACAATGAAAGCAGACATCCTATAAGACAGTTCACAATTCCTTGATAATCATAATTGGTAATAGAAGGCAAAAGGTAGAGAGTTCAGTGCAGGCAGAGATGGTCAGAGAAGGCTTTGGACGGGGAGGAGTCTAACCAGGGTCTTGACTGATGGGGAGGATTTGGGGAGCTGAAGAGAAGGAAATATCCAGAGCAGAAGAGTTTCAGGAAGGCAAACCCGTGAATAAGATTGGCCTCTGGGTCACTTGTAATTTCAGTCTGGCCACAACCTGAACTTGGTCTTCAAACAGAGGCATCCTCCCCAAAAATTTTCTGGCCTGGTGACCCTAATACTTTCGCAGCAAATGACAGAGACTCAACTCAAACTAACTTAAACAGAAAGGGCATTGATGGTCTCATAACTGCAAAGTCTAGGCATAGAGGTCTATTCATTTGCAAAGTATTACAACACAGTTCGTTCTAGGAGCCCTGATAATATTTCAGGGCTCCCTTTTCTCTCCCTTTTGCTACTCTACTGAGATCTACTTCACAGGCTGGCTCTCCTGGTAAGGCAAGGAGGATGGCTTCTGGCAACCCTACACTCATAGTCTCTGAGCTTAGCAACCCAGTAGAAAGAGAGGAAGTTTCTCTCTGGCCTCTCTTCTTAGCTCCTTCTTGATATCCTAGACAAAGCAGGTGAAATGGGTTCCCTGGGGAGGCCTGAAGTTGGCTGTCACATAGGAAATAAATGGTGCCATGGGAGTGGACCCAAAAGACTAAAAGGACAACCTCTGGCTGGTCTGGGGAAGAAAGCAAGGCTATGATATCTTGTTCTGGAAAACCTCATCCCTGTTACAAACTCCCCAGAAAGACACAGGTCCCTGCTTCCTGCCAACCCCAGTGGCCAGAATCTTTTCACAGAGTAAAAAGAATTCCCAGGAGAGCCTGTGTACAGACAGCTGCCTACCACAAGGCACTGCAGCAGGGGTGGCACCAGCATAAACATCCAAGGTCATGTGGTGTTTTAGGAAAGGAACCGAGATCAGAAGACCAGGTTAGGCTGGCACATGCTCACAGCCGAGAAGGTGCCTTAAATGGATTTGGTGATGAGCAGGTAAGCAGAACAGAAATCCCTGCTGCAGGCCAGAACTCAAAGGGCTTGGGGGGCAGCTTTTAAACTATAGATGTCACACTCAGAAGACTTCAGAGCCTAACGCTGCCCTGGACTGAATATTAAGTGGATATTGAAGGCATTTCCACCCTGCTCATTCTCTGCTTTTGAATTCTCAATAGGCAGTGAGTTCCGGGCCCCACAGCCTAATGGAGTAGCAGCTTCCAATTCTCCAGGTCAGAATAATAGAGGAGAAAAGGGAGCAGAGGCTCAGGGCAGCAATGTCCTACAGAATTTTCCACGATGGTGAAATGTTCTACATCTGCAATGCCCATTGCCACATGTGACTATTGAGCACTGTGGCAACTGGGTGCAACTGAGGAACTGAATTTTTTATTCTATTTAACTGAAACTGGTTTAAAATTTCAATAGCCAAATGCAGCTAGTGACTGTATGTTACACACTAAGCCTCAGTGAACATCCTTCCTTTACCTACCTCCAGGGCTTGGAAGAGAAAAAGACAGGATAAATTAGAACAGAACATCCCAATCGGTGATCAAGCCAGGAAAAGCAGATGGTGTAGAATGGGAAACAGGGGAGACCATAGTGTCAACCTTCTTCCTAGACACAGACACCAGCTGCCTGAACTCTGGCAAGTGTTCAGAATTCTGAGAGTCACTGCCTCGGAAAAGGACTTCAAAAAAGGTCATCTGAGGCTACCAGGTGGCCCCAAAACCATGGTCCAGTGAGGAAGGAAATACCTTCCACACCTTCCAATAGCCCCACAGGAAATCTCCCCCATGATTTTGGAGACCCCACATCCCATACTCTTCCTCTTCTATGGAAAGTATCTCACGCTGTGCCTGAGGACCCAAAGTCACACGTCCATGTCCATCAATAGTCCAGTCCCTCCAGGATTTCAGTTATGTGTGTGTTAACTGAGTGCCTCCCAGATCAGCAGAGGAAAAGCTGAACTTAAATAATTTCCTGTCCAGGAACAAGCTGCCACCTAACACAGTGGGAAACCATCCAAGCTAGATAGTAGGAGTGATGCTGGGCCCCACCCACAGCCTCCAGCCTAGAAAGGGACCTGCTCTATCAGGACAGCCAGTGACTAGATGGATGGGTTCTGCTAACCCAAGAGAGACCTAAACTAGTCCTGAAAAGACTAAAAGAAACAGTGAATTTATAAGAAAATAAGATGGTTACTTCCATTAAACTCAGATCCCAGCTGCTCACAGCCACCAGAAGCCAGACCAGGGCACTGGGCTGGTGGGGACAGGGCTGGGAGAACCCGACTGTGGGAAATACTGCAGAGGCTGATGGATGACAAAGAGGACCATGTGCCAGGCTGATGTCAACTTGGCTCCTTTCTGTGCACCTTCCCTGTCTCACTCTTCCTCTAGCTTACAGGGTGAACCATCCCAAGAGGTAGGACCTTGACCAACTCCCAGCTGTGAGGAGGGTGAAGGCAGGACCTGAGCTCATGCCCGGGCTTGCACTGGCACAGGAGGGACTTACACAAGTTCTGAGCTTTCTCTGACCATAGCTTCCACATCTATTTGGAGGTGTCCTTTTTAAAAAAATAAATTAAGCTTTCACAGCCATATTCATTGCAGCATTATTCACGATAGCCAATAAGGGGGAAAAACTCAAATGTCCATGGATGGTTGGATGGATAAAGAAAATATGGGCCAGGCGCAGTGGCTCATGCCTGTAATCCTAGCACTTTGGGAGGCCGAGGTGGGCAGATCACAAGGTCAGGAATTTGAGACCAGCCTGGCCAACACGGTAAAACCTCGTCTCTACTAAAAATACAAAATTAGTTGGGTGTGGTGGCGCACACCTGTAGTCCCAGCTACTAAGGAGGCTGAGGCAGGAGAATCACTTGAACCTGGGATGTGGAGGTTGCAGTGAGCTGAGATCATGCCACTGCACTCCAGCCTGGGCGACAGAACAAGACTCTGTCTCAAAAAAAAAATTTAATTTAAAAATTAAAAGAAAATATGATATATGTATACAATGAAATATTATTCAGCAATATTATTTGAGAAGAATATTCCTGAAACATTATTCAGGAAGAAAAATCCTGTCAATGCTACAACACGGATGACATTTGAGGATAATATGCTACATGAAATAAGCCAGTCACAAAAGACAAATATTGCAGTATTCCATCTACATAAGGTATCTAAAGTAGTCAAACTCATAGAAACAGAAAGTAGAATGGTGGTTTCCAGAGGCTGAGGGGAAGGGGAAACAGGGAGTTAGTCTTTGGTGGATACAGAGTTTCAGTTTTACCAGATGAAAAAATTCCAGAAATCTATTACATAACAATGTGCATATGGTTAACACTACTGAACTAGAGACTTAAAAACTGATAAGATGGTAAGTTTTATGTTTTATCACAATTTAAGTTTTTTTAAATAAAAAATCCAGCCTGGGCAACACGGTGAAACCCTGTCTGTACAAAGAACACAAAAATTGGCTGGGCATGATGGTGCTCACCCATAGTCCCAGCTACTCGGGAGACTGAGGTGAGAGAATGGCTTGAGCCGGAGAGGCAGAGGTTGCAGTGAGCCTTCATGGTACCACCGCACTCCAGCCTGGATGACAGAGTGAGACCCTCTCAAAAAAAAAAATCATCAAGCTTTTCATATATTCTCTTATCATACATGCCCATTATGAAAAATGTGGAAAATTGGAAAAGTACTTCTTGCACTTTTTTTTGTTTGTTTGTTTGTTTGTTTTTTGAGACGGAGTCTCACTCTGTCGCCCAGGCTGGAGTGCAGTGGCACAATCTTGGCTCCCTGCAACCTCCGTCTCCTGGGTTCAAGCAATTCTCCTGCCTCAGCCTCCCAAGTATCTGGGATTACAGGCACCTGCCACCATGCCCAGCTAATTTTTTGTATGTTTAGTAGAGACGGGGTTACACCATGTTGGCCAGGATGGTCTCGAACTCCTGACCTTGTGATCCGCCCACTTCAACTTCCTAAAGTGCTGGGATTACAGGTGTGAGCCACCGCGCCCAGCCTGCAAGTTTTATGAATATATAACCTGCCCATCATTTAAACATGATATAATAAGAATAGAAAAAAGCCATAATTCTCCGCCCTACTCTGGGCCTCCTCTCCAGAGACAATCATTTGTCTCTGGACAAATGATTTTTCTACTTTTAGATCATCATTACCCTAACACCAAGTAATTTGCTACTAAATTTTTATCTGTCAACTTCAGATATCTACGACTCCTGCCTAAGAAAGATGAGGGTGTTTTGTTTTGTTTTGTTTGTTTTTGAGATGGAGTCTCGCTCTGTTGCCCAGGCTGGAGTGCAGTGGCGCAATCTCGGCTCACTGCAAGCTCCACCTCCCGGGTTCACGCCATTCTCCTGCCTCAGCCTCCCGAGTAGCTGGGACTACAGGCGCCCGCCACCACGCCCAGCTCATTTTTTTTTTGTATTTTTAGTAGAGATGGGGTTTCACCATGTTAGCCAGGATGGTCTCGATCTCCTGACCTCGTAATCCACCCGCCTCGGCCTCCCAAAGTGCTGGGACTACAGGCGTGAGCCACCGCACCGGGGCAGATGAGGGTGTTTTTAAAATTTAATTTAATTTAATTTAATTTAATTTTATTTTATTTTTGAGATAGGGTCTCACTGTATCACCCAGGCTAGAGTAGAGTGGTGATATCTCTGCTCATTGCAACCTCTACCTGCTGGGCTCAAGCGATCCTCCCACCTCAGCCTCTCAAGTAGCTGGGACTACAGGTACATACCACCACAATCAGCTAATTAAAAAAAATTTTTTTTGTAGACACAAGGTCTCACTATATTACCCAGGCTGGTCTCAAACTCCTGGCCTCAAAGCAATCCACCCACCTCAGCCTCCAAAGTGTTGGCATTACAGGCATGAGCCCCTGTGCCTAGCCTAAAATGAGGTTTTAGATCAGTCACCCAACCCCCACCTTTCTTTCTAATCCTCTTGTTTTTAATACTTTACAATTTTCAGTTATTCTATTGGTTATCTTTGTAACATTTAACTATGTACTTAAAGCTCGCTTGATTTCTGGTTGGGTCAAATTTCAATAGTCTCCTCTTGTAAAATAAGTTAACTTGAACTCTTATCTGTCTTTCTACCAAGACGTCCCCTCCTATCCCCAACTTCTGTTAGTTTTACTTCTATATTTATATCATTGTGGTTGATAACATTTAATTCAGTCTTTCTTATTTTACCATAGATTGATTTTAGAGGTTGAAAACCTATACACTATGTTTACATGATTATGACTTTGTCAATATTGTTCACTCAGTGTGACAGCACCACAGTTCCCTCTCTATGGGTCCACTGTCATAAGGGAGACGACCTTTGATCAGCTGTGGAGAATACCTGGTTACAAAGGTGTTTGATGAATACGAGGGCTCAGAATCTCCCACACTTATGCAAATGTTTAATTTCTACAAATTTCTCACAATTAAAACAACAATAATATCAGGGCACAGATTATGGAGAATATCATCCTAAATGAAGTCAATCGTTGCCAGTATGGGAAGGTCCCCTGTGATCCACCCAAATAAATTCTTCCCACCTGCCTGACTTGCCTCTGTAATCAGTAATTCACACCTTTGCAGTTAAGCAAATCTCTCCACAAATATCTTCCTGGGAGGGCCACCACATTAAGCAGCTGACACCTTGGTGCAACCCATTTTATCAGATTGCTGCCTTCCTGTATGTCAGGAAGGGTGAGCCAGCTCCTATAAGCACAGGACGCCAAGCAGGTGGAGCTGCTGCATGGCAGAAGGGGAAGGCAGCTCTTCCCTGACTTCCCAGTCGCCAGCCAGCCCCGCTGGGAAGGGCAGTGGGTAGCAGCTGAAGTTTTCCTCGCTTCCAGCTCCCACTCTCACTGCTGACTAAGGTGTGCGGAGGCTGATGTTGGCAACACTGCTAAAAGGCTGAGATGCCGCTGCAGCTCCAGAAGTGCCAGGCTGGCAGCAGCCGCCTCCCCAACACAGCCTTGCAGGCTTCCACTTGTCCAGAGCAATCGAGAAAAAGGATGTCAGGAGGTCAAAAGAAAACCAGGGCAAAAGACCCTAGGGAAAGAGCCATAGGCTCTAGGGAAAACCTGAAGGAGCTTCGGGAAAGAGAGCCGAGGGGTGCCACCTTCTGCCTCCAAATGCTGGGTTGACCTAAGCTGAGGAATGTTCTTTCTCCTCCTGCTTTTCCGTCATAGCTCATATCATGTCTGCTCTGTGCCTGTCTCCATCATATATATGACTGCAGGCTCTATGAGGGGAGAACCTACCTTGTCTTGTCTCCACTGCATCTTCATGCCCAGCACCGTGCCTGGAAGACCGCAGGTGACTGAATGAAGCACTAGGCACATGCAGAATTGATATGCTCTTTGGTTTGCAAACGCCCTTCTCCTCAGCAGGTCTGTAACTTACTCACCTCTGTCCTTCTGCATGCAAGCAGCGTCAGCTCATTACATTTAGACTAAATCCAACTGAAATGCTGAGAATCAAAGGAAAGGATTGTCTCTTCAGTCTCTTCAGCCAAAGCAAGGTCCTCTTGGGTTGGTTTAGGGAACTAGGACAACCCAGGGCCCTCCAGTGTATGTATTAGGTTGTTGCAAAAGTAATTGTGGTTTTTGTCTTTTTTTTTTTTAAATAAGGGCAAAAACCACAGTTACTTTGGCATCAACCTAGTAATGCCCACCAGACTTCTTGCCGTCTGAAGTTGTACAAGTGAGTGCCTATTAAGGAGGAAAAGAGACTCAGACACCAAGAAAAGCAGCTTTTGGTGTCCATTTTATATATTCAAATATTAGTGGATACACTCACATCTGTGAGAAAGGATGTCTATCCAGGGGTTTTCACTCCAGCTTTGTTTGAAATAGCAAAATGTTGGAAACAACCTAAATGTCCTGTTTATTGAGTATTGGGTTAAATAAATGATGGTACTTACATATAATGGAATTTACTATGGCCATAAAACAATGCAGAAGCCCTTTATGTGCTGATGCAGAACACTCTCCAGATGTACTGTTTTTTGTTTTTTGTTTTTTTTGTCTGTTTTCTTTTTTTTTTTTGAGATGGAGTCTTGCTCTGTCGCCTAGGCTGGAGTGCAGTGGCATGATCTCGGCCCACTGCAACCTCCACCTTCCGGGTTAAAGTGATTCTCATGCCTCAGCCACCTGAGTAGCTGGGATTACAGGCCTGTGCCACCATGCCCAGTTAATTTTTGCATGTTTTAGTAGAGAACGGGGTTTCACCATGTTGGCCAGGCTGGTCTCGAACTCCTGGCCTCAAGGGATCCGCCCGCCTCGGCCTCCCAAAGTGCTGGGATTACAGGTGTGAGACACCACGCCCAGCCAAGATGTACTGTTAAGTGAGAAAAGTAAGGCACACACAGTATGTTGTGTACATTTGTGAAAAAAAAAAAGGAAGAAGAGTACATACATATGTAGTTATTTGTACATGTAAAATTCTCTCCTGATAGAAATAGAAGAATCTGGTAACACTAATTGTGGGGAAGAAAACCACGTGATTTGGAGACACATAGTAGGGAAACCACTTTTCTACTTTTTTTTTTTTTGAGACAGGGTCTTGCTCTGCCACCCAGGCTGGAGTGCAGTGTTGCTATCATAGCTCACTGCAGCCTCAGACTCCTGGGCTCAAGCAATCCTCCCACCACAGCCTCCTGAGTAGCTGGGACTACAGGCACGTGCCACCACGACTGACCCTACCTTTTGAATTTTGAATCATGTGACTGTGTGATTGATTGATTGATTGATTTTATTTTTTATTTTTTTGAGACGGAGTCCCACTCTGTCACCCAAGCTGGAGTGCAGTGGTATGATCTCAGCTCACTGCAACCTCTGCTTCGCGGGTTCAAGCGATTCTCCCGTCTCAGCCCCCGAGTAGCTAGGACAGAGGCGCACACCACCATGCCCGGCTGATTGTTTTGTATTTTTAGTAGAGACAGGCTTTCACCGTGTTGGCCAGGCTGGTCTCAAACTCCTGACCTCAGGTGATCCGCCCACCTCGGCCTCCCAAAGTGCTGGGATTACAGGCATGAGCCACTGCACCCGGCCATATTTTTAAATGTAAATAAAATTGAATTTTGTAATAAATAATAACAAATGCCTCATTTATGCCAGTCGATATCTTTCAACTCTCTTTTTCAGTTTAGCAACTCTGTGAAATGGGTATGGGAAAATAAATTATCCTCATGTTCCAACTAAGAAAGCAGACTTAGAGAAATAACGTAAGTACCTAAGTGCATGTGTGCACATGTGCGAGAATGCAGGCCTGTGTGAGTGTGTGTGAGCATGTGACTGTGTGTGACTGTGTAACACACGTGTGTGTGAATATGCACGTGTAAGACTATACAGCATGTGTGTGAATGTGTGACTATGTAAAGCACACATGTGAGTGTGTCAACACCGTGTATGACTGTGTAAAGTGTGTGTGCGTGTGTATGAGCATGCATGTGTGGTTGTGTAAGGCACATGTGTATGAATGCGTGTGAACATGTATGTGTGAGACCATGTGAAATAAAGCATGTGTGGATGTGCACCTGAGGCCTGGGAGGCCTGGCCTGGAAGAAACCAATTGCAGAGGTGGAGGAGCCCCTGAGGAGACAAAAAGCCGTGGGAGCAGGAGCAGGGGGAGGAGAGGAGGCAGGGGCAGGCCTGGAGTGCAGCTGGGCCTGGAGCTTGGAGAGAAGGCCCAAGGTGCTGGTCGCTTGAGGAGCACCACCATGCCTGGGTCTGAAGTCCTCAGGGCAAGTACCCACCAGGCCCAGAGCTCGGGTACAGCATTGCTACCCCTGGAGGAGGCCTTTCCTGGACCCACCCACAGCAGACAGTAGGGGCTGGTCCGGTGAGCCCCAGCAGGAACAGTCATTAACCATGTAAGCTGATTCGGTGCAGCTGGAGGTGGAGATGGAAGTGTCTGCGTCTCACTGGCAAGCTGTTTCCCTCTGCGCTGCATGCTCCACAAGTAGTAACTCCTACACAAACGCTAGAGCTGCAGAGACACAGCCCCCAGCCTCTCCCACCTCAGAGAGTGGGGAGGGCCCAGGCCTAGGGAAGGGATGGTGGAGTGGGCAGGCATAGAGGGAAGGTATGGGGATTGGAGGGGACGTGGAGAATATTTTGAGTGGGTTTGTTGTGGTCTGGTGCAAACTGCTGTGCTGGGAAGGCGAGTGTCTATACTGCTGGCAGTTTCCTCTTCATCCTGCTGGAGCACCTGGCACCCTCCATGCCTCATGTTGGCCAGATGTTCCACTGTCTCCATGGAATGCAGATGTTAATGTGGCAGTTCAGCATCTATCCTGAGCATTGATGTTCTTGCCAGGCTACTGAACCTCTGTGTGTGAGTGCATGTGAGTGTGTGTGTGTGTGTGTATACTGTGTGAACAAGTGCAAGGAGTCCTGGAAAGGGGCTTATCTTGCCCTTGGAGCTGAGGGTAGCATCACTTCTTTTTTTTTTTTTTTTTCCCTCTGAGACAGAGTCTTGCTCTGTTGCCCAGGCTGGAGCACAGTGGCTTGATCTCAGCTCACTGCAACCTCCACCTCTCGGGTTCAAGCAATTCTCCTGCCTCCGCCTCCTGAGTAGCTGGGATTAGAGGCACATGCCACCACGCCCAGCTAATTTTTTATATTTTTAGTGGAGATGGGGTTTCACCATGTTGGCTAGGCTGGTCTTAAACTCCCGACCTTGTGATCTGCCTTCCTCAGCCTCCCAAAGTGCTGGGATTACAAGCATGAGCCACAGCACCCGGCCGCACCACTTCCTTTTAATGCTCCTAAGAAAGCCCAAGCCACAAAGGTACAAAGCAGGGAAGGGCCCTGTTGTGGGTTGAATTGTATCCCCCCAAAAGATACTGAAGTCCTAACTCCCAGTACCTGTGAGTGTGACTTTATTTGAAAATAGGGACTTTGCTGATGATCAAGTTAAAATGGGGTTGTTAGGGTGGGCCCTGATCCAGTACGATTGATGTCCTAATTTTAGGGGGAAATTTAGACTTCGAGACACACACATAGGGAGGACACCTTATGAAGATAAGGGCAGATATGGGGTGATGCATCTGCAAGCCACGGAGCAGCAAAGATGGCCAGCAAGCGCCCAAAGCTGGGTCAGAGCATGTATGTGTGGTTGTGTAAGCACATGTGTACAACTGTGTGTAAACATGTATGTGTGTGGCTATGTGAAATAAAACATGTGAATGTGTACCCGCAGCCTGGGTCAGATTCTCCTTCACAGCCCTCAGAAGGAACTAACCCTGCCAACACCTTGATCTCAGACTTCAAGCCTCCCATACTATGGGACAGTAAATGTTCTAAGCCACCCAATGTTGGTGGCTTGTTAGAACGTCCCTGAGAAAGTAACACAGGCACGATAGCACACCGGTCAGGAGCATGGAACTGAGTCTGAATCCAGCTCCACCACCCAGCGTCACCGCCCTGGGCAAGTCACTCAAGTGCTAGGAGCCTCTGTTTCTTAAAGTGGGACTGGGAAGAGCATCGCCTTCCCAGGCCTGTTGTGAGGATTCCATGGGTTTGGCCCACTGCCAGCCACATGCTAAGGGCTTAGTAAACTGTGGCTGTTATTGTTATTAAGAACACAGCTGTTTTCAGGGTCTCTGTCAAAATTCCTGATGACAAAATTATCTCCAACCTGCACAAAGTCCAAACATGAGAAACTGGAAGAGGAAAACAGAAGAGAAAGCCATGTTGTGGAGGGCATACTGTGCCAGGCACGGTGCTGTGTGCTTTCCCAGAGGAATTTAAATTCTAGGCCGGGCGCAGTGGTTCACACCTGTAATCCCAGCACTTTGGGAGGCCAAAGCAGGCGGATCACTTGAGGTCAGGACTTTGAGACCAGCGTGGCCAACATGGTGAAACCCTGTCTCTACTAAAAATACAAAAATTAGCTGAGCGTGGTGGCACATGCCTGTAGTCCCAGCTACTGGGGAGGCTGAGCACGAGAATCGCTTGAACCCAGGAGACAGAGGTTGCAGTGAGCTGAGATCATGCCACTGCCCTCCAGCCTGGGCGATAGAGTGAGACCTTGTCACAAGTAAATAAATAAATTCTAGCACTCAAAAGGCTTAGGAGAGGGAGACCTGGGACCCAGGGGAAGGACCTACAGGTGGGGATGGAGGGTGAGGGACAGGTCTGATAGGGGAAGTGAGGCAGGGACCTCCAGGGGAAGGGACACCCAGGCCCTGAGTGCCCCTGTGCCCCCTCCCTGCCCAGCCCCTGGCCATGCTTGCCATCGTGGGGAGGTGCCTCGTGGGAGATGTGGAGCACAAACATCACGGCCAGTGGAGCCAGAGTCACCTGACCCGCAATAATGCGCCTTTCTGCCCCAGCGGAGACAGAGGGCATTGTGTGTGCGGCTGCGGCCTGAGACTCGCAGCACAGCCTGCCTCTCAGAAAAGCATGATTGTCTTGGGCAACCTCTGCGGCCTGGGGCTGCCGACCAGTACGTCATAACAAACCCAGAGCGGGCGAAGGGACAACCACCCTCTAGGGACAGAGCCGCTTTGAGACTCCAGTCTTAGAGGCCCCAAGGAGCCAGGGCAGAAACGGGAAGCAGGCCGAGGTGGGGGCTTTGGGACAAAATGGGTAATTCGGAGCGGTAGGAACTTTTTCAAAGACCCTGGCATAGGGCGTCACAGAATCTACAGCCAGGATTTGTCAGGAAAATCAGTGGTTATGAGGAGATGGTGTGTAGTTCAAATCCCCACTGGGGCATTCGCTGGCTGGGTGATTTATAGCAAAATTGCAGATAAGGCATAGTTTCCCTCAACCCATAGATAGGGAGGTTTGGGAGGATTAAAGGAATTGATGTCAGATCCCTGGTAGACACTCAAGAAATATTAGCTGTCATAATGATTATTAATCTATATTGTTCCAAATAAATTAGAAAAGCAAAATGTTTAGCACAGAGCCTGGTACCTAGTAGCTGCCTAATAAATACTAGCCTGTGCTCTGCATCCCTGACTTCTGTCCAGGAAGCCGCAGTTTTGGAGAGGCTAACAGAGTGGCCTCTTTTCTTTAGAGGCATCCTTTCTCCAGCAGAGAAAGGTGTCTGGTGAACCCGCTGACAATCACTCTAGGCGAATGATCCTGTTCAGTTTCCTCCTCAGGGCTGGGCCCCGGCCAGCCTGGCAGTAGCTTCTGTTTTGCAGGTAGGAGGCAGTAGCCAGGTGCAGACAAGGAGGCCTTCCTTCGCCTGCCTTTGCTGTGCCTCCCAGTGAATTCACATCCTGTGTTCTGCCTGAGCCTCAGCCTGGCCCAGTTCTTGGGAGATTACCTTTCCTTTGTCTCATGTCCTGGCATCTGGAAGAGCTAACACCCTCACCCCAGTCAGCAACCAAATGAGCTTCCAGAGCTCCGGCCAGCCCTGCCCTGCCCACGGCTCGGGACCTTGCAGGAATTGGGAGGGAATGTGCCTCCTGGGCCCATGCCCAGCTCTGACTGAGGCTGGGCCGAGGGCCTCTCCTTGTCCCTCCCCCACAGACACACAGGGCTTTATAGTCAGATTATGCCATGGAAACTATGCACACGGCCTGCCCCGTTCACATGGCCTCAGAAGAAAAAATAACAGTGCCTCCTCTCTCTGCCAAGACCCACAGTCCTTGCAGGCCTGAACTACCAAAGCAGACCTCTTATGTGAAACGGGTCCCTGTAAAAATCTCAGGAGGTCGTGCCATTGCACTCCAGCCTGGGCAACAGAGTGAGACGCCGTCTCAAAAGAAATCTCAGGAGGACTTCTTTGGGGGTGCCCTTAAATCATTCCCCCTCCCCCTGCCCCCGGCCCTCAGCTTCCCTCTCCTCAGACATCTGGAGGGCTCCTCCCACCAGGAACAAAGCCTTATATGGCAGTGTCCTTCTGAGACAGGCTCATTTCCCTCTCTAGTATCTTCCTTAGGCCCTGGGAGCCCCACTCTGGTCCTCCCCCAGCCTCCCTCTTCCTCTTGGGATGAAGTCAGCAGAGCCAACAGGGCGTGTCCATTTGAGCCTCCCCCGCCTTCCAGACCTGTGCTGTCTAATACGGCAGCCACTAGCCACATTTGGTAATTTATTCTTTATTTTTATTTATTTATTTATTTTGAGAGTCTTACTCTGTTGTCCAGGCTGGAGTGCAGTGGCGAGATCACGGCTCACTGAAGCCTCGACTTCCCCAGCTTAAGTGATTCTCCCACCTCAGCCTCCTGAGTAGCTGGGACTACAGGCACATACCACCACACCTGGCTAATTTCTCCTATTCTTTTGGTGGATGTAGGGTCTCACTATGTTGCCCTGCCTGGTCTCAAACTCCTGAGCTGAGGTGATCCTCCTGCCTCAGCCTCACAAAGTGCAGGGATTACGGGCATGAGCCACTGTGCTGGCTTTTTTTCTACTCAAGATAGTACTTTACACATGTGGCAATTTAAATTTACATGTTACTCAATTACAAATTTTTAAATAAAAAAATCCAGTTCCTGGCCAGGCACGGAGGCTCACGCCTGTAATTCCAGCACTTTGGGAGGCCAAGGCAGGCAGATCACTTGAGCCCAGGAGTTCAAGATCAGCCTGGGCAACATGACGAAACCCCATCTCTACTAAATAATACAAAAATTAGCTGGGCATGGTGGTGCATGCCTGTGGTCCCAGCTACTCCAGAGGCTGAGGCGATAGGACCACTTGAGCCCAGGAAGGGGAGGTTGCAGTGAGTAGTGAGCGGGCCACTGCACCCTAGCCCGGGCGACAGAATGAGACCCTGTCTCACAAAAAAAGAAAAAAAAAAAAAAAGAGACAGGATTTCACTAGGTTGCCCATGCTGATCTCAAACTCCTGAGCTCAAGCAATCCTCCTGCCTCAGCTAGCACTGGGTCAGAGTTCCAGAAGCCGAATTTCTAGACACGGGTATAGCCATGGTGTGGGCGGGGTGGAAAGGCAGTGAGTTCTCCATTACAGGGCACTTCACTCAGGGCCTGGAGGACACCCTGCCTGGGATGCTACAGTGTGGCCTCTTGCTTCAGATAAGGGAAGAGCCAGCCCAGATGAGTTCTAATGTCTCTTTTATTTCTGAGATCCAGATCCTGGGCCTGGAACTGCTACAGCCAGAAGGGTTTCTATAAGACACAGAAGCAGGACCCACAGATTTTCGCTGTCTTGGTTTTCAGCATCACAAGACTCTGGCTCCTTTTCTAGATTCAGAGTCTGGCCCCTGGCCTCTGGCCCAGGCTGCCTCCCTCTACCAGTTCCAGGGCTGGGGGCTGGGGCCTCTGAGAGCAAACGGGCGTGTCAGAATGGGGAAAGTGACTGGGGCTGGCATGCAGAGTTGAGAGTCTAGCTAGTGAGCTGGGACTAATGAACCTGAGAAAGAACAGGTCCAAACAGGCCCCAGGGAGGCTTCGGGAGCCAGGGCCCAGGCCACAGAGCTGAACAAATCACCGTGAGTCAAGCCGGGCAGGAGATCACGCTGCCCTGTCCCTGGGCTAGGCTTTCACTCATGCTTCCTGGGATATAAGCATGAGGGCTGGAGGTATAAGCACAGGCCTGCTAGGACTGTGGCTCCATTTAAGGGGCCAGAGAGAGTGAAAACGTGGTGACTACAGTGACAAGTGAGAGTTTACTCATCATTGGATGTACAGAGAAAAGGGAGGACTTGATTTCTTCAGAAGTATCATAAATTGCTACAGGGTTAGGCTGAAGAGCCTAGGCTAAGGTCCTGTGTATCCACCAGAGGGACGCACAGAATTGGGCTCCTCTGGGAGGGGAAGAAGAAAGGAACTCGTGTGTGTTTAGTGCCTGGCACCATGTTGCATGTTTTCTCCAGCTTACACTAAGGTGATGTTGACTATGTGCCAGGCATTGTCCAAGTACCCCACACACTAGTGAAGGAAGCTACGACACAGAGAGGGTTTGTAACCTGTCTGAGGTCACTCATCTGGCAAGGAGTGGAATTCAAACCCAGGTGCCCAGGTATTCTGGCTCCAGAACCAGGCTTTCCCCGCTCTGCTGGCTACTTCTCTAGGGCCCATCTTCATTTCCAGAACAACCACCGGGAAGAGTATCACGACCTCCATTCTTAAAAACGCAAAGCTCAGGCTCAGCGCAGTTAAATGACTTGCCCTCGGTTGTGCCATTAGCCAGCCTCAGAGCCAAGATTCAGCCCTGGGTCCGTGTGACCCCAGTGCTCTTTCTGCCACCCCACACTGAGTCTCCAGGAGGGAATGAGATGAGGATTTATTTAGCACAGCTACTTTTAAAGTCACAACATACAAATTTTGTTTTTAAAGAAACAAAGTGGCTGGGTGTGGTGGCTCACGCCTGTAATCCCAACACTTTGGGAGGCCAAGGTGGGAGATCCCCTGAGGTCAGGAGTTCAAGACCAGCCTGGCCAACATAGCGAAACCCCGTCTCTACTAAAAATACAAAAATTAGCTGGGCATGGTGGCACGTGCCTGTAGTCCTGGCTGCTCGGGAGGCTGAGGCAGGAGAATTGCTTGAACCTGGGAGGTGGAGGTTGCAGTCAGCCTAGATCGCTCCACTGCACTCCAGTCTGGGTGACAGAGTGGGACTCTGTCAAAAAAAAAAAAAAAGAGAGAGAGAGAGAAAGAAAAAGAAAGAAAAGAAAAGGAAAGAAAAGAAAAGGAAATGAAGCAATAAAATCTCTGTGAGAACCCTCGTGTAATCAGGCTAGATGAATTGTCTGGGCTTCAAACAAATCAGCAGTAAAAAGAAGCAAGGCTTTTATTGAAATTGATTCCACGCCATTGTTATTGTAACTTCAGGTGTCAGCTGCTGTTGACATAGACTGCATCATCCCAATGGCATAGGTGAGAGGAACAGGGTTTGACAAAAAGAATCCTTTGTGGAGTTGACCCATTTTCCAGCTTGAGAAAAAGTTCAATCAGCTCTGAGTTAAGTTTCTGCCTCTGGTGTCTTCTCATCATCCCCTGCCCACAGCCTGGTTCCCCACCACTCCCCCTACCTACCTCATCCCTCTCTTGTGTCTAGAGGTCAGAGTGGTAGAAAGAGCTGTGCACTTCGAGTCAAAGGACCAGGTCTAGTTTGTGTGTGTGTGTGGTTTTTTGTATGTTTGTTTGTTTTGTTTTGTTTTGTTTTTTAAGACGGAGTTTTGCTCTTGTTGCCCAGGCTGGAGTGCAATGGCTCAATCTTGGCTCACCACAACCTCCGCCTCCCAGGTTCAAGTGATTCTCCTGCCTCAGCCTCCCGAATAGCTGGGATTACAGGCATGTGCCACCACGCCGGGCTACTTTTGTATTTTTAGTAGAGACGGGGTTTCTCCATATTGGTCAGGCTGGTCACGAACTCACAACCTCAGGTGATCCACCCGCCTCGGCCTCCCAAAGTGCTGGGATTACAGGCGTGAGCCACCATGCCTGGCCTGTTTGTTTTGAAACAGAGCCTCATTCTGTTGCCCAGGCTGGAGAGCACTGGTGCTATCTCAGCCCACTGCAACCTGCACCTCCTAGGTTCAAGTGATTCTCCTGCCTCAGCCTCCCAAGTAGCTGGGACTACAGGCGCTCGCCACCACGCCCGGCTAATTCTTGTAGTTTTAGTAGAGATGGGGTTTCACCATGTTGGCCACGCTGGTCTCAAGCTCCTGACCTCTGGGGATCTTTCCACCTCGACCTCCCAAAGTGCTGGGATTACAGGCATGAGCCGCCGTGCCTGGCCCAGATCTAGTTTTGTCACCAATTAGCTGTGTGAGGTTGAGTGAGTCACTTAACTTCTCTGAGACTCTCTGGAAAGTTGGAACCCAGTGATCTTCAAGGTCTTGACTAGCTCCAGGGCTAGTGCTTGTCGTTATTCATTCAATGGGCTGGCTTGAGTCAGGCATTGTGCTAAATGCTGGGGAAACTGAGGTTACTAGTGCCTATCGCTGGCTCCGAGGAGCTCACAGCCTAGCACTGTGACACAATTCCATGTGACAAGCATCCTAATGGAGGCAAGCTGAGACCATGCTAACCCAAAGCACAGCATTCTTGCTGGGAGGGATCAGAAAGGCCCCAGGGAGAAGGAGATCTCTGTGCTGTATGTCAAATTATAAGAAGGTGATGAGGGACATTGGAACAGGAGGAACAGCATGCACAAAGGCACAGAGCTGTGGACCAGCACAGCACACTAGGCCCCTGCAAGTCATGTGGTGTGGCTGGGGCAGAGGCTGCATGTAAAGGAGAAGGAGTCAAGTCTTCAGAGATGGGCAGGGGCCACATCACACCGGCACAGGGACCTACAGAGGATCGGCAGTCTGACATGTTTGGAAACCACACCAGTGGCAAGAAGGATGAGCAGTGGCAACTTCGGGGGTCAATCAGAAAATCATTCCAAAAGCCAGAAAGACTGAGGGACTCCACTAAGGCAGTAGCAGTGGGCATGGGAGAGAATGCAGAGATAAAAATTGTTCTCATTTAAAGAGGAAGAATGTACAGTGACAGAGTGGGGGCAGAAGTCAAATAAAACAAGGGGTCCCAATTTCTGACAGTGGTGCCTGGGTGGATTAGAAACACAAAAGGATGAAAGGCTTGGGGGAAAAGATAATCAAATGTGTGTTGTATGTCTGAATGGATGAAACTCCTCTAGTTTAGAAAACTTGTATTATTTTAAAGGGCATTTAGAAATGATTACCTTGGCTAGGTGTGGTGGCTCACACCTGTAATCCCAGCAATTCAAGAGGCCGATGTGGGAGGATTGTTTGAGCCCAGGGGTTGGACACCAGCCTGGGCAACATGGTGAAACCCCATCTCTACAAAAAATAGAAAAATTAGCCTGGCATGGTGGCACATGCCTGTAGTCCCAGCTACTCAGGAGGCTAGGTGGGAGGATTATTTGAGCCCAGGAGGTTGAGGCTACAGTGAGCCATGATTGCACCATTGCATTCCAGCCTGGGCGACAGAGCAAGACCCTGTCTTAAGGAAAAAAAAAAAGGCAAAACAAAAACATGACTATCTTATTCTTAAAACCCTACAGTAATGGAGATACTGTTTTGAACCACTTTCAAAACCATTTTCATTATCAGTAAGCCATATGCTGTCATTGCACCACAGGGCTTGTGTCCTAGGGAAGGAGAAAGGTAGATACCTTTCTAGAAAAATCCACAGGGCAGGGAAGAGGGAAAATATGAGGGAAAGGAAGTCTCTGAAAAACAGAAAGAGGAAGTGTGAACCCTCTGGAGCTTGAAAGCGGGTAAGTGGGGATGGACATCAGATGCCAGTGCTCTCTCACCCTTGTCAAACCTTGTCGGTGGCATGTACAACAGTAGAAAAACTCCACAGAGGTCAAGAGCATGTCAGAGACAAAAATGACATATGTTGCTAGGTGTGGTGGCTCAGGCCTGTAATCCCAGCAATTTGGGAGGCCAAGGTAGGAGGACTGCTTGAGCCCAGGAGTTCAAGACCAGTCTGGGCAACATAGTGAGACCTCATCTCTACTAGGAATAAAAAAATTAGCTGGGTGTGGTGGCTTATACCTGTGGTCTCAGCTACTTGGGAGGCTGAGCCTGAAGGATTGCCTGAGCCCAGAAGTTGAGGCTGCAGTGAGCCATGATTGTGCCACTGCACTCCAGACTGTGTAACAGAGTGAGACCCTGTCCCTCCCCACTCCAAAAAACCATGTGTGCCCCACTTTTTTTTTTGAGTTGGAGTCTCGCTCACTCTGTCACCCCAGCTAGAGTGCAGTGGCATGATCTCGGCTCACTGCAACCTCCACCTCCCAGGTTCAAGCAATTCTCCTGCCTCAGCCTCCTGAGTAGCTGGGATTACAGGCGTGTGCCATCACGCCCAGCTAATTTTTGTATTTTTAGTAGAGACAGGGTTTCACCATGTTGGCCAGGCTGGTCTCAAACTCCTGACCTCAAGGGATCCACCCGCCTCGGCCTCCCAAAGTGCTGGGATTACAGGCGCACCCGGCCGTGCCCCACTTTTTGATTGGAGCCCTGGAGCAGTCAGTCGCCTTCCAGCATGTCCTTATGTCCACCTGGAGTGGCTCCAGCAAAGTAGAGACAACAGCAAGGTGTGTTGAAGCTGGGACAGGGACCTTAGGTGTTCCACCCCTTTCACACTGCCCCACCTCAGTTCCCCTTGGCTTGAGTGCGGCTGGGAGAAACCCAGAAGTCCCTAGGAGGCCCTAGGGAATGCACAGGTGATTGAGAGCTGAGAGCCTGTGGACCTGCCTCAGGCTGAAGCCCAGAGATAAATGGAAAGCACTGGGGACATGGGAGGGGTTCCGGTTTGTATCTACAGGACCAGCAAAGCTGGCACAGGACCCACAAGCCGGGTAAACCACCAGGTCCTCCCAGCCAGACCCCTGACTGTGGATGTCAGCAGATGTAAAGGCCACTGAGGACCAGAGGGCAACACAGAGCCCTGCACCCAGAGTTATCCACAGGGTGGGGCTGGGAGCGGGAGAGGCAGGAAGGGGACACACCCAGAGAGGAGGTGACAGTCCAGGCAGGGACTTGGCTGAAATTTTATCCAAGAAGAGGCTGAACTAACTTAATAAAACTAACTAAATAAAACTTAATAAAGCGATTCTCCTGCCTCAGCCTCCTGAGTGGCTGGGATTACAGGCATGCGCCACCATGCCCAGCTAATTTTTGTATTTTTAGTAGAGACAGGGTTTCTGCATGTTGGTCAGGCTGGTCTTGAACTCCCAACCTCAGGTGATCTACCCACCTCGGCCTCCCAAACCTGAGAGGCGGAGGTTGCAGTGAGCCGAGATCACGACGTTGCACACCAGCCTGGGCAACAAGAGCGAAACTGTCTGAAAAAAAAACGTAACTTTCAATGAGTTTTGGCAAATGTGTACAATTGCGTAACTATCACCTCAGTTAAGATAAGGACAATTCCATCACCCCGAAAAGGTTCTTCATACCTTTGTGTAGTCAGTCATGCTCCCCTTACCCCCTCACCGACCTGATGTCCATCTCAGTAATTTGGCCTTTTCCAGAATTTTATATGAATAAAATCATGTAAAATGTAGCTTTTTTTTTTCTTTTTTTTGAGACAAGGTCTCACTCCTGTTGCCCAGGCTGGAGTGTAGTGGCAAGATTTCAGCTCACTGCAACCTTGACTTCCCAGGTTCTTGTGATCCTCCCACTTCAGCCTCCCGAGTAGTTGGGACTACAGGCACAACCGCCACACCCAGCTAACATTCTGTATTTTTATAGAGACAGAGTTTTGTCATGTTGCCCAGGCTGGTCTTGAACTAGGCTCAAGCAATCCACCTACATGAACCTCTCAAAACGCTAGGATTTCAGGCTTGAGCCACCGCGCCCAGCTTGTGCTAAACTTTTAAACGTTATTTCCTTTACTATCTCAGCTTCCTCCTCCTCCACTCAGCCTTCTCTGCGAATTGCTTTATATGGACAAAACTGGGACCAGCAGCAACCTCCACAGCTGCCCCAACCCCACCACCAGACCCTTGTGTGACAACAGTCCCCAGGGTCATGGGTCTGGATCGTTGACATTCTAATCTTATTGGTTCTCTGCAACACTTTCTTTGGGTTATTTCTCTCTTTTTTTTCCCCCACCTCTTAGGACACAGAAGCTCTTTCTTCAGATCCCCCCCACTTATAGCCCCCTCCTCTCCTCCTCACCTGTTGGCCCTCTGCCCTGGCAGCCTGGTTCCCCAGGGAATCCATGCACAAGGGCCTCCCTCCCTTCCATGCACTCCTCCCCTTCTGCACAATCTTCCTCCTCTCTTCTCATCGTCTGTCTTCTATCACCTTGTTTTCTGTGCCCAGGCCCTCTCGTGATCTCATTTGCCACAGATACACCCTGCTGCCCAGCTCCTGCCCGCAGGCATCATTTGATCGATGGGTTTGAGGTTTGTTGACAGTTGGGGTTTTTCTCTCTCAGTGAGGAAGAAGCAAGAAACCTCAACACTGCAATTTCCTCAACTCCCAGTGACGGTGACAAATTCTGAGGCTCCAGGGCGGGGGCTGTGTCTTCACATGCCCTGTGGAGTGTTGTCCTCACAGTGGTAAATAAATAAGGAGGTGAAAAGGTAAGACAAGAGGGAGCAGCATCTGTGCTTAGGGGCAGGGCTCAATTTGTCTGATGTGGGAGGACCTCAAAGGTGTCTCTCTTCTCACCTAGGCCAGACATTTGCAAGCTGACTGCCCTAAAGGAGCTGTACACACCTTCTTCATCCACCATGTGCCTTAGCAAAGGGTCACACCCAGGGAACTGAAGCTCTCTCTGTGTCTCTAGGGGTGGGAAGGCAGTGTCTGTGGTTATCCACCTCCATTCAGAGCCAAGTGAGTTCAGACTGCTGGGTTCTCGTCCTAAACTCTTTCACCGACTACCCCTGAGGCCTTGAGCAAGTGACCTAACCTCCTCCTCGTGCTTCTGTTTCCCCATCTTTACAATGACAGTCGTCATGGGGACAAATTCACTGGGTTGTAGTACAGATGGAATGAGAGCAAGCCGTCGCGCAGAAGACGTGCTCAACAAATGGAAACCACTGCTATCATTTTCATTCTTATTATCTCAATTTAGGAAACAAGGATCCCGACATTGCAAGCTATTCCAGGTGAAGCTAAAAAGAAGATAATCCCCAAGTCTCTGGGTAAAGAAACTCACTGCCACCCTCAATCAAATCAAAGCCAGATTCCGTGATGTTGGTAGTGAAGGGGAAGTCCCCCCAGGGGTGGGGTGGAGTGAGGTGTGGCTTTCCTTACCCATTGGTGGTACCAGTGAGACGAGGGAGAAATCTCCCAGGAAAGGTGAGCCTTGGAGGGCAAAACACAGCCAAGAGATCTAACCGCTTTTCCCATGTGGAGAGTCTCCTGCCAGCCAGAGCCAATCTCAGGAAATATGAGTTCGATTTTATTAAGGAAACCAACACGTTTCCTTCTGTCTAATGTAGCCTCTGTGTTATTCACATTGTTGGCTCCCAGGATGTGAAATGTCATCCTAGTACAGAACCCAGAAAAGAGTGGGCTGAATGTCTCTTTAGAGAGCTTTAGCCAACTATTTAAAAAAGTGGAGTCTACCTTCCTAACAGAGTTAATAATCACATGCCTTTATAGGAAGCAGTAGTAATAGTTGTGGTAATAATAACAGCTGACTTTTTCTCTTAGCAGTTGCAGTATAAGGTTCATAACCATCCTGTTAAGATGGTATTATTTATAGTCATCACTCAGTATCTTGCTGGGATTGGCTCCAGCACCCCCTTGGATACCAAAATCCACGGATACTCAAGTTTCTGATATAAAATGGTATAGTATTTGCATATAACCTAGGCACATCCTTCCATATACTTTTTTGTTTCTTTGTTTGTTTGTAACAGAGTCTTACTCCTTCGCCCAGGCTGGAGTGCAGTGTCATGATCATAGCTCACTGCAGCCTCAAACTCCTGTGCTAAAGCAATCCTCCTGCCTCAGCCTCCTGAGTAGCTGAGACTACAGGTGCACCACAGCACCAGGCTGATTTTTTTTTTAAGTTCTTATAGAGACAGGGTCTTACTAATGTTTACGAGGCTGATCTCAAACTCCTGGGGCCTTAGGCGATCCTCCTGCCTTGGCCTCCCAAAGTACCGTTATTACAGATATGAGACACTGTGCCTGGCCAACTTTCCTATACTTTAAATCATCTCTAGATAACTTATCATGTCAAATATTAATACAATGTAAATTCCATGCAAATGGTTGTTATACTATATTGTTTTTATCTGTATTATTTTTGTTGTATTGTTGTTTTTATTGTTGGGTTTTTTTCAATATTTTCTATCTGTGGTTGGTTGAATCCACAGATGTGGAAACTGTGGATATGGAAAGCTGACTGTATTAGAATTTTATAGAACAAGAAACTAAGGCTTCATTAATTTAAATAGCCTGCTAGGATCATAAAGATGGGAGGCATTCTCCAACCCTTGTTTGATTCTGGATTTGAACTTGGGTCAGCTTGAATTCAACGCCAGAGTGCCTAACAGTATTTTGTCTCTTAGAGGAGTCTAGATTGCAACTGCATTTCAACCTAGTAAGAAAAGCATGTATAAGATCTGCTTTCTTTCTGATCTCCTCTGGGTATTTGTTTTCTTATGAAAGTCTGAGAAAGTCGCAAAGTTCAGCCCCAAAGAATGAACAAGTGGTTCATTTCTGCCCCCTAGAGGAGGTAAGGAAGGTCATGGTTAAAATGAGTGTTCAGAATCGCAATAGATCCAGCCCTGCAATAGAGCCAAACCTAAAAACAAACTACTTTCAGTTCATGAAAGGGAGGTGATAATGGGTTAGGGATTATCTGGATCAAGAGTGAGAACAGTGTATCAGGGTCCTGCCTGGATATATACTGGATATATATATATATATAGTGTGTGTGGAGATATATATATATATATAGTGTGTGTGTGTGTGTGTGTGTGTGTGTGTGTGTGTATATATATACAGCTTGCATATATATATATACAGCTTGCATATATATATATACAGCTTGCATATATATATACAGCTTGCATATATATATACAGCTTGCATATATATATATATACAGCTTGCATATATATATATATACAGCTTGCATATATATATATATATATACAGCTTGCATATATATATATATACAGCTTGCATATATATATATATATATATACAGCTTGCATATATATATATATATATACAGCTTGCAAATATATATATATATATTTACAAGTATATATATATATATATATATATATATATATATATATATATATACACTGTTCTATCAGGGTCCTGAATAGACTCATTCTAGTCTAGTATTCAGACTAGAACTTTCATCTTTAACATGTGCCCCAAATGATTCTTTCACTAAGGCAACTTTGAGAAACAGGTGCATATAATTTATTCATCCAGCAAGGGCTTGAATAACACCTTCCATCCACAAGCCACTGTTACTAAGGCATTTGCTGGACCCCAAGGGAGTGGAGTCCACATCCCTGTCCTGAAGAAGCTTGGTCAATTACACTATCTCTCAGGGCCTTGCCTTTGTTATTGAGAAAATGGCTCATCTCTAAATGGTGTGAGAGCCAGGAGACCCATGTTGGACGTGCAGACAGGGTGCACTTTACTTAATCTCCTTGGACCTCAGTTTCCTTGTCTACAACATCAGAGGGTGAATACTCATCAAGCTTCCTCCTGTGGCAAGATTCTGAAGTTCCCAGGCCCTGTGGAGAGCGTACAGGGAAACCTTACTTAGGTGACCTGCTTAGGAGTCTGGTCTCCATGACTGTGCAGATCCACCTCCTGCCAAATGGCTCATGACAATCCCAGGAGCAGGCTGTGGTCTCCCTGATCCTGAGGTTCAGAGCTTTTGGTGTTCCCGTCACTGGCATTCACGCCACACTGTAGGAGCCTTCTTTTCATTGATGTAAACTCTGTTCACAAAAAGGGTCTGGGGAAAATAAAGTTGATTTGGAAAAAGAAATTTCTCTAGAAACCCAAATAAGGCTTCTTATTTCTAGAAACCCCCAAATAAGACTTCCTGAAATGTGGAGTCAGATGAACCAGCCTTTAAATCCTAGCTCTGTTACTCAATAGCTGTGTGATTTGAGGCAAGTCATCCATTTTAAACTTGGTCTCTTCATCTGTGGAATGGACATAAAAAGAGTACCCAAAGCTGGGTGTGGTGGCATGCACCTGTGTTCTCAGTGACTTGGCAAGAGGCTGAGGGAGGAAGGTGACTTGAGCCCAGGAATTTGAGGCCGTAGTGCACTACAATCATGCCTATGAATTGCCACTGCATTCCGGCTTGGGCAACATAGTGAGACCTCATCTCTAAAAATATATAGGTATAATAGAATAGTTTGTATCTCACTGAGTCATGGTGAAGATTAAATGAGACTAGACTAATACCTGGTGCATAATAGGTATGCTGAAATATTTCCTTTTTTTTTTTTTTTTTTTTTTGAGACGGAGTCTCGCCCTGTCACCCAGGCTAGAGTGTCGTGGCGCGATCTCGGCTCACTGCAAGCTCCACCTCCTGGGTTCACGCCATTCTCCTGCCTCAGCCTCCCGAGTAGCTGGGATTACAGGCGCCTACCACCACGCTCGGCTAATTTTTTTGTATTTTTTAGTAGATACGGGGTTTCACCATGTTAGCCAGGATGGTCTCGATCTCCTGACCTCGTGATCCGCCTGCCTCGGCCTCCCAAAGTGCTGGGATTACGGGCATGAGCCACTGCGCCCAGCCTATTTCCTATTGTTATTACGATTAATACTGCTGATGCTAGTTTTACCTTCAGAGACTGTTACAATTGGAAAATAAAGAAACAGTTCATAGTCAGGACCCCACCCAAGGATTTAGCACCCAAATCACTCCAGAGAACTCCAGCTCGACCTTGGCAGTCATCCAGGATGCCACATGTCCTCTCACTCTTGTTTAAAGATGTCCTAATAGAGCCAAACTTCTTTTGCCAAATTTCTCAAAATGAGTCCTTTAGTGGATCCTTGGGCTTATAGTACCACTACCACATCATCCAAGGGGCATGGCCATCTGGGTTTGAGGTTACAGAAAAAGAGAGGGGCCTAGGACCAGGGCCAAGGCAAGCTCATAGACACTCCTTGCAGGAGCAAGGTCAACAAGCAAGACCCATGAGGACTGAAATAAGGATCTACTTGACACTCAGATTGACTGCATTTGGAGAGCCAATAATTGCTGCCTTTGCCCTTATAATAAACTACAGCTTTTGAAGAAAATTTAAAAACAAAATAAAATCCACAAAAACATGCAGGCATTGCTGGGCAGCAGCAAACAAACATACTGGATTGTTCAGAAAGACTGCTAAGATCTTAAGAGCAAATTGTTTATAAACTGCAGAGAAAAGTTGTAATAAGAACTGGCTTCAGCACTAAAACACAGCTTTTGATTCTCCACCATCTCACTCCAACCCAAGAGAATAGCAGCAGCTGTTAGGTGTAAGGGAGCCTGTGGGCCTATTTAGGGGTGAGGGTAAGGTATAGAGGGGCACAGGCTCTCATCTCACAATTAACAAAGGGCCCCACATTCTGGCTTTTGACATTAGCTCCAGATGACAGGTCTGAAAGAAGCAATGTTCAGGATAGAACTCTCAACTTGTGTTCCTCACTGCCTGTAGAGCACTGTAAAATATTTAAAATGTACCCTGGAATTATCATGCAAAAACACATTACCTTTACTATTTTTTTCTGTGATAGAAGTATTAATTTGTCAAATGTAAACATTTAAAATACACCACAGTAGCATGCACCTGTGGTTCCAGCTACTTGGGAGGCTGAGGTGGGAGGATTGCTTGAGCCCAGGAGGTTGAGGCTTCAGTGAACCATGATCGCGCTACTGCACTCCAGCCTGGGTGACAGAGTGAGATTCTGTCTCAAAACAAACAAACAAACAAACACACAAACAAAAAACACCACCGCTCTCACCATCTTTTGGTGGGGGGTGTTGGCATTTCTTCATATTTTAATATACTAGGAACCTCAAAAAAATGGAAGTAACTGTGGGTCACTCTTGTCTTCTGAGAGGCCCTGGCACAGACCTGGGGATGGGAGTGAAGAATCAGGGCAGCCCTGGATGTAACTGTCTCTCCTGCAGAAGTGGTTGCTCCCTAGTCCAAACAGGTTTTTATCAGAATCTCTTTACTTCTCCATAAGAGGTAAAGATCAGTCCTCACCTTCTCATTCACCCACGGAAGAGACGCATTGCAAGGACAAACCCTGAAAATGTTGCTGGTCCAACCAAACTGACAGGGCCCCTGAGTATATCCACAAGAGGAGTGCCTGGCACCAGCTCTACACCCATCTTAGCAGGGTATGAACCACAGACAGCACTTTCCTGGGGGGAGGGATTCTTGACTGTTCTACACCATGTCCCAGAGAATACCAACAAGTTTTCTTTTACCTCTTATGTAAACTTCCAAAGCCTATGATAAAATAAATCAAAATTCTAACCCAAGCATTCACCATCTGCCCCATCACCATATAATTAAGATGATGTACTTAGCCTTGAAATACAGAACTTTTCTGTTAGCCTGTCACAAAAGGTTCACAGTTTCCCTCTCTGGCTTGGATATGGTTTGGATATTTGGCTCCTCCAAATCTCATATTGAAATGTGATCCCAGTGATGAAGGTGGGGCCTAGTAGGAGGTGTTTGGGTCATGGGGGCAGATCCCTTATGAATGGCTTGGTGCCCTCCCCATGGTAATGAGTCCTCACTCTATGAGTTTGTAGAAGATGTGATTGTTTAAGACAATGTGGCACCTGCCCCGCACCTTGCTCCCTCTCTCACCATGTGACAGGCCTCCTCCCCCTTTGCCTTCCATCCATGACTGTAAGCTTTTTGAGGCCCTCCCTAGAAGCAGATGCCAGCATCATGCTTCCTGTACAGCCTGCAAAACCGTGAGCCAAAAGAAACCTCTTTTCTTTTTTTTTTTGAGACAGAGTCTCACTCTATTGCCCAGGCTGGAGTGCAGTGGCATGGTTTTGGCTCACTGCAACTTCCGCCTCCCGGGTGCAAGAGATTCTCCTGCCTCAGCCTCCCGAGTAGCTGGGACTACAGGCATCCACCACCATGCCTGGCTAATTTTTGTATTTTTTAGTAGAAACCGGTTTCACCATATTGCCCGGGCTGGTCTCGAACTCCTGACCTTGTGATCTGCCTGCCTCAGCCTCCCAAAGTGCTGGGATTACAGGTGTGAGCCACCATACCCAGCTACCTCTTTTCTTTACAAATAACACAGTCCCAGGTATTCCTTTATGCCAACACAAAGGAACTAACACAGACTTCCTCTCTTGAAGTTAATAAAAATGGATGATGGACACAATCCAGCCAGAGTGCTGGCAACCAACACCCAGTCACAGATAAATCACAGCTACACCCTTTTCTCACACGGGGTGCCAACATTGCAACCTTTAGATGCAATCTTTTTTCATGAACTGTAACCAGCAGGAACATCCAGGAAGAATTACAGAGTTGATCCAGAGCTCCCAGAGTTTCTGTCTTTTTCAGTGATGAATCACTCACTCGATAAATATATTTTTAAGGCAGTATTTTAAAAATTGAGGTATAATATACATAACATAAAAGTCACCATTTTAAAGTTTACAATTAGTTTTCTCTCTGTGTGTGTGCGTGCATGTGTGTGTGTGTGTGTGTGTGTGTGTGTGTGTGTGTGTGTGTGTTTAGACAGGGTCTCACTCTATCTTCCAGGCTGTAGTGCAGTGATGCAATCATGGCTCACTGCAGCCTCAACTTCCCAGGCTCAGATGATTCTCCCACTTCAGCCTCCTGAGTAGCTGGGACTATAGGTGCATGCCACCACCCCTGGCTAACTTTTTTGTGTGTTTTTTTGTATGGACTGGTACTTTTTGTTACTTAGGTTAGTCTCCAACACCTGGGCTCAAGCAATCATCCTGCCTTGGTCTCCCAAAGTGCTGGGATTACAGGCATGAGCCACTGCACCTGGCCTATGTGTTTTAATATATTCACTGTCTTGTGCAACCATCCCCACTCTCTAATATCAAAGCATATCTGTTATCACAAAACAAAACCCCATACCCACTATAGTTACTCCCTATTACCTCCTGCCCTTAGTCTCTGGTAAACCATCAATCTACTTTCTGTCTTTATGGATTTGCCTTTTCTGAACATTTCATGTAAATGGAATCATGTGATAAGTTACCTTTATTTTATTTTATTTTTTTGAGATGGAGTCTGGCTCTGTTGCCCAGGCTGGAGTGCAGTGGCACAATCTTGGCTCACTGCAATCTCCGCCTCCTGGGTTCAAGCAATTCTCCTGCCTCAGCCTCCTGAGTAGCTGGGATCACAGGCACCTGCCACCACGCCTGACTAATTTTTGTATTTTTAGTAGACATGGGGTTTCACCATGTTGGCCAGGCTGGTCTCGAACTCCTGACCTCAGGTGATCCACCTGCTTCCGCCTCCCAAAGTGTTGGGATTACAGGCATGAGCCACTGCACCTGGCTGATAAGTGACCTATAGTGTCTGGCTTATCTCACTTAAAGTCTTCAAGGTTCATCCATGTTGTTGCACGTGTCAGCACTTCATTCCTTTTTGTTGTCAAATAATATTCCATTGTATGGATATATAACATTTTATTTATCCATTCATGAGTTGATGGACACTTTGGGTTGTTTCCATTTGGGGCTATTATGAGCAATGCTAAGATGAATATTCACGTGCATATTTTTGAGTGAACACGTGCTTTCAATTCTTCCGGATATACACCTAGAAGTGCAATTGCTGGGTCTTATGGAGCTTCTGGGTTTGCTGAGGGTATAGACAAGGTCACAGAACAAGAGCAAAGATACTCTGAAAGCACAGAATCCAGGCCCTGTGGTATAAAAACACACACTCCAATAAACTAAAATGAAGTACTGGTAATTTAGTGGATTTCTGAAAGTTCTTACCATTTATGGGCAGAGAAACTACATACAGGGGCTCTGGTGGTCTTTGAAATAATTTACTGACAATTTAGGCATGGAAATGTGAGTAGGTCATAAAGTTTGAGGAAAATAATAATTTTGGATGACTCTCTTTAAGTACAGTCATGGGCCAAATAGCAACATTTTGGTCAATAATGGACCGCCTACATGACAGTATTATGATGGAGCCAAAGAATTTCTATTGCCTAGCGACATCATAACATCTTAGTGCAACACGTTGCTTATATTTGTGGTGATGCTGGCATAAACGAACCTATTGCACTGCCAGTCGTATGAAAGTACAGCACATGCAATTATTTACAGTACATACTACTGGGTAATGATAAACAGCTATGGTACCGGTTAATGTATTTATTATTCCATACTTTTTATCATTATTTTAAAGTGTACTCCTACTTATAAAAAACATATTTTGGCCGGGCATGGTGGCTCACGCCTGTAATCCCAGCACTTTAGGAGGCTGAGGCAGGCGGATCACGAGATCAGGAGTTCGAGACCAGCCTGGCCAACTTGGTGAAACCCCCATCTCTACTAAAAAATTACAAAAATTAGCCAGGCATGGTGGCAGGTGCCTGTAGTCCCAGCTACTCGGCTGAGGCAGGAGAATTGCTTGAACCTGGGAGGCAGAGGTTGCAGTGAGCCGAGATCACACCACTGCACTCCAGCCTGGGCAACAGAATGAGACTCCGGCTCCAAAAAAAAAAAAAAAAAAAAATCCAGTTAACTTTGAAATAGCCTCAGGCAGGTTTTTCAGGAGCTATTCCAGAATAAGGCACTGTTATCACAGGAGATGACAGCTCCATGCATGTTATTGCCCCTAAAGACCTTCCAGTGGTACATGTGGAGGTGGAAGATGGTGATACTGATGATCCTGACCCTAGGCAGGCCTAGGCTTATGTGGGTGAGTGTGTCTTTGTTTTTAACAAAAAATTTTTAAAGTAAAAAAAAATTATAAAAATAGAAAAAAGCTATTTTTATAATTAAGATATAAAGAAAAAAGCAGCTGTACAATATGTTCATATTTTAAGCTGTTATTACAAAAGTCAAAAGTTTTTAAAAATTAAAAAGTTTATAAAGTAAAAAAGTCACAGAATGCTAAGGTTAATTTATTATTGAAGAAATAAATTTTTAATATAAATTTAGTATAGCCTAAGTGTACAGTGTTTAAAAGTCTATAGTAGTGGAATGTCCTGGGCCTTCACATTCACTCACCACGCACTCACTGACTCACCCATAGCAACTCCAGTCCTGCAAGCTCCATTTATGGTAAGTGCCCTATATAGGTGTACCATTTTTTATCTTTCATGCTGTATTTTCCTATACCTTTTCTAGGTTTGGATTTTTTTTTTTTTTGAGACAGAGTCTCACTCTGTTGCCCAGGCTGGGGTGCAGTGGCGTGATCTCAGCTCACTGCAACCTCTGCCTCCTGGGTTCAAGAAATTCTCCTGCCTCAGCCTCCCTAGAAGCTGCAATTACAGGCGCGCGCCTTACGCCCAGCTAATTTTTGTATTTTTAGTAGAGACGGGGTTTCACCGTGTTGGCCAAGCTGGCCTTGAACTCCTGACCTCAGGTGATCTGCCCGCCTCAGCCTCCCAAAGTGCTGGGATTACAGGTGTGAGCCATGGGGCCCAGGCCGGTTTAGATTTTTTTAGATATACAAATACTTACCAATGTGTTACACTGGCCTACAGTATTTAGTACAGTAACATGCTGTGCAGGTTTAGAGCCTAGGAGCAATAGGCTACACCATAGAGCCTAGGTGAGTAGTAGGCTATGCCATCTAGGTTTGTGCAAGTGCACTCTATGATATTCACACAAGGACAAAATCGCCTTTTGGGGGACACATTTCTCAGAATGTATCCCCGTTGTTAAGCGACACATGACCATAGTTGAAGAAACTCTCAGGCTGGCTTCTTCCTTCTTGAAAGGGATTCGGGGCCATGCCTCTTTAAGACCAAGGAGAATTGACTCCCTTCCCCACCTGCCCTCTTGCCTTCCTGACTCAGACCTTTGCAGCCTTCCCTCCCTTGCAGCTGTTCCCAACGTTTACTGTAAAAAAAAAAAAAAAGAATGCGCTATTGTTTAAAGTGGCAATTAATTGTTCAGCCTCTCATGGGAAGGAGGGAAGCTCTGAAAATGTTAGTCATTAATGCCCAGTGATGGGAAGGTTCACTTTGACCTCAGGAGGTTACAACTGCCATATTTCAAATGGCAGATTTTGTAAAGTTTCATTCCTGTTGAATTAATCTAAAGTACTTCTACTTTGATTAAGGCACCAGGCTGGGTGCTGTGGGGAGGTACGTAGAAACACAAAGGCATCCAGCCCCATCCATCCCTGTCCTTAAGAAAACATCAAGGGAGGAGAAGAATATTGCACAAAGGTAGCCTGTGGGACCTGCAGCACTCAAGGGTCTGTGTCCCAGCATAAGGGACAGAGTTATGTTGGGGAGAAGAGAATTCTCCTTAGGCCGGGCTGGGTGCTCCAGGCTTCATGATGGAAGAGGGGCTGAGGATGGGCAGGCTTTAGACAGGCTTCCAGCAGCGGGGATGGCATTCTAGACAGGGCAGGTGACAGATGCAAAGGCCCAGGGGCAGGACTTTAAAAGATATAGTGGGTCTGGGCTGGGCCCAGTGGGTCATGCCTCTAATCCCAGCACTTTGGGAAGCCGAGGTGGGTGGATCACCTAAGGTCAGGAGTTTGAGGCAGCCTGACAAATACGGTGAAACCCCATCTCTACTAAAAATACAAAAATTAGCCAGGCATGGTGGCATGCGCCTGTAGTCCTAGCTACTCAGGAGGCTAAGATGGGAGAATTACTTGAACCCAGGAGGCAGAGGTTGCAGTGAGCCGAGATCGCACCACTGCACTCCAGCCTGGGTGACAGAACAAGACCCCGTCTCAAAAAAATTAAATAAAATAAAATAAATAAATAAATAAAATAAAAGATATATTGGGTCTGAAATTCAGGTTCCTGAATAAGGCTTTGTTTAAAAGAAAAAAAAAAAGCAGCTGGGCACAGTGGCTCACACCTGTAATTCCAGCACTTTGGGAGGCCGAGGCAGGTGGATCACGAGGTCAGAAGATCAAGACCATCCTGGCCAGCATGGTGAAACCCTGTCTCTACTAAAAATACGGAAAATTAGCCAGGCATGGCAGTGTGCGCCTGTAGTCCCAGCTACTCAGGAGGCTGAGTCACGAGAATTGCTTGAACCTGGGAGGCGGAGACTACAATGAGCCGAGATCACGCCACTGCACTCCAACCTGGGCAACAGAGCGAGACTCTGTCTCAAAAAAAAAAAAAAAAAAAGAGAGAAAGAGCACCTTGAAGGTTCTAGTTTTTATTGAATAGCCCCAGTAAAGCCTGAGATTTATCTTTCATCTCTAAGGAGAGGCCCAACTATTGGGGTGCAATGATTAAAATGGGAACACCATAGGGCACTCAAGTTCCTTTTTCCATGCATCACCTTTGGCGTGGGAAACACCCTAGCAGCTGAGAGCCCCGTGATGCAGATGACTACAGACGTGTTAAAAAGGGCTCACCTTTGACTGACCCTGACAGGTGCTGGATTCCTAGAGGAACTGGGGCCTCAGCTGAGGTCTTTGGGGTGGTAGACCCCCTTTCTCCTCCACACACAGCGATCCTACCTATTACAGGTAGCATGGGCTTTTTGTCTTGCACACATCATTTCGTCGTTGGTTAATTCATTTCTATACTCGTCAGACCTTCTCTGTTTTCTCCACAGGAATCTTTGGAATTTCTCTGCTCTCCTCCATTACAGCAGTGGTTCTCGCCAGATAGACTACTGCCCACTGGGATGTGTTTTAGAAATTTGTAGGTGTTTTTTTTTTTCTTTTTCTTTTTTTTTTCTTTTTTGAGATGGAGTCTTGTTCTGTCACCAGCCTGGAATGCAGTGGCGCGATCTCGGCTCACTGCAACCTCCACCTCCCGGGTTCAAGTGATTCTCCTGCCTCAGCCTCCCGAGTAGCTGGGACTACAGGCATGTGCCACCACACCCAGCTAATTTTTGTATTTTTAGTAGAGATGGGGTTTCACCATGTTGGCCAGGATGGTCTTGATCTCTTGACCTCATGATCTGCCCGCCTCGGCCTCCCAAAGTGCTAGGATTACAGGTGTGAGCCACAGCACCTGGCTGTAGGGGCTTTTTTTTTAGTTGTTTCGGTGATGGAGAGGGCATTATTGGCTTTAGTGGGCAGAGACCAGGACGGCCAGAAGTCCTCCTGCAATAGGCAGAAAAGTTTCACAAGAATTGTCCCATGCCCCACAGGACTTTTATATATCTAATATTTGAGTGTTACATGTTCCTACTTATAACCACAGCACGACCATAACAATTAGGAAATTGACACTGATTCGATAATACCATCGAATCCACAGACCCCACTTTATGGGTCCAGCATCCAGACTAGTATCACAGGTTGGATTTAGTTGTCACGTCTCATTCGCCTCCCTCAATCTAGAACAGTTCCTCAGACTTTTCTTATCTTGCATGACCTTGACATTTTGAAGAGCGCAGGGATGTCCCTCACTTTGGATTCATCCGATTGCTTCCTCACGCTGTATATATTTTTGGCAGGAACACCACAGCAGTGATGCTGTGCTCTTTTCAGTGCATCACATTAGGAGGCTCACAACATCGATTTGTCTCTTGCTTGTAGACACAGAGGGGCTTTTCACAAAAGACTTGGAATCATATATGGGGAAAAAAACAACAACTGGGAATTCTGTGCAACAAACCCTCTAATAATACACCATGAGCAATGGGCCACCTAGCAGTGGCCAAAGCCCGGTCCACAGAGGAGTAACGTTGTCACTGGAAGGGTAGTAGGACAGAACTTCTCCCAGGGAGAGAACCTGAGTGCTTAGAAGGAATTCTTCAACAAGCCACCTGAAGAAGAGGGTAGGACCCCACAGGGCATTCTCAAATAGGTGAGAGAGTAAGGAGGTGGATGCAGGGTAAGAACAAAAGGCAGCTGACATGAAAGGGAAGAGGAAAACAGGGAAGCCAGGAAAAATGGGCTGGAGGACAAGAGAACAATGGAAGAAACCAGCAGCATCCAAAGACTTCAAAGTTTCTGCTTCATTCACTTCACAGGGGTTTATAAAAGAAGTGTGAGCTGGGCGCAGGGGCTCACTCCTGTAATCCCAGCATTTTGAGAGTCTGAGGTGGGATGGTCATTTGAGATCAGGAGTTTAAGACCAGTGTGGGCAACACAATGAGACCCTGTTTCTACAAAAATTTAAAAATTATCTGGGTGTGCTGGTGTGCATCTGTAGTCCCAGCTACTCAGGAGGCTGAGGCTGGAGGATTGCTTGAGCCCAGGAGGTCGAGGTTGTAGTGAGCCATGATCGTGCCACTCCACTCCAGCCTAGGCGATGGAGTGAGATCCTGTTTAAAAAAAATTTTTTTTAAGAGAAAAAGTTTATGTACAATATACTTCTTATCCACTGGACTTGGAGCCAAATAGCCTATCTTAATCCTAGATAACCGGGTAAATTAATCAGTCTTGCTGAGATTCAGTTTTCTTACCTGTTTAAAAAAAAAAAAAGGAGAAAAAGCAGGATATGGTGGCTCATGCCTGTAATCTCAGCGTTTTGGGAGGCTGAGGTGGGAGGATCATTTGAGCCTTGGAGTTTGAGATCAGGCTGGGCAACGTAGCAAGACCTTGTCTCTACAAGAAATTTAAAAGAAAAGGAGAGAAATCCCTTGCAAAATGACTCTAAGAACTCCATGAGACATCTAGTCATATAGTCAGCTAACACAGATTGCATGTCTACTGCATGGCACCACTGTTCCTCATGCTGGGGATACAGCAGATGACAAAACGGAAAAGAATCCCTGCCCCGATGAGGCCCACATCTGGTGGGGCAGCCTACCAGACTATTCTCTGAGCTGTCAAGCACTGTGCACATTTAAGAAATTACTCTATTCAAAGGTAATGGTGAGAGTGACCCGTGTAAAACAGATGGGGAAACTAAGTCACAGAGGTTACAATGGTAGTGTGTCCGGAATTGGTGGGTTCTTGGTCTCACTGACTTCAAGAATTAAGCCGCGGACCCTCACGGCGGGTGTTACAGTTCTTAAAGGCGGCCGTGTCAGGAGTTTGTTCCTTCTGATGTCTGGATGTGTTCGGAGTTTCTTCCTTCTGGTGGGGTTTGTTGTCTCGCTGGCTCAGAAGTGAAGCTGCGGACCTTTGCAGTGAGTGTTACAGCTCTTAAGGCGGCGCGTCTGGAGTTGTTCCTTCCTCCTGGTGGGTTCGTGGTCTCGCTGGTTTCAGAAGTGAAGCTGCAGACTTTCGCAGTGGGTGTTACAGCTGATAAAGACAGTGTGGACCCAAAGAGTAAGCAGTAGCAAGATTTACTGCAGAGTGAAAGAACAAAGCTTCCACAATGTGGAAGGAGACCCCAGCAGGTTGCCGTTGCTGGCTGGGGCAGCCTGCTTTTATTCTCTTATCTGCCCCACCCACATCCTGCTGATTGGTAGAGCCAAGTGGTCTGTTTTGGCAGGGCGCTGATTGGTGTGTTTACAATCCCTGAGCTAGACACAAAGGTTCTCCACGTCCCCACCAGATTAGCTAGATACAGAGTGTTGACACAAAGGTTCTCCTAGTCCCCACCAGAGTAGCTAGATACAGAGTGTCGATTGGTGCATTCACAAACCCTGAGCTAGACACAGGGTGCTGATTGGTGTGTTTACAAACCTTGAGCTAGATACAGAGTGCCGATTGGTGTATTTACAATCCCTTAGCTAGACATAAAGGTTCTCCAAGTCCCCACCAGACTCAGGAACCCAGCTGGCTTCACCCAGTGGATACCGCACAGGGGCTACAGGTGGAGCTGCCTGCCAGTCGCGCCGTGCGCCGGCACTCCTCAGCCCTTGGGTGGTCGATGGGACTGGGCGTGGTGGAGCAGGGGGCGGCGCTCGTCGGAGAGTCTCGGGTCTCAGGTCGCACAGGAGCCTACGGAGCGGGGGAAGGCTCAGGCATGGCGGGCTGCAGGTCCTGAGCGCCGCCCCGCGGGAAGGCAGCTAAGGTCTGGCGAGAAATTGAGCACAGCAGCTGCTGGCCCAGGTGCTAAGCCCCTCACTGCCCCGGGCCGGCGGCTCCAAGTGCGGGGCCCGCCCGAGCCCACGCCCACCAGGAACTCGCGCTGGCCCGCAAGCACCGCGCGCAGCCCCGGTTCCCGCCCGCGCCTCTCCCTCCACACCTCCCCACAAGCTGAGGGAGCCGGCTCCGGCCTTGGCCAGCCCAGAAAGGGGCTCCCACAGTGCAGCGGTGGGCTGAAGGGCTCCTCAAGTGCCGCCAAAGTGGGAGCCAAGGCAGAGGAGGCGCTGAGAGTGAGCAAGGGCTGTGAGGACTGCCAGCACGCTGTCACCTCTCAGTAACAGTAAGAAGAGAGAGGAGGACATCTAATTCTGGAAGAAATGTGCCCATTCGGAAACTACCTTGACCGATAAGAGCAGAAAGCCCCGGAAGAATATTCACCGGACTTCTCTGGGGGAAGGATTACAGGTGAACTTTCACTCTTTTGTACTGTGTGAATATTTTTAAATTAACATTTATTATTAGAATAATCGTTTTTCTGATTTGAAAAAAGGTAAGACATGGATTGAAATAGAGTCACAGGGTCGGGCATGGTGGCTCACTCCTGTAATCCCAGCACTTTGGAAGGCTGAAGTGGGCGGATCGCTTGAGGTAAGGAGTTCGAGACCAGCCTGGCCAACATGGTGAACTCCCATCTCTACTAAAAATAGAAAAATTAGCCGGTTGTGGTAGGGCGGGCACCTGTAGTCGCAACTACTCAGGAGGCTGAGGCAGGAGAGATGCTTGAACGGGGAGGGGGGTGCAAGGGGGTGCGGGGGGCGGGAGTTGAGGGGTGCGGGGGCGGGGGGCGCTAGCGGAGGAGCCAAGATGGCGCCACTGTACTCCAGCCTGGGCGACAGAGTGAGACTCTGTCTCAAAAAAAAAAAAAACCACACAAAAACATAGAGCCACAGCCTCTCAGGAGCAAACTGAGTTTCTGATTAATTTCAGGAGCCTGGAGATAGAAAATCTGTTAGGGGAAAAGTTACTCCCTGCATTTGGTATTTGGTTCCCTCTTGCCTTTCTGGCTGTCTCTGCCTCTTTCATAAATCCAAAGCCTCCTGGAGTCTTCCCAAACTCGCCCAACTGCTGACACACAGATGCAAACACGTGCAATTCAGCCCTTCATGATTTCCAGTCAGATTTCGTTATTAAGCAACTATTTCCTTGCTCATTTTCTCACCTTTCTCTTTCACATTACAGAGAGCCAATTTACACACACACACAAAAGCTTTCGACAGAAGCACAAAAAACAGCCTACTTAAATGTTTTATTGTGGTAACATACATAATATTTATCATTTTAACCTTCACAATTCAATGGCATTAAATACATTCACAATGTTGTATAACCATCACCACTATGTATACCAAAACCTTTTTCATTATTTTTAACAAAAATTCTGTACCCATTAAATAATAACTTCTCTTTTGGCCCTTCCTCCAGCCCATGGTAACCTCTATTCTATTTTTTTTTCTACAAGCAGACGCCACTACGTCTGCCTAATTTTTTGTATTTTTGTAGAGACAGGGTTTCGCCATGTTGCCCAGGCTGGTCTCAAATTCCTGGGCTCAAGCCATCTGCCTGCCTCGGTCTCCCAAGGTGCTGGGATTACAGGGATGAGCCACCACGTCCCACTTTCTATCTTCTTTTCTTTTCTTTTCCTTTTTTCTTTTCTTTTCTTTTTTTTTTTGAGACGGGATTTTGTTCTTGTTGCCCATGCTGGAGTGCAATGGCACGATCTCAGCTCACTACAACCTCCACCTCCTGGGTTCAAGCAATTCTCCTGCCTCAGCCTCCCAAGTAGCTGTGATTACAGGCACGTGCCACCATGCACAGCTAATTTTTTGTATTTTTTGTAGAGATAGGGTTTCACCATATTGGCCAGGCTGGTCTGGAACTCCTGACCTCAAGTTATCCACCTGCCTCGGCCTCCCAAAGTGTTGGGATTACAGGTGTAAGCCACAGCACCCGGCCTTCTATCTTATTTTCTGCCTTACGAATTGGCCTATTCTGGGTACCTGATATAAGTGGGAATCATATAATATTTGTTTTTCTTTGTCTGGATTATTTCACTAAGCATAATGTTTTCAATGTCTATCAATATTTTAGCATATATCAATATTGCATTTCTTTTTTATGGCTGAATACTATTTCATTGTATGAATATAGCACATTTTGTTTATTCATCTGTTGAGGGACATTTGGGTGGTTTCTGCCTTTTGGCTATTGTGAATAATGCTGCTATGAACATTGTGTACAAATATCTGTTCAGGTCCCTGCTTTCAGTTCTCTTGGGTATATACCAAGAAGTGGGATTGCCAGGTCATACAATAGTTCTATGATTAGCCTACAAAAACAACTCACTTTGGAGGATTAAAAAAAAGAATAGCTTTATACTCTCACTTTATTTCATATCTTATGAAATCTTTTTGAGGTGCTTAGAAAAATACACACCATAAAAAGAGATAAAGAGTTAAAGGGGCCGGGCGCGGTGGCTCAAGCCCGTAATCCCATCACTTTGGGAGGCCGAGGCGAGCAGATCACGACGTCAGGAGATCAAGACCATCCTGGCTAACACGGTGAAACCCCGTCTCTACTAAAAATACAAAAAATTAGCCGGGCGTGGTGGCGGGCGCCTGTAGTCCCAGCTACTCAGGAAGCTGAGGCAGGAGAATGGTGTGAACCTGGGAGGCGGAGCTTGCAGTGAGCCGAGATCATGCCACTGCACTCCAGCCTGGGCAACAGAGCAAGACTCTATCTCAAAAAAAAGAAAAAAAAAAAGTTAAAGGAATTGGGGCAAAGGGAAAATAAGGGTAAGAGCTTCCCAGTTAGTGCTTGGGCAGGGCAGATCAGCTCCATCAGAAAACAAGCGCTTGGGGCACACTGCTAGCACTTTCAAAAGGCAGCTTCCAATGCAGATGATTCCAATTCTACACCTTGGCCAAGCTGCCTCTCCAAATGGAGCAGGGCACGTGGGCTTCACTGTATACGCAGACCACGTGGAAGCTGACACCATAACCTTACCCACCGCAGGCTTCTCATGCACTCACAAACCTTCAGCTGGGCCGGTCCTTAGAATTATCTAGGGCAACCCTCTTGATTTCCAGATGACGAAAGTAAGGCTCAAAGAGGTTAAGTGTCCTGCGGAGACACACAGAGCATGTAAGTAGCAGAGCTGATTCACACCCATGTGTCCCACCGACAGCCTAGTTTCTCCGGGTTACCACACCGCCTCTCATTGCCGTAAGTCAGCTTCCCTTTACTTATTTGGGAAACGTATGGGCTGTATGAAATCATTATGTTCTCATTCTTTTTAAACTGTTCCAGTAGTTATGCAGTTTCAAGGTTCTGAAGGCTAAAAGTACTATTATGTGGTATTAAACAAGGTAGACATTAACTGTGACACGGGAGGGATGTCACAAATCCCATTGCTGAAGCTGAAGCTGTGTTACTTATTTTAGAAAACTTTCCATTAGTTGACTTCCCAAATAGAAGTGTTGCTTCCTGGTTTCCCTTGGTGATTTTTTAAATTGTGCTTAAACATGAGTGTCCAGTTGAGACTACATGCAATTCCAGCATAACCAGGCTTGGTAATGACCAGAGCTATTAACCTGTGATGGACCTTGTATCAGCCAAATATTTACCTAGCTCATGCTCACAACAGGTTGGTGGGACAGATCCAACGGCTCCTACTTCAGCTGGGTTTCCGTTTGGATCTTAATGTGAACACAGCTGCTTGGTTTTATTTATGTACATAGATTTTTCTGACATATTTCATCCTTTCCTAAACCAACTACCCTCGGAGACATTGCAACTTGCTCTCTTGCCTCCATGAGTCACCTAAAAACACACTGGTGGTTTCCAGGACTTCCTCAATGTCTTTCTAGCTGTGTCTGGTGTAAGCTTATGGGCTTTCCCTGGCACAAGTTTGACAGATCTACTCACTCATCTTTAATTCAGTTCTACAAACACTGCAGATGTGGTAGAGGATGGTCGTGGGCTCTAGAACAAAACAGCCCTGGTCTAAATCTCAGCTCTTACTTCATAACCTCCAGCAAGTTACTCAACCTCTTCATGCCCCATTTTGTAATCTAAAAAATGGAAATGATAATATAACCAACCGCATTAGGTGATTATGAGAATTAAGAGTTACTATGCGTATCAGCCCTGGAAGAGTGTCTGACACATGTTGTGAATGCTCAGTACATTACTGACAAAATTCCTGCCTACTCCAAGTCAGGCATTGCCAGGCTTTGGGGATATAAGGGTGAATAAAACACAGATCCTGCTTTCAAGAAGCTTGTTCAGAGAACACACACACACACAAAATATACAGTCCAGGCACGGTGACTTACGCCTGTAATCCCAACACTTTGAGAGGTCGAGGTGGAAGGATTGGTTGAACCCAGGTGTTTGAGACCAGCCTGGGCAACAAGCAAGACCCTGTCCCTACAAAAAATTTACAAATTAGCCAAGCATGGTGGCACACGCCTGTAGTCCTGGCTTCTCAGGGGGCTGAGGTGGGAGGATCACTTGAGCCTGGGAGGCCAAGGCTTCAATAAGCCATGATTGCACCACTGCACTCCAGCCTGGGCAACAGAGTAAGACCCTCTCTCTCTCTCTCTCTCTTTCTCTCTCTCTATACACACACACACACACACACACGCACACACACACGTGTATGTGCGTGTGTGTGTGCATGCACGTGTGTATGGCAACATTACATATTCTTATCATGGACTTTTATTTCTTGATTTTTTTGGAGGTGGGAGTCTTGCTGTGTCACCCAGGCTAGAGCGCAGTGGTGCAATCTCAGCTCACTGCAACCTCTGCCTCCCGGGTTCAAGCGATTCTCCTGCCTCAGCCTCCCAAGTAACTAGGACTACAGGCATGTGCCACCATACCTGGCTAATTTTTTTTTAATTTTATTTTTAGTAAAGACAGGGTTTCACCATGTTGGCCAGGCTAGTCTCGAACTCCTGACCTCAAATGATCCACCTGCCTCGGCCTCCCAAAGTCCTAGGATTACAGGCGTGAGCCACCATGCCCAGCCTATCATGGACATTTTAAAAGAAGATAGTAGCATAGCATTTTTGTGTTTCATATGGAAACTTGTTGCTATATTATTACCACTGAATACCAGCATTTTCATCTAGAATTTGTTAAATGTCTCTATCCATTAATTCACCAACATGTATTGAGCACCTGCTGTATTCTAGGCACCATACTAGGCACTTAGGATATACATGTGATACTGACACAAAATGTTAGTATATCATTCTTCACTGCCTTCCCTCTTCCTACACTTCCTAGGCCTCACTCAGGAGTGCCTGTGATTGCCTACCTGGTTCTTGGGGCTTCAGGGTAAGTGGGAGGGTGGAGAGTCAGGAGAGGTTGATTCGATCTATATAACGGAGGTGGCGAGGGGGTAACAGGAGAGATGTGAAAATTTCAGTTAGTTTGAAAGAAGAGATTTGGGGAAGCAATTGCTGTGATGAGAAAACTGGGAAAATTGAAGAGTGAAGAGGAACTTTTGAACTTCTACTGGGCATTCTGCAATGTCTTTCCTTCTTCCCATACTTCTTCGGTAGAGACTTCAATGGCTTTTCAGTGCTTTTGGATGTCAAACTGGTGCTGCTTTTGAATATGATGCCATGCTGTAGCAGCCGGCTTCTGAGAAAGCCCTCAGTGAGCCTTGCCTCCTGATGTTCATGCTCTTGTGTCTTCCCCTCCCACACTGAGTTGGGATGAATTATGTAATAATAGGATATTGCAGAAAAGAAAGAGTTGAACTTCCAATGCTATAACCCTCACTGTGGCTTCCATCTTGCTCAGTTGGATCACTTGCTCTCTGGTAAGTCAGCTGCCATGTTGTGAGGATACTCAAGCCTTCCCATGGAGAAGTCCACTTGGGGAAGAACTGAGCTCCCACCCCCACTCCCTGAGCAAGCATAATTTGCCAGCGATGTGAGTGAGGCTACTTAGAAGTGGATCCTACAGCCCTGACCAACATTGTGCTATGGCTTCATGAGACCCCTGAGTCAGAACCACTCAGCTAAGTCATTTCCAAATCCCCAACCTGTGAGAGATAAAAAATATTCACTGTTACTTAAATCTCCATGTTTTGGAGTAATTTGTTACACAGCAGTAGATAAGCAAAACACTGGCCATTAGTTGGCCAACTTTACTGAGGTTACCCAAATATAACCTGAGTTTCCCAGGCCACCTCAGCCTATGGGAACAATAGGGGACACAGCAAGAATAACACTCAGATTCCATGGCTGGGCACGATGTCTCATGCCCTTAATCTCAGCACTTTGGGAGGCTGAGGCAGGAAGATTGCTTGAACACAGGAGTTCAAGATCAGCCTGGGCAACAGAGCAAAACCCCAGATCTACAAAAAAAATTAAAAATTAACTGGGTGTGGTGGCACACACTTGTAATCCCAGCTACTCAGGAGGCTGAGGCAGGAGGATGACTGACTTGAGCCCAAGAGGTCAAGACTGCAGTGAGCAGTGAGTGTACCACTGCACTCCAGCCTGGGTGACAGAGTGAGACCCTGTCTCATACAAAACCCCAAAACTCAGATTTCACTGGCTCTTGCCTTATCTGCTGAAGCCAGACCTATACCTGCAATCTTCTGTTAATCAACCATCCCACACATCCCACCCCCATAGAAAAATAAGAAGTATGTTTGTGAATCATGAGAAGAGGGACCAGTCTCACGTGTATGTGTGTGTGTGTGTGTGTGTGTACAAGACTGTTCTCCCTGAGTGCTGTTTTGCTCTCTCACCCAGTACTTCCTATGGTTTTCAAGATACCACCATCTCCTGCCAGGAGATGGTGTTGCCACTGGAACTCGTGCCCCTGCCAAGCACCAAAGTCTCCCATGGGCCATGGCCCACTTTCCAGCTATTCACCCTGCAGAACTCACTGGACCAAAGCTGGAGCTGCTCTATGTTGAAGTGGTAGCAAGATGCTTCTCTCCTCTCCAATGCACTGCCCTTGCCCTGGAGGTCTGTAGAGATTTTACTGAGATCTCACTTTTTACTCACAGCCATCTCTCTCCTTAGGTCTCAGACATGTGTCCACAGGTTGGGCAGGGACAGAATAAAAATATTTATATGTTGTCATCAGGATTCTCACTAACCTTTAGTGACCCAGAATTTGTGACTGGGCTAGGCTCAACATGGCTACAGGCAGCTCTAGGCTCATATCATGTCAGTTTGGCCATCCTAAGGAGGGAGAGGACTTCTTGCTTTAGAAGACGTAACTCCCAATAAAGAGCTCTGATTGGCTAGGCTTGGGTCTCATGCCTGCCTCTTGGGCTGAAGTGAGGGGGAAGAAAGGGAACTGTGATTGGCAGCCTCATCAGGATCACCTTCCCCAAGGGAAGGAGGCCTGCACTAACCCTCAAATGTGGGTAGGTAGCAAGGGAGGGGGAGAAGCTGGTGGATAAAAACAACAGCTTTCAGGCTAGGAGCAGTGGCTCATGCCTGTAATTCCAACACTTCGGAGGCCAAGGTGGGAGGATTGCTTGAGGCCAGGAGTTGGAGACCAGAGGCCAGGAGTTGGAGACCAGACTGGGCAACATAATGAGACCCCTATCTCTACAAAAATAAAAATAAAAATAAAAAAATTAGCTGGGTGTGGTGGTGCAACTGTAGTCCCAGCTACTTGGGAGGCTGAGGCAGGAGGATCACCTGAGCCCAGGAGTTCAAGGCTGCAGTGAGCTATGATCATGGCACTGCACTCCAGCCTGGGCAACAGAGCAAGATCCTGTCTCAAAACACACACACACCCCAATAAAACAGCTTTTTGCTGTACCCCCATTTCCAGACCTGCTTAGGCAGCAGTGGCCCCAGCAATCCCAGCCATTCAAGGATACAGTCGCTGCCTCTGCGGAGCTTGCTGCACCCAGACTCAGGCTCAAGTGCAGCACCTTGTTTGACTCGTCCAGTGCACACCTTCCTGAGACGAGTTCAAGGGGCGGGCTGCAATGACTTCTGCACCTACATTATCATCCTTCTTCTAAATTCCCCTGAACGTTCCCCTCAGAGTTGCCTTCCCCTGATTCGCCCCCGATCTGTTCCAATTCTCCAAAAGTTGCTCCCACAGAATGAACTAAAAAAGCATGCGCAGATGCATAATCTCCAGCCCAGTCCTCAGCTTTCTCAATCAGCTGTGGTCATTTTAGGTCGGGGCGCTCTGGAGCCCAGGTGTTATCAGTTCACGTAACGCAGGTGTGGCAGCCTCCCCCTTCCCACCTCATCCCTTGTCCCTTTGAGGTGAGCAGAGAATTGCTCTTTCCTGACCAGGGACATCTTCTCTGCTGACCGCAAACTATCAGTCCTGTGCTGCCACCACCCCCGATGACACAGGGGCTGTGACATTTCACCAGTGTCCCTTTAGGATGCCTGACGGGGTTTTCTCTGTGAACCTGCCTTGCTATCCTCCCCAGGGGGCTGAGGTGATGTCAGCCATCCTTTGTGGATGGCCAGGTGGTTCTTCGAAGATCCGGTGCCGTGGGAGGAGCAGGAGTTTCAACTACACAACGCTGTCATCGCCTCAAAAGCAACATAAGGGGAGAGAGTTGCTGCACAAGCTGCCCAGGGCTGCAATAACAAAGTACCACAAACTGGGTGGCTTACAACAGACATTTACTGTCTCACAGTTCTAGAGACAGGAAGTCCACACTCAAGGTCCCAGCGGGGCCATGCTCACTCACTCGGAAGGTGCTCGGGAGGGATCTGTTCCAAGCCTCTCTTCCTTGGCTCTAGTTCCTTGGTGTGTGGCAACATCACTCCCATCTGCACGTGGTGTTCTCCTGTGGACATGTCTGTGTGCAAATTCCCCCACCACCCTACCCTTTTTTTTTTTTGATACAAAGTTTCACTCTTGTCGCCCAGGCTGGAGTGCAATGGCACAATCTGGGCTCACTGCAACCTCTGCCTCCCGGGTTCAAGTGATTCTCCTGCCTCAGCCTCCTGAGTAGCTGGGATTACAGGTGCCCACCACCATGCCCAGCTAATTTTTGTATTTTTACTAAAGAGAGAGTTTGACCATATTGGTCAGTCTGGTCTTGAACTCCTGACCTCAAGTGATCCGCCCACCTCAGCCTCCCAAAGTGCTGGGATTATAGGTGTGAGCCACCACACCCGGCCAATTTCCCCTTCTTAGAAGGACACCAGTCATAGTCAATTAGAGTTCACACTAATGATCTCATTTTAACTTGTTTAACCCTATCTCCAAAAACAAACAATACAAAAAGACCCTGTCTCCAGATAGGGTCACATCATGAAGTGCTGGTGGTGAGGATTCCAGCCTATCCTCTGTGGAAGAAACACAATTCAACCCATAAGAACTGCAATCCTGGGCCTTCAAAATAAGGTGGTGGGGCTGTAGGCTGCTTTCTGTCTTTCTCTTTTAACTTCTCTTCTGTACTCCAAGTTTTCCTCTTTCCAGGCAACTGACTTTTCCATATCCCCTGGTCCAGGGTTCCTTAGCCCCTCCTTGGCTACAGCAGGAGGTCTCTTGTGGGATTCTTTCTTCTGCCAGTGGAGGCCCCTGTGCTGAGCCATTGTGATGCTGCAGTGCGAGGTGACTGTATGGTTGGGGATCACTATGGAGTTCAGTCTTCTCACCAGCCAGAGGAGCGACAGATGTGTTCACCGCTTTTCCCAAAAACGTGACAAACCATTCCAAGATAAGCACTGACCAGTCTCAGTGCTTGTTGGCTTGTTTGTTTGGTGCAGAGTTGAGTTAATCATTCTCTCCAGTTCAAGGGAATTTCCATCAAGGGTCATCGCTACCTCCTCTTCTTTTTTTTTTTTTTTTTTTTTTTTTTTTTTTTTTTTTCGAGACAGAGTCTCACTCTGTCGCCCAGGCTGGAGTGCAGTGGCAGGATCTTGGCTCACTGCAACCTCCACCTCCCAGGTTCAAACGATTCTCCTGCCTCAGCCTTCTGAGTAACTGAGATTACAGGTGCCCACAAACATGCCCAGCTAATTTTTGTATTTTGTTTAGTAGAGACGGGGTTTTGCCGTGTTGGCCAGGCTAGTGTTAAACTCCTGATCTCAGGTGATCTGCCCGCCTTGGCCTTCCAAAGTGCTGGGATTACAGGCATGCACCACCATGCCCGCCTAATTTTTTGTATCTTTAATAGAGCCAGGGTTTCACCACGTTGGCCAGGCTGGTCTTGAACTCCTGACCTCAGGTGATCCATTCGCCTCAGCCTCCCAAAGTGCTGGGATTACAGGCATAAGCCACCATGCCCGGCCTACCTCCTCTTCTGCTTGGTCTTTTCCTTTCCTCATCAATCGTCTCTCCCAACCCTGCCTCCTTCCAAAGGCACCCACTCTGGGGTTTGCTGCAGGTCCTTGTCAAGTAGATAGAGGTTTTTTGTTTGTACTTGTAATTTATATAAATAGTGTAGTGTTCTAGATGGTATGTGTCTCACCTGTATCATTCTATTGATGTTCCTCATGTTAATATGATTTTATTCCCACTCCTTGTGTACCATAAGCTCTGACATTTGTTAGGTTAAATAACATTTTATTCTTTCTGGACCAGTTTACATTACACGAGCCTTAGAAGTCACTATAATTGATACTCTCCTCCACATCCTGAAGGGGCAATGCTCAGTCTGATTCGATTGACTTCTCATTCTACATCTTTCCACCCATCTCCCTTGGAAAGGGCAATGGGGCCTTTCCCACTTCACCTCATGTGGCCCAGACACTTAAAAATGCACTGCAGTTGGCCGGGCACGGTGGCTCACACCTGTAATCCCAGCACTTTGGGAGGCCGAGGCGAGCAGATCACGAGGTCAGGAGATCGAGACCATCCTGGCTAACACAGTAAAACCCTGTCTCTACTAAAAATACAAAAAAAATTTGCCGGGCGTGTTGGCAGGAGCCTGTAGTCCCAGCTACTTGGGAGGCTGAGGCAGGAGAATGGTGTGAACCCAGGAGGCAGAGCTTGCAGTGAGTGGAGATAGCACCACTACACTCCAGCCTGGGCGACAGAGCAAGACTCCATCCCAAAAAAAAAAAAAAAAAAAGCACTGCGGTCGAGATAAATGATGCAGTGAGGATTCAACCAGCCATATCCAGCATGTGGGGATTGCAGAGGACAAACGACCTGGTTTCTTTAACACATAAATGTAATTGAAAGAAGGCAAGGGGGTAAGGGAGAAATGACAACGGATTAAGAAATACTTAAGAGATATATCAACCAAATGCAATGTGAGAACTTTATTTAGATCAGGATGTAAAAAAAATAACTGTAAAAAGATATTTTTAAAGATATTGGGGGGCGCTGGGCGTGGTGGCTCACGCCTGTAATCCCAGCACTTTGGGAGACCGAGACGAGAGGACCACTTCAGCCCAGGAGTTCAAGACTAACCTGGGCAACATAGCGAGACCCTGTTTCTATTTAAAAAAAAAAAAAACACAAGATATTAGGGTAATTTGCAACACAGATTATAAATGAGATGAGGTGATGGAATTACTAATTTTGTTAGGCATGGTCATTTCATTATTGGTATGGTAGTTATAAAGTTCTTACCTGCTAGAGATGGAAACTTGAAGCCAGATGAAATAATATGATGTCTAGTATTTGCTTTAGGACTCTAAGCCTAGTGCAGTGGCTCACACCTGTAATCATGGCACTTTGGGAGGCTGAGGTGGGAGGATCGCTTGAGCCCAGGAATTGAAGACCAGCCTCAGCAATATAGCAAGACTCTGACTCTACTACTACTACTACTACTAATAATAATAATAAAAATTAGCCAGGTGTGGTGGTGCACACCTATGGTCCCAGCAATGACTCTAGTGTAGGGGCCAGCAAATTTTTTCTGTAAAGGACCGGATAGCAAATATTTTAGCTTTTGAGGGCCATATGGTCTCTATCATGACTGCTCAGCCTTGCTGTTGTGTTGCAAAAGCAGCTATGGAAAATACATAAGTGAATGGCATGGCCGTGTTGCAATAAAACTTTGTTTACAAGAACAGGAGGCAGGCTGGATTTGGCCCATGGGATTGTCATTTACCAATCCCAGCTCTACCGCAAAAAAAAAGGAGGGGGCAGATAGGTGAAAAAGATGTACAAAATGTCGATATTTGTTGAAGCCGGATGACTTAATACATGGTAGTTCATTTCACTATCTTCTCTATTTTTGTATGTTTGAATATTTCCGTACCTAAAAAATATTCAAATGCATGGAAGAGATCTTTTTGCAGAAAAAGGCCTTTCACCTCCCTCCTTCTCTCTTTATCTCCCCCACTTCTTTTACCTTTGCCTGTCATTTTCTCAGGGCTGTTTCAGATGCCCACTGGCACACACACTTGCACTTCAATGTATTTTCAAAATCAGAGTGAATGTCCTAGGCAGCCCCACTGCTGAGGAATGCCACAGAATTCTGCAGCAAACCCTTAGGATGGGGTCGCAGATGGTTTCCCAAGAGACTCCCAGGCCATTTCCTCTCCGAGTTTTATACCCTTGTAAACACTTTTCCTAAAATGGAGTTTCCAGTCCTGGGGGCTGAAGCAAACCGCCCTCAGGGAAGCACTGTTGTTTTCTTCTTTCTCAGCAGGAAACAGGAATGTCCTGGGGAGTGTTAGAAATTTACCAGACGGCTCTGGTGAAGGGCTGGGAACTTCAGCTGGAATTTGGAATATGGTCAGCATCTGGGAGTTCAAAGGAAAAAATGTGAAGCTATTCATCAGACTCCATAAATTCTCTTAAAAGTAGATCATTATAAAATAAAGAGGAGACACTAGGTCATGTTGTCAGGTTAAAGGAATTACGCACATCTCCCATGAAACTGCCCTGAATGCGTAGGCGGAGCACATATGTCATTTCAAATTGTGGGTGGCAGCTCTACTAAGGAAAGAACAGCCTTTAACCCTTCTTTTCCAAGATCCTTCAGGGCATGACGGGGCCTCTGCAAAAGCTGGCCCTACCCTGTCTTCCCCGTGCAGGAACTGGGTGCTCTCTACCTGTCCTTAGCATGTGCCTCTGCCCCCGCCTGGCAGTGGTACAGGAAAGGGGACCCAATCCAGACCCCAAGAGAGGGTTCTTGGATCTCACACAAGAAAGAATTCAGGGCAAGTCCATAGAGTAAAGTGAAGCAAGTTTATTAGGAAAGTAAAGGAACAAAAGAATGGCTACTTCATGGACAGAGCAGCCCCGAGGGCTGCTGGTTGCCCATTTTTTGTGTTTATTTCTTGATTACATGCTAAACAAGGGGTGGATTATTCACGCCTCCCTTTTTAGACCATATAGGATAACTTCCTGTCATTGCCATGGCATTTGTAAACCATCATGGCGCTGGTGGGAGTGTAGCAGTGAGGATGACCAGAGGCCAGTCTCGTGGCCATCTTGGTTCTGGTGAGATTTAGCCGGCTTCTTTACTGCAACCTGTTTTATCAGCAAGGTCTTCATGACCTGTGTCTTGTGCCGACCTCCTATCTCATCCTGTGACTAGAATGCCTAACCTTCTGGGAATGCAGCCTAGTAGGTTTCAGCCTTATTTTACCCAGCCCCTATTCAAGATGGAGTTGTTCTCGTTCGCATGCCTCTGACAGTAGGATCTTGCTCTCTCTAGTCACTTATCTAAGCTCAGCGTTCCATCTGAGTTCTAGCTCTTGTTGAAGGTAAGAGACCTTTCCTGTCCATGCCAGCTCCTGGTAGGCTCTCTTCTCATGAGCTTCTCCAGCACATTCTGATGGTACCATCTGTTATCACATAATGTGTTTTGCCCTATTTACCACCTAGGAGAATGAATGCTGGCTGCTGTAACAGATGATCCAAATTCTCAGTCGATTAACACAATAAAAGTTATTTTCACTCGTCACAATACAAGGTGACTGTTCCTGGCCAGGTAAGCCTCCCACATAGTCATTCAGGGTCCCCCAAGCTCTCTCTACTTTGTGGCTCCATCCTTTTCTAGGTCCTTGGAGTCTTGGCCGTTTAGTTGGCAGATGAAAAAAGACAGCATGAGGAAGGTACACTCATTTCTTTCGTAAAACACTTTGGGAGATTCATCCATACTGTGACGTGAAGCAACAGTTCATTCTCTTTCATTGCTGTATAATATTCCATTGCATGAACATACCATGATTTATTCATTCATTCTACTACTAATGGGCATTAGGTTGTTTTCCGTTTTAAGCTATTATCAATAAAGCTATTATGAATGTGTCTTTTGGTGCACGTACGTGTACATTTCTGTTGGGCATGTACCTAGAAGTAGAATTCCTGGGTCATAGGGCATACATATGCAAAGATTTGGTATATGTTGGCAAATAGTTTTCCAAAGTGATTAGACAAATCCACATGCCCGTCAGCATTGCATGAGACTTCCAGTTGCTCCACCTCCTTGCTGACACTTGGTATTGTCTCTTTTTCATTTAGCTATGCTGGTATGGCTGCAGTGATGTCTCCTTGTGGTTTTAACTTGCATTTTCCTAATGACTAATGTTATTGAGGACTCTTTTAATAGGTTCATTAGCCATTTTGATATTCTGTTTTGGGAATTTCCTGTCCAAGGCTTTGGCCTACTTTTCTATTGGGAAGTCTGTTCTTTTCTTATTGGTTTGAAGAAGTTATTTATATATTCTGGATATGAATTCTTTGTCAAGTATATGTATTGCAGATATACTCTCATACTCTGGAGCTTTCCTTTTCACTCTCTACATGGTATTCTTGATAAACAGAAGTTTTGAACGTTAACAAAATTATGAAATGTCAATCTTTTCTTTTATGGTTAGTATTTTTTTGTGAACCATTCAAGAAATCTTTGTCTACCTCAAGGTCATGAAGATATTCTATGTTATCTTTTAGAAGCTTTATTATTTTGCCTTTCACATGTAGGTCTATGATTTATCTGTAATTTATTTTTGCGTTTGATATGATGTAGAGATCAAGGTTTGTTTTTTCCTGGTTGAATAACACCATTCTTCCTCCCACTTCATTGCAGTGGGAACTTTGTTGCAAATTAGGTGACTGTTTATGTGTGGGTCCATTTGGGGACTCTATTTTATTATATTGGTCTATTTGTTTATGCTCTCTCTGCTATCATGCACTTTTAGTTATGGTAGCTTAAAAATCAGTGCTTTATATCTTCTATCTTTGTTCTTCCTCAAGATTGTCTTTGCTGTGCTTAGCACTTTGCATTTCAAAATTTGCTTATCAGTTTTTACATGTACACATATAAGTCTGCTGGGATTTTGATTGGAATTGAATTGAATCTATAAATAAATTTGGGGAAGTTAACAGCTTTATAATATTCTTTCAATCCATGGACATAGTAGTATATGCCTCTTTTTTTGTAGTTTTTGGTATAGAAGTCTTACATATCTTTTGTTGTTTATTCCTAGCTAGTGTTTTTTGATGTTATTGACAAGGGAACTATTTTTGCAATTTCACTTTCCAAAGACATACAATTGACTTTTCTATACTGACCTGTCTGGTTATCTTGACACATTAATTTCTTAACCATTTTGACCACTCCCACTCACAGTTCATTAGCCAGAATGAACTGGCTACATCTAAATGCAAGGGAGGCTGGGACAGTGAGCCTACCTGAGTACCTAGGAAGAAACGGAAAGGAATTTCAGTGAACATAGAAGATGCTTCTACACTCTATGTTGAGATTTGAACATCCATGGGTTTACCCTGTGACCTCATTATGCTGCAAGGAGTTATAAAGCTTTATAAAGCTCTCCAGGAACTTAAACCAAGTGTTCAGCCAATTTATAACTTGAGGAGTCCTTTAGAATACTTTAATTTGAAAAAGATTGCATTAAAAGTTAAACTCTTATAAACTGTGGTACATCCATTTGATGGAATATGATTCAGCACTAAGAAGAAATGATCTATCAAGCCATGAAGACATGGAGGAAACTTAAGTGCATATTACTAATCAAAAGAAGCCAATCTGAGAATGCTATATACTGTATGACTCCAATTACATGATACTCTGAAAGAGGCAAAACTATGGAGACAATAAAAAGATCAGTGGTTGCCAGGAGCTAAGGGATGGAGAAGGATGAATAGGCAGAGCACAGAGGATTTTTAGGGCAGTGAAACTACTCCATATGATACTATAATGGTGGACACATGTCATTACACATTTGCTAAAACCCGTAGAATGTATAACAGCAAGAGTGAATCCAAATGTAAACAATGGACTTTGGGTGGTAGTGATGTGTGATAGGTTCATTGATTATAACAAAAGTACCACTCTGGTGTGGGATGTGGGTGGTGGTGGAGGCTTTGCACGTCGTGGGAGGAGGCATATGTGCACTATGTACCTTCTGCTCAATTTTACTGTGAATGTAAAACTGCTCTAAAAAATGAAGTCAGGCAGGCATGGTGACTCATGCCTGTAATCCTAGCAATTTGGGAGGTCAAGGTGGGAGGATCACTTGAACCCAGGAGTTTGAGATCAGCCTGGGCAACATAGAGAGATCCCAACTCTACAAAATAAAAATTAAAAATTAGCCAGGTGTGGTGGTGTGTGCCTGTAGTCTCAGCTATTTCGGAGGCCAAGGAAGGAGAATCCCCTGAGCCCAGGAGTTTGAGGCTACAGTGAGCCAAGATCGCACCACTGCACTCCAGTCTGGGTGAGAGAGTGAGAGCCTGTCTCAAAAAAGAAAAAAAAAGCCCAGGCACAGTGGCTCACACCTGTAATCCCAGCACTTTGGAAGGCTGAGGCAGGCAGATCATGAGGTCAGGAGTTCGAGACCAGCCTGGCCAACATAGCAAAACCACATCTCTACTAAAAATACAAAAATTAGCCAGACATCGTGGTGCACGCCTGTAGTCCCAGCTACTCGGGAGGCTGAGGCAGGAGAATCACTTGAACCCGGGAGGCGGAGGTTGTGTGAGCCAAGATTGCGCCACTGCACTCCAGCCTGGGCAGGAGAGCAAGACTCTGTCTCAAAAAAAAGTCTATTTTGGAAAATTTAAAGTTTGTCACTTTGGATAATCATATGGCCCCAAGGTAATCATAAACATATATGCAAAGCATCACTTTGAAGTCACATGGTAGAAATCTGTCATAAATTCAGAGTGGACATAAAAATGAACCAAATTATGCTCACGTTGCTATGATTTTAGATTAGCATTGAAATAAAATGCATGTCATACACTTCCTAAAGAACTTGCAGGCTATACTCCTGACCCTACTCCATCCCTTGATTATATTACAACTACCTAAGGCTGAAGTCACACATAAACAAGCTATAACCTGCCAAAGCTGGCTTCTTTACCTTGTGAATGACCTGGTTCAATTTTTTTCTCTTACTGCAATCTCTTGTTTTGTTTAATTGCTGTTAACAAGCACAAATGATTCAACTCTTTCAATTCATCTAATTTGCTTATAACAAAGCAGCTAAGCCCAGGTTCAGTCACTAAACCCCAATGACAGGTGTTGGGCATTGCTGAGTTATGATTGGTTGAATTTGAGGGTGGTCTTTCGTCTGTCAACAATGCCCATTCATGAGACTACAAGATAGAATTAACTGCTTTTACAGCTGGGTGCAGTGGCTTATGCCTGTAATCCCAGCACTTTAGGAGGACAAGGTGGACAAATCACTTGAGGTCAGGAGTTTGAGACCAGCCTGGCCAACATGGTGAAACCTTGTCTCTAGCAAAAAATACAAAAATTAGCCAGACATGGTGGCGGGCACCTGTAGTCCAAGCTACTTGGGAGGCTGAGGCACAAGAATCACTTGAACCCAGGAGGCAGAGGTTGCAGTGAGACCCTGTTTAAAAAAAAAAAATTAAGAATTAACTGCTTTTTTTTTTTTCCTTGAGATGAAGTCTCTGTTGCCCAAGCTGGAGTGCAGTGGCGCAATCTTTGCTCACTGCAACCTCCACCTCCCGGGTTCAGGTGATTCTTCTGCCTCAGCCTCCCGAGTAGCTGGGACCACAGGCGCATGCCACCGTGCCCGGCTAATTTTTGTATTTTTAGTAGAGACGGGGGTTCACTATATTGGCCAAGCTGGTCTCAAACTCCTGACTCCATGAGCCGTGAGCCGTCCGCCTCGGCCTCCCAAAGTGCTGGGATTACAGGCGTGAGCCACCGCGCCTGGCCCGAATTAACTGCTTTTACAGTGATCAGATGTGCTCTTCTTTCCTATTTTTCACAGGACATAATTTATATGAGTACATACCTGCAATGCTCAGTTCAATGGATTCCTAAGTTGGGATATGCCAACACAAAGTCTCCCCCTAAAAACATGTGCACATTTTCACTGCGCGTTTTGTGTAGATTGCACCTCTGTGAACAAAGGGGAAACTTGTGTATGAATGGAGTGCTGCCTGGTTTCACATCAGGCCAGGAGGGTATCTGATGAAAACTATCAAGGGCTGAGGCTCAGGTACAATCCTGCAACAGTTTGAACGCCAAGGAACAGTCCTAGGCCCTGAGTCTCCTCACAGAGGAGCTGCATCTGGTTATGCTTCATGCCCTCCACTGCAAGTCTTGCAGAGAAAGGGAGCTGCTCAGGGGGTGGTTTCCTGGCTCTACAGAACCTTGTTCTCACTTTCTCTTACCTTCCCTCTCCCTCCCCTCCTCTTTTCTCTCTCACTGTCTTGGCAGATGTTTAGCTAAGTGAGTTTCCTATTGTGGTCCTGTCAGAGGCCTGTGAACCAGAGCAACTCTGAACAGGAGCTGGGTAAAATGAGGCTGAAACCTACTGGGCTGCATTCCCAGACGGTTAAGACATTCTAAATGACAGGATAAGGTAAAAGGGCGGCACAAAATACAGGTCATAGAGACTTTGCTGATAAAACAGGTTGCAGTAAAAAAGCTGGCCAAAACACACCAAAACCAAGATAGCCACAAGAGTGACCTCTGGTCATCCTCACTGCTACACTCTCATTAGTGCCATGACAGTTTACAAATGCCATGGCAACGTCAGGAAGTTACCCTATATGGTCTAAAAAGGGGAGGCATGAATAATCCACCCCTTGTTTAGCATATCATCAAGAAATAACTATAAAAATGGGCAGCCAGCAGCCCTCGGGGCTGCTCTGTCTATGGAGTAGTCATCTTTTTATTCCTTTACTTTCTTAATAAATTTGTTTTTGCTTTGCACTGTGGGCTGGCCCTGAATTCTTTCTTGCATGAGATCCAAGAACCCTCTCTTGGAGTCTAGATGGGGACCCCTTTCCTGTAACATCTTCTCCTCCATTCCCCCACCCCCTGCACTCCCCAGCACACAGGGCTTTGCCGTTAGATGGCCTCTCTAATTTTTGTTTTGCTTTGTTTCAATATGTTTCTTTTTTATTTGCATAAATTTAAGGGGCACAAATGCAATTTTCTTTTCTCTTTTAAAAAATAATTTCAAGTTTTATTTTAGATGCAGGGGGTACATGTGCAGGTTTGTTCCCCAGGCACATTGCATGGTGCTCAGGTTGGGGATATGATCAATCCTGTCACCCAGGCAGTGAGCATAGTACCCAATAGTTTCTCAACCCTTGCCCTTCTCCCTCCCTCCCACACTAGCAGTCTGCATTGTCTATTTTTTTTTTCTTTTTTTGGATTGGGGGGGTTTTTTGTTTTTTTTGAGACGGAATCTTGCTCTGTTGCCTAGGCTGGAGTGCAATGGCATGATCTCGGCTCACTGCAACCTCTGCCTCCTGGGTTCAAGCTATTCTCCTGCCTCAGCCTCCCAAGTAGCTGGGATTACAGGCACCCGCCATCATGCGCGGCTAATTTTTGTAGAGATGGGTTTCACCATGTTGGCCAGGGTGGTCTTGAACTCCTGACCTCAGGTGATCTGCCTGCCTCAGTCTCCCAAAATGCCGGGATTACAGGCATGAGCCACCGCACCCAGCCCCCAGTGTCTATTTTTGCCATCTCTATGTCCATGAGAGTGGAATGTTTAGCTCCCATTTATAAGTGAGAACATGCAGTATTTGCTCTTCTCTTCCTGCATTAATTCCTATGCGTTAGGATAATGGCCTCCAGCTGCAGCCATGTTGCTGCAAAGGAAATGACTTCGTTCTTTTTTATGGCTGTGACAAATGCAATTTTCTTACATGGGTATCTTGTTAGTGGTGAAGTCTGGGCTTCAATGCATTCATCACCAGAATAATGTATATCGTGCCCATTAAGTAATTTCTCATCATCCACCCTCCTCTCACTTGTTTCAATATATTAGGGGTTTTTGTTTTGTTTTGTTTTAATGTGCTGGTGAATCACATCTGAACTTTAATTAGTGGCTTACATTAAAATTCTAAGGCCAGAAGTAAACGTGCCCAGACACATTGGCCTTCCGGGGTTCAAGAAAAAAAGAAATCCTCACAGCCTTTATCTCCTCTCCTCCACGTGTCAGCTGTAGTTTTTCTGGTCAGCACATTCTGGTCAGAGTTCTTGGTGTATGTTGCAATGTGTGTGTGCTTTTTTGGTTTCTTTTTTTGTTTTTCGAGAAAATGAGAATGGTAGAGCAGGATGACCCTGCATAACAGAGTGGGTAGGGCTGGCATAGCCCATTTCCATCATCATAGAATATTCCCATGATCTATGCCTCACTTAGGACCGAACCCTAGCCAAAGAGAACAAAGAGGCTTATCTAAAATACACTCCCTGACCAAATATTAGGTTAATAATGGGTTAATATTACCATCTTCTTAGATTATATAGTATTTTAGAACCAAATTAAGAATAATAAAACCAGGTGCCATGGCTCATGTCTGTAATCCCAGCACTTTGGGAGGGCAAGGCAGATGATAGCTTGAACCCAGGAGTTGGAGACCAGCCTGGGCAACATGGCGACACCCCGTTTTTACAAAAAATACAAAAATTAGCGAGGCACGATTTAGTCCCAGCTACTCAAGAGGCTAAAGTGGGAGGATTAATTGAGCCTGGGAATTCAAGACTCCAGTGAGCTATAATTGTGCCACTGCACTCCAGCCTGGGCAACAGAATGAGACCGTGTCAAAAAATAAAAAAGAATAAGAGCTACTATTAATATTTATTGAGCATTTACTATGTGCCAAGATTTTTGGATCCTTAAAATAATTCTGTGTGGTAGATATAACTACTAAATTGAAGGTTGCCCCATGTCCCGTAGCTGATAAGGCTGAAGCTATTAAAGGACAGTTCTGCTTATCTAATCTAGTGCTATTTGGCTGTATTCATTTCTATGGAGGCAATAAAATTGTAGGACAAAATAGATTATTTCAGGAGGCAAGTATTGAAATTTTCACTTAATCCAGTTCTCTTCAAGGTAAAAAACAAGGTCTAGCTGATTATCTCTATATTCTGGTCAGCTGAGTAACTCCTTCCTGGGGCCAGTGGCAAAGCCTGCCACAGATCTCGGAACCTGCAACTGAGGGGAAGGTTTGGAACTGGGTTTGGCGGGCGGAGTTCACTGACATTCTCAAAAGGCCCAGCAGGTGGCAGTGTTTCTCACTCCGCCAGAGCCCACGAGGGCCTCCAACAGGTCGCCCTAGAGACGTGAAGACAAACGTGGGGGCAGAAAGACCATGCCTGTGTTGTAATTTTCAAAACTTCGTCTTTTTATACATTTTATTTTTAAAACATTTTAGTAAAAATAAACAGAGTAGGCTTTAGTAGAAATAGGAGCAGGCACCTCCTTCCCTGCGCATCACCAGCTGCTCTCGGCTGCCCAAGCCCCTCACTGTGATGCTTACCACAGATCTGTCCTTCCAGAAACACCTCCAGGAGGATTATTTCCAATCCCCAGCTTCAACCGCCTGTCCTGCCACCCTCGTCACCCACCTGCCAGTTTGCTGCCCCACTTCCTGGAAGGCCAGCTCTGTGCAAATCTGGTGAGCCGACTCCAGTGGCTCAGCTCAGCTGTGATTCCCCCGGAACCCAGCACACCTCCAGGGAGACCGTGAGAGAGGCCATCTGAGGATAGCGCTGGTACCCACACGAGTAACTACAGGTGGCGGCTGTTTGCTGACATTTCAGGCCCAATAGAGGCTTTGCCAGGTTTATGCCTGCACCTCCAGTAGGGAGCTACTGCAGGTTCAGCTGCAAGCAGCAGTGAGAAGTGTCTCCTCCCACCCACAGCCTTCACATAAGTACTTCTACCATCTGCCGTACAGCCTGAAGTCCCAGGTTTGGGGATGGGTGACACACATCTTTTCAAGTTAAAAAAAATTTTTTTTGTTTTTGTTTCTTTGTGGAGACAGGGTCTATGTTGCTCAGGCTCCTGGACTCAAGCCATCTCCCACCCTGGCCTCCCCAAGTGCTGGGATTATAGGCCTGAGCCACCACACCTGGCCTCATACACTCCTTTTGATTTTGAGGATGGTCAGATTTTCAAGAGCTTCATATAAAAAACGTGAATGTATCATGATTGGGGAGTTCGCATCAAATCCAGATGCAAATACTATGGAAGTGGAGGGGAGATGGTTCAAAATAAACATGGTAAGAAGCTCATTGGTGCTGGGCACGGTGGCTCAGATCTGTAATCCCAGAACTTTGGGAGACCGCGGCAGGTGGATCGCTTGAGGTCAAGAGTTTGAGACCAGCCTGGACAACATGGTGAAACCCCCGTCTCTACTAAAAATACAAAAATTAGCCGGGCATAGTGGTGGGCGCCTGTAATCCCAGCAACTCTGGAGGCTGAAGTAGAGAATCACTTGAACCTGGGAGGTGGAGGTTGCAGTGAGCCAAGGTTGTGCCATTGCACTCCAGCCTGGGTGACAGAGTGAGACTCCATCTCAAAACAAAACACAAAAAAACTCATTGGTAATTTTCCTAATGATTGTCGTTTCTTATGCAAAAATTGTATTAATTTTAAAGTTAATTAAAAAGTCAAACATTCCTAAAAAGTTTTTTTTTTTTAAACAGACCACTTTAACCCCTCCAAGATTTGGTTGGAGGGGCAGGCATCAGGCAGGTAGGAGATGCTAGGAAATTTGAGGGGAAACTTTTATTAAGTCTGTCCTTTGCCTATTGGCTAACTTTAATGGGGATTGCTAAATGCCTACTGTGTGCCATGCGATATGATAGACACTATGTATAGATTGTATTATTTAGTATTGGGCCATTTTATGGACAGGAAACCAAGGCTTAGCACAGTCAACTTGTCCAAAGTCAGCTAACTTACAAGCAGTAGCCAGGATTCAAGAACTTTCTGCTTTTCTACTTGACCACACTGCAACATAACCAACATAACAAATCTAAGGTAAGTGACTAGTTGCTGGAAATCCCCCAGTCTTTGTCCGAGGTCTTTATTGAAATGCAAGGACAGAATTATAGTTAATTCCTCTGACTTCCTGGGTTCTCAAATGCTCCCATGTGGGAAATGCTATACGTACAAGGATGTCCTATGACTGTACCTACAATCAGGACTGGTGTTCAGACATGGGGACTTCCATGTGGACTAGCAATGCCATATGCTATTCAAAAGGGGGATTTGCTCAGCCCATGGGAAACACAGTGAAGCCCTGATTCCGACTGCATGTCCTTTTTTATTCCCAACACACAGAACTCAGTACTCTTTGCCCTGTTCCCTGTGCACCTCCTGGTGGCTCTTCCTTCCCGCTCTCCTTCCTGAGAAAGTCTGTTTTGCTCTCAGGCCTTAGCAATCAGGGCCAGCCCATTGTATTTGGTTTCCATGGAATGGAATTTATATTCTTGAATATATTGAAGGGGTATATTTTTCTTTCCACTTAAATCATGATGCTCTGTGGCTCTCCACTCATTTAATCAACAGGTTTCTATGCTTCAGGGAAAGAGAGATACTGTTGGGAACAACCAGTTCACTGCTTAGTTTTGGTTGCCAAATTCATTTTTTTTAATCCCTTGCAAGACAATAGTAGTGAAAAATTGTCTCTAAAGTGGGGTGTGCCCAAGACAGCACAATGGGGACAGAAAGCAAATATTAGAATTGTTATTTTCATTTTTTACCTTATCTTTTAAAATGTCCATTTTGGGATGTATGTGTTATAACGCATGTAATATATTAATACAGTGTTACATGTATATCTACCATATACAGATATACATGTTACCATATATACATATATAACCAAGTATATATTAATATATATGGCATACACAAATATATTAAATATACATTTATGTATGTGCTTAAGTTTTTTTTGTTGTTAGGAATGCATGATCAAAAAATTAAGGCCACTACTCTTGAAAGGAAGACTTGGTTTTGAGTAGATAATTTTTTTTCTAAATTCTAAAAAGTTCACTTTAACGATCAAAAGTATAGCTTAGAGTTCTATGTTGACTTCTACTACGAGCCTTAGGTAGAGATAACTTAAGCACCCACTCATCTGGGGGAAAATAGACTGTATCTCCAGTGTGGGAAGCTGAGGGAGAGAGAAGGTAGAAGGCAAATAGTGTATGTGGGGCAGGGAAGGGGAGCAGGTCCCACTCCCCACTTGGGTAGGTTTAGAAGGCTCCTGTTGGGTAAGTTTAGGAAACTCCAGAACAGTGGGGCTGTTTTTTCTTTCCTCAAGTGTCTTAGGGAAGGTCCGGGTCCAACATGGGCCCCCCAGGCTGAAGGTGGGCTGCCGGACAGCCTCACAGAGCCCTGAGCCCTGCAAGGTGAATGTAGAGGCAGCTGGGGGGCCCAAAGCCCTAAGGGGTTGAGTCCTTAGAACCAGTGGATTCCAGAAGGTTGGGGGAGAATGAGACGCCACAAAATGCAAAAACCAAATGACCAGAGGAAACACAGATGTAGGGGCTAAAAGGGCCAGGTGGGACCAGCTTCACTTGAGCAAGCCAGTGGCAGGCATAGGATGGTGGGGGCCCAGCCCGGCCCAGCCACCCTACAGTGAAGACAGGGAAGGATGTGGCAGACGGCCTCCGGGCCTCCACCCCCACAAGGACACGAGCACATGCCTTCCCATCCTGATGCTTCTGTAGCCGCATACCATCTGCTATGGGCTGAACTGTGCCCAGCCCCATTCCTATGTTGAAATCCTAACCTCCAGTGCCTCAGAAGGTGACCTTATGTGGAAACAGAGTGGTTGCAGATATAATTAGTTAAGATGAGGTCATACTGAAGTAGGGTGAGCCCCTGATCCAACATAATTTGTGTCCTTATAAAAAGGGGAAGTCGGCCGGGCGCGGTGGCTCACGCCTGTAATCCCAGCACTTTGGGAGGCCGAGGCGGGTGGATCATGAGGTCAGGAGATCGAGACCATCCTGGCTAACAAGGTGAAACCCCGTCTCTACTAAAAATACAAAAAATTAGCCGGGCGCGGTGGCGGGCGCCTGTAGTCCCAGCTACTCGGGAGGCTGAGGCAGGAGAATGGCGTGAACCCGGGAAGCGGAGCTTGCTGTGAGCCGAGATTGCGCCACTGCAGTCCGCAGTCCGGCCTGGGCGACAGAGCGAGACTCTGTCTCAAAAAAAAAAAAAAAAAAAAAAAAAAAAGGGAAGTCAGAGACAGATGCACACAGGAAGGACACCATGTGAAGAGACACAGGAGGAAGACAGCCAGCTACAAGCCAAGGACAAAGGCCTGGGACAGATCCTTCCCTCAGAAGGGACCAACCCTGCCAACACCTTAAACTCAGATTTCCAGCCTCCAGAAGTGAGAGACAATAAATTCCTATTGTGTAAACCATTCCATCTGTGGCACTTTATTACGGCAGTGTTAGCAAATATCGCACCAGCTTTGCTAAACAAGCAAGGGGGTGGGGAGAGATTGGAAAGACTAGACCATTATTCAAGAGGGGCCGAGATCATCTGGAAGAGACTGTACTAAATGGAAAGAAAATTAGTTCTCCTGAGTTACCTTTCATAGACAAGTGAAGTCCTCTGCCCCCACCAGAGGCAATAGAAGCCTTAGAGGAAGATAAGAATAATCACAAAGAAGCCTGTCCTTTTTTGCACATCTGAGTACACTGAATAAAATTCCAGCTGTATTCGAATCTCAGAGATATAGCCTATCCTGGCCTGCTCTCTCGGTGTGACCAGAACCCATCCTCCTGGGCATTTTATGATTTCTAGACTGGCCACTTTCTTCTCATTGATACCAGCTTCCTGACTCGTTGCCATAGTTCCAGTGGCAAATTCCTAAGCTGGCCACAAGAGCAGTGGCATGCTGACGTGGGTTTGTACCAGCTCCCAAGAGCTGGCTGTTAAATTTTCAGGAATTTTGTGAGCCAGTTAAACACGGCCATTATTAAAGATCAAATTATAAATATGACCAAAATTTTTAAAAAGTATTGAATACTCAAAAATCATCATTTTCTAATTATTTTCTTATATTTTACTATTATGTTTTCTGGGTTATTATATCTGTTACATTTGTATGATGGAAATACTTTGTAATGAATTGTTACTGTGTGTTTCTTCCCAATTTCATGTTCAGTAAATTCAGGTAGCTCAAAATCAACTATAGTGGGAGTATTTACACTATGGAAATTGGTAAATGCTACATATCAGCCCCCACCTCAAGGAGAGCCAGTTGTTAAAAATTTACTAGCATAGGCTGGGCGCAGTGGCTCATGCCTGTAATCCCAGCACTTTGGGAGGCCAAGGTGGGCGGATCACCTGAGGTCAGGAGTTCAGACCAGCCTGACCAACATGGAGAAACCCCATCTCTACTAAAAATACAAAATTAGCCAGGCGTGGTGGCACATGTCTGTAATCCCAACTACTTGGGAGGCTAAGGCCATAGAATAACTTGAACCCAAGAGGCAGAGGTTGCGGTGAGCTGAGATTGTGCCATTGTACTCTAGTCTGAGCAACAAGAGCAAGACTCCGTCTCAAAAAAAAAAAAAAATATACCAGCCCATCACTACATAGATGCTGCCATGGGCCTTGAGTTCTGCATTCTTTTTTGAGATGAGGTCTTACTCTGTCACCCAGGCTGGAGTGCAATGACAGGATCACAGCTCACTGCAACCTTGACCTCCCACGTTCAGGTGATCCTCCTGCCTCAGCCTCCTGAGTAGCTGAGACTACAGGTGCATGCCACCATGCCCAGTTAATTTTTGTATTTTTAGTGGAGTCAGGGTTTTGCCACATTGCTCAGGTTGGTCTCAAACTCCTGAGTTCAAGTGATCCATCCACCTCAGCCTCCCAAAGTGCTGGGATTACAGGTTGGGCTCTGTATTCAGATCTACTAGTAGATCAACTGAAAAAGCTTGAGAAACAATTATTATCAGCTGTACCCAGGTCTGATCTGGGATTTAAATTATCAAAGAGTGATGAGAACAGTCTTCCACCATTCCATAGAGGAGGGAGACTCCCAGTGAGGGTGACACCAGTGAGACCTCTACTGTCTTTCCAGACTTGGGGCAGGACACTAGGCAAAGAGCTACTCACTTCCACACCTTTGTTGTCTTTTGCTACTATTGAGTGACAGTGCTGAACAGGGAACCTCTGAGCAGACTGCCACCTGACAACCTTTATTGGTTTAAAATAACCTGGAGTAACTCTTAATCCTGCTTCTGGCAACAAGAGAATGACGGAATTCAAATGGGTCCAAGACTTCCAGGACTGAACTGCTGTCCTCTGCAATCCATTCTGTAAACCCCCCTCTTCCACCTGCTAATGTGGTATCCACAGCAGAGCTGAGTCCTGGGGGAGACTTCTCTTTCTGCATAGTAACAGGTGTAAAAATAGCAGCTGACCCCTTCAGGGATAGGTGTCAGGCAAAAATGTCTCGGGGACCACAGTAGTTGTAGTCTGGGGATGGTAGGGGCTGACCTGGGCTTGTATCCAGCTCTACCATTTACCAACTATGTGGTCTTGGGCAAGGGATGATCTTTCCAAACCTCCTTTTCTCATCTGTACAGTAGGGAAACAAGACAGATTCGCAAAAGTGGAATGAATGAGAGATAGAGACTTAAGTATATATACAGTTGTTCTTCGGTACCCATGGGGGATTGGTTCCAGGACCCTCCACCAAAATCTGCAGATACTCAAGTCCCTGATATAAATGGTGTAGTATTTGCATATAACCCATGCAATCCTCCACTATAAATCATAAATCCTCCCATATAAATCATCTCTAGGTTACTTATGATACCTAATACAATGTAAATGCTATGTAAATAGTTGTTATACTCTGTTGTTTAGGGGATAATGACAAGAAGTCTGTACATGTTCAGTACAGATGTCATTTTTTTTCTCAAATGCTTTTGATCTGTGATTGATTGAGCCCAAGAATTCAGGACACACAGGTACAGAGGGCCAACTGCATTTCAAAGTTACATTCTTAACCAATGCAATAGAGTGAAAAATAGGAATTTAGCTCTAAAGAAATGGTGGGGTCACAGGGTGGTGACATATCTAAATCCTAGTCTGTCGGAGCAGAACAACAGAAGGTAAGCATATTATTTAGAGGGAAAAAGGTAGCTCCCAGAAGCAGCAAAAGCAGAAAAAGTAAAAGTAGTTACGTTTAGAGTTTGGGACTTCAGCTGGGGAGAGATGCAGCTGTTGGATTTTATTGCTGGACTTTCCAAATTTCTTACCTTTTTCTTTTTTTTTGAGACGGAGTTTCACTCTTGTTGCCCAGGCTGGAGTGCAATGGCATGATCTCGGCTCACCACAACCTCCACCCGCTGGGTTCAAGCGATTCTCCTACCTCAGCCTCCCAAGTAGCTGGGATTACAGGCGCCCACCACGCCCAGCTAATTTTTGGTATTTTTAGTAGAGATGGGGTTTCTCCATGTGGGTCAGGCTGGTCTCAAACTCCTGACCTCAGGTGATCCACCCGCCTTGGCCTCCCAAAGTGCTGGGATTACAGACCTGAGCCACCGCCCCCAGCCAAATTTCTTACTTTTTAATCATGTGTATGTATTACCTTGACTCCCTTTATTAAAAAAGAAAATAGCTGTGCATTATATTAACTAGATTTCTAATCTATCTCTTACAGGGTTGATTTTAATTTTCTTTTCCCTGCATGTGAGACATGCTTTGCCACAGCACAGGGCCCTTGGAAACAGTTTGTTTTTATAGCTTCTGTGTCTCTGTAGGTTTCTATAGCTCCTTGAAGTCTGTTTTGTGTATCTCTTGATTTATAAGATGTTCGTGAATCATTCCAAATAAAGACTTCCTTCTTGCAAAAATATGTAAAGAAATAGCAAGGGATGATTCAGAGTTTGAGGCGAGCACTTTCATCTCCAAAGAGCTAAGCAGTGAGCTGGGCAGCACGCAGTCACGGCCAGCCTGGCTAGCACATCATCTGCGCTCAGCTGGGCCTGGCCATGGCCTCAGAACCAGTCTGCCCCCTGCTTGGCACTCTCCAGCAAACGCACTTCCCTCCCCCACCCCTGTCTCCAGGCCACACTGGAAATCTCACACCCATTAACCTCAAGTTCACAGGCCTGTAGCGTCCACAGATAGTCTTCAGGGGACCCACAACCCACTAGAATTACATTTGCAACCTTGTGTTTTCTGGGAAGAGTGTGCAGATAGTCTTTAGATTTTCAGTGAGCTGTACATAGGTCTCCAACTCTCCTCAAAAGGCAACTTGAAGTGGTATTTACACCCATAGAAACAGTAAAGACTGTGATTCTCTACCCCTTATCATGCTTTCAGCATAGGATGGTGGCTAGAAGCCCCACCTCTGGACTAGACTGCCTTGTCTTTAAGCCTTCCTCCACCATTTCCTAGCTATGTGACCTCAAGCAAAGTGCATCACCTCTCTGTGCCTTTGTTTTCCCAATTATAAAATGGGACAAATAATAGTACCTACCTTCTTGGCTCATTGTGAGGGTTAAAGGAGTTAATATAGGTGAAATGCTTAGAGCCTGGCACCAAGGCAGTTTCAGGTGGTGTTTGGCCCCGCCCTGCTGAAGTCTGACAACTCACAAATGGTCACCCCATTGCTGTGTGCATATCTTCCATGTGCTTGGGGATGTAGCTGAAGCACATCCTAGGGGTCAGTGTGGTGGTTCAGGGTGCTCTAAATGCATAGGTGACACTACAGAGATCCCATGGAGGGGAGCGGAAACTGCCAAAGGCTGTGTGTTGGGTAGGGAGTAGTCATGGCAGCTTCTGCACTGAGCCCTCCCCCAGTGGCTTCCTGGGGCTCCTTCATCTGCTGGACCTAGAAGAACTGTGTATCGTTCTCCTCGACATCGTCCCATCTAACACACCCTCCTCTCTGCCTACTTGAACCTCCACTCATCCTTGGAGACTTCGCTTGAGTCCCCCACTGAGGAGTCTTTTGTGACCACTGCCTCCCCATGTGAAACACACTGCTCTTTCTATGGGACTTGTATTAATCTGTTCTCATACTGCTCTAAAGAACTGCCCAAGACTGAGTAATTTTTGTTTGTTTGTTTGTTTGTTGAGATGGAGTTTTGCTCTTGTTGCCCAGGCTGGAGTGCGATGGTGCAATCTTGGCTCACTGCAACCTCCACCTCCTGGGTTCAAGCTATTCTCCTGCCTCAGCCTCCCAATTAGCTGGGATTACAGGCATGAGCCACCACACCTGGCTAATTTTTGTATTTTTAGTAGAGACAGGGTTTCACCATGTTGCTCCTGACCTCAGGTGATCCACCCACCTTGGCCTCCCAAAGTGCTGGGATTATAGGTGTGAGCCACCTTGCCCAGCCGAGACTGGGTAATTTATAAAGGAAAAAGGTTTAATTGACTCACAGTTCCACATGGCTGGGGAGGCCTCAGGAAACTTACAATCATGGTGGAAGGGGAAGCAGGTACCTTCTTCACAAGGTGGTAGGACAGAGAAGAGTGAAGGAGGAACTTCCAATCACTTATAAAACCATCAGAACTCGTGAGAACTCACAAGAACAGCATGGGGGAACCACCCCCAAGATCCAATCATCATCCTCCCTTGACACATGGGGATTACAGGTCCCTCCCTCGACATGTGAGGATTACAATTCAAGATGAGATTTGGGTGGAGAAACAGAGCCAAACCATATCAGGACCCTTTGTGTTTACTGTGTTTAGTGCAAGCCATGCCGTGTGCAAAGTGAGCCTCATGCATTAGCTCATTTAATTCTCACAACAACCTTTACAATAAACAGAAATGATGATTATCCTTCATTACAGATAAGAAAATTTAGGCTTAGATAAATATTTAAAACTTCATCTGCCTGAGGCCAGGACCCATGCTTTTATCCACTTCTCTAAACAACCTCTCTGATTCTGCCCAACTCCTGCAATGCTTTTTTTCCCCTTAGTTAAAAAACCTCCTGTGGCCCTCTTGAAGACAGGTTCATATCTGATTCATTTTTGTATCCCAAACATCTATTATTGTGCCCAGCATATAGTAGGCACTCAGTAAATGTTAAATGGATGGAGTGATCTGGAATTTGGGCTCTGCAAAAATTTTGCCATGACTTTCTCCAGGTCATAACCTTTTAAAAAGGCTTCTAGCCTATATCAGGGTAAATGCTTACTTAATTCAATAAAAAGTATATATTTACTTAGTACCTACTATGTGACAAGCACATAGGTCTCCAATACTCCTGACAAAGGAACTGTAAGTGGTTTTTACACCTATGGGAACAGTAAAGATGGTGATTCTCTTTCCCTTATCATGCTTCTAACATAGCACAGTGGATCCCCACCCCCAGACTAGAGGTTACAGCAATAAATAAAACAGCAAACCCCTCCACCTCACCCTCTTGAAGCTTATATTGTCTTTTCATTTGAAGAAAGCCTCACTGGGCACCTCCCCTTGGCAGTGCCATTATGACACTTCTTGCTGATAGTGTTTGTATTAGTCCATTCTCATGCTGCTAATAAAGACATACCCAAGACTGGGTAATTTATAAAGAAAAGAGGTTTAATTGACTCGTAGTTCAGCAGGGCTCGGGAGGCCTCCAGAAACTTAACAGTCATGGCAGAAAGGGAAGCAAACATGTCCTTCTTCACATGGTGGTAGCAAGAAGTGCCAAGCAAAAGGGGGGAAAAAAGCCCTTAAAAACCATCAGATCTCATGAGAACTCACTCACTATCACAGGAACAGCAGCATGGGGGTAACCGTCCCCATGATTCAATTACCTCCCACCAGGTCCCTCTCACAACATGTGGGGATTATGGGAGCTACAATTCAAGATGAGATTTGGGTAGGGACACAGCCAAACTGTATCAGTGGTGAAGACTAGACCTGTCCTCTTAGAGTTATCATACAATCCAGATGAATAAATACACAGGTAAAAATAAAAGGCAACTCCCACACAAAAACCAAACTACAGTGGCTCCCGGCTCCCAGCTCCCAGGCAGGCTGAGAGCCCCAGGGCCACTGGCTCAGGTGCATGTTTTCCTGAGCAGCCCTTCAGACCCGGCAGAGGCCCTCACGGAGCAAGTCGGGGGGCACTCCCAGTGTTCTCCTCTGGCTTCACCCCTCACACATGCTGGGCTCCTGCCTCTTCCTCCCTCCTGCTCCAGATCCAGAAGAAGGGCCTGGGCAGGCCCCGTGGTACTCCTGACTTGCCTGGGCTGTTGTTAGCATAGAGATCAAAAAGAGAAAGTGCAGCCAGGGGGTGCGGGGAGAAGCTGGTGAGCCGAGGCAAGAGCTGGCTCCGGAGTTGGCAGCAGCCAGGACACCCAGGTCAAGTGCAAGGAAACAGCGCAGAGGCACTGAGACCGACAAGAGACCCAAGGTCACAGAGCTCACCGCGCATGTCCTTCCTGTTATTTTCCCTCCATGTGCAGAGTTTAAAGTATGAAATCCCTGTAGCTGTGAAAGCGGGGAGACATAAGAGTCTGTTGCCTCAGGGAGAATCTTACTATTGGATTACAAAGGCTCAATATGGAACTCAGAGGGTGGGGCAGATCAGCTCTGGATTCTTTCCTTCTATTTGCCTTTCTGCCCCTACCTACAAGACAAACAGAGCAGCCTGTTGTCTGACCTCCTCAAGCCTATAAGAGTCTCTGCACAAATCTTCACCATTCTTCGGCAGCTCTTTCTGGGGTATCTTCCTGCCCCTCACCTTCCACCCCGGCTAGCCTTTGGCTCACCCTCTGTCCAACCCCACACCTGACCCCAGCTTCTGAAATGAGCTATTCTTATTTCTGAGACTATATATGCATGTATTGGGTCACTTGGGGCCAGCGTGGGGGAGCTGGGATTTAGGGGCTCCTTCACCTTCAGGAGTTCAAATCGTCATTTGATTTAGGGGTAGGCCTGCAGCCTAACAGGGTTCTGTTATTTGGTTAAACCAGTTGAAGCAGAAAGGAAGCATTTCAAAGTAAAGGAAGGGGCCACAGCGTCAGCCCCTGGAAGGGCTCAGCTCACCCTCACTTTCACACAGTGTAGAATAGCTTGATTGTTTTCCTTCCTTTCTTGAATAACTCTTCCTTAATTTTTTTTCCCAGAGATAAGTTCTGTCCCCCAGGCTGGAGTGCAGTGGCGTGATCATAGCTCACTGCAACCTTGAACTCCTGGGCTCAAGTGATCCTCCCACCTCAGCCTCCCAAGTAGCCAGGACGACAGGTGCATGCCACCATGCCTGGCTCATTTTTTAAAAATTTTTTGTAGAGACAAGGTCTCACTATGTTGCCCAGGCTGGTCTCAAACTCCTCATTACAAGTTATCCTCCTGCCTTGGCCTCCCAAAGTGCTGGGATTCCAGGCGTGAACCACCACGCTCAGCCTCTTGCTTGATTTTTTTCTTTCTTTTTTTTTGAGATGGAGTCTCACTCTGTTGCCCAGGCTGGAGTGCAGTGGCACAATCTGGGCTCACTGCAAGCTCCGCCTCCCGAGTTCATGCCATTCTCCTGCCTCAGCCTCCTGAGTAGCTGGGACTACAGGCACCCACCACCACACCCGGCTAATTTTTTTTGTATTTTTAGTAGAGACGGGGTTTCACCATGTTAGCCAGCATGGTCTCAATCTCCTGACCTCATGATCCTCCCTCCTCAGCCTCCCAAAGTGCTGGGATTACAGGCGTGAGCCACTGCGACCGGCCTCTCTTCCTTGATTTTTAAGACTCAGTTCAAAGAGCTCTTCTGATTCTCCTTCCATGAGCCCTCCAGGCCACAGTGACCTCAAACTGCTCTGAGTTTGTAAAGCTGTCCACCGCATATGCAACAAATGTAACTCCATATTGCTGTGCGTCTTCTCCTGGGTTGAGTATTGATCTGTTCTTGATCAGCTTCATGGGTCTATGCTGAGACTATGTTCTGACTGCACAGTCTAGGTGGTGAACTACTTGGGGCAGAGGGCAGACCTCTACCTTTGTGAATCTCCCACGGCCTCTTGGCATCTTGGCAGGTATGGGGTAAATATCTGCTTCCTTGTTGATGGATGGATGATTAAAGATGGAAACTGGCTCCGTCATTTGATTGGCTTTTCTAATAAGATAGGGAGGTGGGTGGCACTTCTGAAAATGACCCATATCTTGTCTATTCTTTGCTTAATGTGCTGTTTCAGCAAAAACCAAGGCTGAACAGAAGCCTAGAGGGGTGGAAATTACAGGGAAGGTTGTGCTTTTTTAGGCCCATGTTCCAAAGTGATGATAAAACATCCAACTACACTTCCATTCCTAGCTCAGAAACCACAACAGATGGAAGCGGGTGTGGGCCATAATTAGTGCCCGAGGTGAGTGAAGAAAGCCAGGAAAACCTCGTCAAAGGAAATCAGCCTAGAGAATAAAGGCTCCCTGGGTTTGCTTTGGAAGAAAGGACAGGGGATTATGTCCTTGCGCCTTCAAGAACAAGAGACCTGGCACTGGATTAAACCATCCAAATAGTAAAACCAATAATTATGTGTTGTGGGCAGGGCCAGCCTGGTTTCTCAGTGCCACATCCACTTCCTGTGGTGCGTGGCAGGTCTACAGGGAACGGCAATGCCAAATTTCCTCAGCTTTCTTTTCAGTGCAGGGAAGTTAGAATAAAGCCAGAGAGTGTGGCTTGAAGATACAAAGCAAGCCACTGAGAAGATCATTTGAGCAAGACGAGCCAGGTTTCAACCAGAATGGCTCGTTCTCTGTGATCGGTTGGCCGAGCCGGGGACATGCTCTGGTGGTGGAACTAGTCTGGGTGAAAATGATTTGGAGGAAGAAGACCAAGGGCGGGAAGTGAGTGAAGAAGCAACTGCGTATTTCGGACAAAGAACGGGTTTGGCTGACTTCTCGATCTTTCCCAAGGACTGCACGAGAACATTCAGGAATTGCTAACCTCTGGGAGAAGTTTGGATCATGGTTCCTGCCCTCAGCCATGGCTTTGGCATCAGCACCCTCTGTCAAGAGAAATGGCTCATTTCCCTTTGTCCCACAAAGTCAACTTAAAAAAAAATGACCTAATTCAGCAAAATTAGTCATTGGCTACCTTCATATACAGGAGCTATGGGAGTGGGAGGTACCAAAGAAGAAGCTGTGGCTCTCACCATGTTGGAGTTCAAGGAGGGTGATGGCCATCGGGGGTGCCAGCTTTGGGAGTGTCCCTCTGAAAATGAGTCCTTCCCAGTATCATCCACCCCATGGAGTGATACTCCAGGGTGTCTGTCTCCTTATGCCCATGTGACTGGGTGGTACACACCCTGGAGTGAGGAGGTGGTCCTCACAGAGGTCCTTTAGGTCAGGATTCCCAGAGGGTCCGCCCAGAAGTCCCTTTAGCTCCACCTCCCTGAAGGTCCTGGGATAGGGCTCTGCCCATACTGAGGGCTCAGTGATCTCAGCACGATACTTGGGCAAAATGTGCTTACCTCATCTACACCCTCTAAATTTTTAGGAGGCACCCACTTGCTGCAATGCATTACTCAGCATTGTGGGGTTCTTTTCTCACATGCTTTGACTGGCAGGGAGTTCACTGCCTTGGTAAAGAGATACAGTCAGTTAACTAGGGAACAAGGTACCCCCTGCCTCCCCAACCCTGCCTTTTTTTGAGACAGGGTCTTTCTCTGTTGCCCAGGCTGGAGTGCAGTCTTGTGATCATAGCTCACTGCAGCCTCAATCTCCTGGGCTCAGGTGATTCTCCCACCTCAGCCTCTTGAGTAGCTGGGACTACAGGCGTGTGCCACTATGTCTAGGTAATTTTTAAATGTTTTGTAGCGGGGGGGATCTTACTATATTGCCCAGGCTGGTCTCAAACTCCTGGGCTCAAGGAATCCTCCCACCTCAGCCTCCCAAAGCACTGGGATTACGAGCATGAGCCGCCCAGCCCTGCTTCTTTTTTACCCTTCTCTATGACATGTATCACCAAATAGTCCTTAAATATTTTTAGATGAAAATTTTTAAATAAGAATTTAATTATTTTAAGATTGTTTTACTTACATATTAAATATTTGTTCATGGAAGAAAATCTAGAAAAAAATAAAAGTATTAAACTAATTGTTTAATCTCTTGTAACTGCATGAGCTAGAGGCCTTTCGGTAAGTATGCCCCTGCTGTTCTTTTTCTGCTTCCCTTTATATTTTCAAAATTGAGATCTCATGTCCTATGTATATGTGTATATGTATACATGTTTATTGTCTTAGTCTGTTGTGTGTTGTTATAAAGGAAGACCAGAGGCTGCGCAATTGATAAAGAAAAGAGCTTTATTTGGCTCATAGTTCTTCAGGCTGTACAAGAAACATGGAGCCATTATCTGCTTCTGGTGAGGGCTTCAGGAAACTTCCAATCATGGTGGAAGGCAAAGGGGAGCTGGCATGTGCAGAGATCACATAGCCAGAAAGGAAGCAAAGGGGTTATGGTGGGGGAGTACCAGGCTCTCATAGGCACTAATAGAGCAAGATCTCACTTATGACCTCAAGGACAAAGATGGCACCAAGACATTCATGAGGGATCCACTCCCTGTGCCCAAACACCTCCCATGAGGCCCCACCTCCAACACTGGGGATCAAATTTCAACATGAGTCTTGCGGGGAACAAACATCCAAACTGTAGCATATAGCTATACATGCACATATACTAAATATCTTTTACTTAGCCATATTGTAAATAGTGGCAACAAATACCTCTTTATGCACTCACAGAACCACTACCATAATCAAGATATATAGAATACTTCCATTACCCCAAAAAGTTCCCATGTGGCCTTTCTCAGTCAATTCCCTCAATCCCCAGCTCCAGGCAGCCACTGATCAGCTTTCTGGCACCATAGATTATATTTGTTTTCCTAATATTTCATATAAATGGAATCATACAGCATGCATTCCTTTTGTGTCTGCTTCTGTCACTCTGCATAATGTTTCTGAGGTTTATCCATGTTGTTTCAGGTCTAAGTAGTTCATTCCTCTTGATTACTCAGTAATGTTCCATTGTATGGTCACACCACAGTTTATTCATCCACCTGTTGATAGACATTTGGGTTGTTTCCAGTTTGGGGCAATTATGAATAAAGCTACTATGAACAAGTCATTGTGTGGACATGTCTTCATCTCTCTTGAGTAAATACCTGGCAGTGGAGTTTCTGAATCATAAGGTATGTATATGTTTAAACTTATATATATATAAAGTCAAAGTGTCTTTCAAAGTGTTCGTACCATTGTACCATCCCATCAGTCATATATGAGCATTCCAGTTCCTTCACATCCTCACCAAAACTTGAGATGGCCAGACTTTTAAATTTTAGCCATTCTGTTGAATGTATCATTATATATAGTTCTAAATTCTGTGTTTACTTAACATTAGATTATGAATGTTCCCCACAATACTAAATATTCTTTGTAATTGTCATTTTTTATGTATGCACTATATGTCATTATATGGATGAACCATACATACCATAGTTAAGTAATTTCCTATTGGCAAATATTTCAGTCATAGTTTTCTCCATAAATTATGCTGTTAAAATATCTTTGTCAGTATAAGTGGCTATTTTCTTAGGATAAATTACCCAAGTGATTCTTTTGGTAGAAAAGTTTAGATACATGAAAAGAAAAATCATCTATAATTTCATCACCTAGACAAAACCATCATTAACATTTTGGGTATAACCTTATAACTAGCTAACTAGCTAGCCATCATGTTCTTTGTTCACTATGGTAAACTGTATCTCAAAATAAAGTATGTATATATACTTAAGCTATCTTCACACACACAAAGCATCACACACACGAAGTGGAATGTGAATCTCTCTAAGGCTCTTGATACGTGTTACCAAGAGTTCATTCTTGGCATTTTGGTTCAAGGAGAAAGATTCCAGCACTTCATTTCTTTTCTTTCTTTCTTTCTTTTTTTTTTTTTTTTTTTTTTTGAGAGGGAATTTCGCTCTGTCCCCCAGGCTGGAGCACAGTGATGTGATCTCGGCACTGCAACCTCCGCCTCCCGAGTTCAAGCGATTCTCCTGCCTCAGCCTCCTGAGTAGCTGGGATTACAGGTGCGTGCCACCACACCTGGCTAATTTTTGTACTTTTAGTAGAGACGGGGTTTCACCATGTTGGTCAGGCTGGTCTCGAAGTCCTGACCTCGTGATCCGCCCACCTCGGCCTCCCAAAGTGCTGGGATTACAGGCGTGAGCCACCGCGCCCGGCCAGATTCCAGCATTTCAGTCGGTCCAGTAGGCAGCTTTGGATGCTTCCAATGGGAGGGGCCAGAATATTAAGGGAAATCCCCTGCAGATCTCAAGGAAGACTCTAGAGACACTCTCTCTAAAAACTTCAAATGAAGTCCCACCTCGCTCTAGAAGAAGCTGAATGTACAAAACTAGGAAGCAAAAAACAAGCGGCTTCTTTCTCCCCTCTGCCAAATACATATATCGTACATGTATATTCTATAGAGCATTCCTTGGAGTCCTCCCACTTCCGAGCTTTGGAAAGAATGCATTGCAAGACACACCCTTTCTGGATCCAAAGAGGAATTCCCTAGACCCTGGGTGTGTACTGAAAGCACAAAGCTAGACTGTAGGGACAGGCTCCCACAGGCAAATGTCTCTAAGCTGAAGCTGGTGAGCACCTGGTGAAGACACAGGGTAGAAACCACCACTCAAGAAGGTAATGGAGAGAAGAGAAAAACTTGGTTTCATTATCAATCCAGAGGTTATAGTCAGAAGAGCGTACACTTAAGCAATTACTTCCTAGGCAGACCCAGGAAGCAACTCCTGGAAAATGTGAGCCAACATTGCTTTTGCGCTTCCTATGTGCCAGGCACTAGATTAGGTGCTTTATGTGCAGTAGCCACTTTAATATTTGGAGTGACCCTATGAGGCTTATTATTATCCCAGTTTTGCAGATGAGGAAATAGAGGCGTAGAGGGGTTAAATAACTTACTTGAGGTCACACAGCTCACGTGTGTGACTGGAGCCTCTCTGACCAGATCCATATGATGTGGAACCACATACTCCAGTCATTCCTTGTGCCCTCCCCCTCCCCCATGCCAAACAGCTCTCATAATTGTGCTAATACTGTGCCCCACTAATAATACCTCTGCTCTGCTTATTATATCCACACCTGCACCTATAGCTGATCACACTGGTGCTTTGGAAGTTGTGTACACCAGGTCACAAGGAATATGAGTGACTCTCCTGGGGCACCCAACTGAGGAAGGCAGTGTCGTGTGGGGAAAAGGACACCAGACTGGAGTTTATAAGGGCTGAGTTCTAGCTTGAAATCTCCCATGAACAGCCTTATGACCATGGGCAAGTCACTTAACCTCCCTGGGCCTCTGCCTGAGCTCACCTGTGCAGGCACTGGCAACTCTTTAGCATCCATTACCCCCATTCAATCATAAGGCCTCCCTCTGGTGAGATTCGTTGAGACCGTGTATTTAAACATAGAACCACTAAAGCCACTCAGCTGCTAGAACAGCCTGCCTAAGTGGAATCCCTGCCCTGCTGGCTGTGAAAGCCTAAGTAATTTTTTTAACTCGCTTTGCCTCAATCTCCCCTCTGCAGAATGGACCTATCTCGTAGGTTGCTGTAAAGATTAAAGAGATAATGCCTGGAACAGCGTAAGCAGTACATAAGTGTTGTTATTACTGTTAACAACATGTAATCTATACATTCTCATATCTAGGTTCGTTTTTCCTGTTGTCTAAGCCCGGTTCTGGCTGTCTCACCCATGGTGATGGAATCAATTTCCTGCAGGCCTCTGGCTGTCTACAGAAGTTTGCTCAGAGCCAGTGTGACAGCTGACTCCTGCTCATTGAGAAGAGACCCTTCTGCCTCTTGGTTTATTGCAAATCGATTTTACTGTGGGCAACAAGCTTTCCCAGAAATACCTAACACTGGTATGATGTCTGGAGTGAGATTCCATTGTGTGTGTTCACAAAAATGCACTTATGATCTGAAACCTGGACAGAACCAGTGATGCAGGAAGAGGGGAAGTTGAAGGGGAGGGTGTCCTACAGGCATTATCTGCTCTTTATTTATTTATTTATTTATTTATTTATTTATTTATTTATTTATTTTTTGAGACAGAGTTTCGCTCTTGTTGCCCAGGCTGGAGTGTAATGGCTTGATCTCGGCTCACTGCAACCTCCGCCTGCCGGGATCAAGCGATTCTCCTACCTCAGCCTCCCAAGTAGCTGGGACTACAGGCATGGGCCACCATGCCCGGCTAATTTTGTATTTTTAGTAGAGACGGAGTTTCTCCATGTTGCTTAGGCTGGTCTTGAACTCCCGACCTCAGGTGATCCACCCGCCTCAGCCTCCCAAAGTGCTGAGATTACAGACGTGAGCCACTGCACCTGGCCCATCTGCTCTTTATTTTAGAGACTGAGAGCTCAGTTCCTTGCTCCTATTTTAATAAAATTGCCACAATCGCACATTGCTTTTAACCTGCAGGCAAACCGTACTAATTAAGACCAGGTGGGCTTTGTAAAGTGTCAGTATTTTAGGCTATTTTATTCAATTCAAAATATTTTCTAATTTCCCTTGTGATTTATTCTTTGGTCCATAGGGTATTTGGAAGTATATTGTTTAATTTCCAAATACTAAGGGATTTTCCAGTATCTTTCTCTTGTTGATTTCTGGTTTAATTCCGTAGTGGTCAGAGAACATACTTTGATTTCAGTTCTTTTAAATTCGCTAACATTCGTTTATGGCCCAAATTATAGTGGGACATATTTTGTGTGCATTTGAAAAGAATCAGTATCTACTGTAGTTGGGTAGAATGTACTGTAAATAAATGTCAATTAGGTTAAGTTGGTTGATAGGGCTCTTTAGGTCTTCTCTATTCTTACTATTTTTCTGTCTGCTTTGTGTATTTGTTCTTTTGATATCTCCATCTGTAATTATGGATTTTTCTGTTTCCTCCATTACTATCAGTTTTTGTTTTATGTGCTTTGAGACTCTGTTGTTAGGTACATACACATTTAGGATTGTTAGACCTTCTTGAGAAATCTACTCCTCTATCATAGGGTAATATACCTCTTAACCCTGTCAATATTCCTTGTTTTGAAATCTACTCCGTCATTCTTTTGATTAAGGCCAGCATGTTTTATCCCTCTCCATCCTTTTACTTTTAATCTGTTTCTCTTCATAGGCAGCTTGAGTTGGATCTACCTTTTTATATTCAATCTGACAACTTCTTCCTTCGAACTAGGATGATTCAGACTGTGTAATATAATGTAATTATGGATATGTTGGATTTAAAGCTACCAACTTACTAGTTGTTTTCCATTTGTTACATCCTTGTTATTTTTTTCTCTTGTCTTCTTGTGAATTGAGTATTAACATTTTTTGTTATTCCACTTTATCTCCACTTAAACTATGTTAATTGAAAGTGTTCCCATGCATACTGAACCCAAATTAATGATTCTTTTTATGTCTTGCCAGTAGAGTTTCATATTATTTTCATCAAAAGAGTGTGGACTTTGGAGCCAACGAAACCTGTATTTGAAACTTGACTCTACCACTAACTGGCTGCGTGGCCTTTCTCAGTGTAACCTCTATAGAATTTATTTCTTCATTTGTAAATTGGGATGATCATTCTGACTTTTCAAAGTACCACAAGAATCAGGCTTACCATTCTTCTTACCATAAGAATCACAGAGGCTTATGCCTACCATCCTAGCACTTTGGGAAGCTGAGGTGGGTGGAGCCCAGGAATTTGAGACCAGCCTGGACACCATGGCAAAAACTCATCTCTACAAAAAATAGAAAAATTAGCTGGGCATGGTGGCATGCACCTGTGGTCCCAACTAATGAGGAGGCTGAGGTGGGAGGATCACTTGAGCCCGGGAGGTCAAGGCTACAGTGGGCTGTGACCTCACCACTGCACGCCACAGCCTGGGCAACAGAGTGAGACCCTGTCTCAAAAAAAAGAAAAAAGAATCAAATGAAAAATTTATTTAAAGTACCTAGCATAGGTCCAGAACATAATAAATGCTTACTTAATGCTATTTGCTTACATTCTTTTTATTTATTTATTTATTTATTTATTTATTTATTTTTCTTTGTGAGACAGAGTCTTGCTCTGATTCCCAGGCTGGAGTGCAATGGCGCGATCTCGGCTCAATGCAGCCTCCGCCTCCTGGGTTCAAGCGCTTCTCCCTGCCTCAGACTCCCAAGTAGCTGTGATTACAGGTGCCCACCACCACGCCTGGCTAATTTTTGTATTTTTAGTAGACATGCGGTTTTGCCACGTTGGCCAGGCTGGTCTTGAACTCCTGACCTCAGGTGATCCGCCCACCTTGGCTTCCCAAAGTGCTGGGATTACAGGTATGAGCCACTGCACCCGGACTATTTATTTTCTATATAGCTCTGTTTCTAAAAGGGATTTGAGCACTATCAAGGAAGCAAATACCTACCTGGCCTATTAAGCCCAGGGCAGACATTGCTAATCAATCACAGTACTGTTTCTAAATAAACTCAAGATACAACCTTTTTTCTTTTCCTTCCTTCCTATTTTTTAATGCATAATCTTTCTCAGCATTGTGTCTGTCAGAGATTAGCCATAATTTTAAAAAACAGAAAAACCCATGTATCACCAAGGACTAACACATCAACCTGCATTAAAGTCTTTTTGGTACATTTATTATTTTAAATGGGTTAAATCCTCCCTTCCTCTGACAACATTTTACTTTGTTCATTTATTTAGCAAACTCTTCTCTAAAGGTATCACAAAGGAAAACTTCAGTTTATTCAGCTCCAATGATCCCAAAAGCAGCATCAATGAGATTTTTATTTGGCATCTGTGAAACCAGACACCAGAGAAGAGAAGGGGGTGAAAGTTGGGGAGTAAGCCAGAGGTCAGGGGCGGGGACACAGGGCTGCCTCATCACATTCTCATTTTAGGAACTGACATGAGCATGTGACAAGGGCATGGAGTCTCGTGACAGGTACCAACTATTCCTCCTGGGGCTTCGGGTATCATTTAGCCACGGATGGACAAAGGACAATCTGTCATTTACTTTGAAAAAAACCTTGACCTTGTGTCCTAGGAAAGCACTGAACACTCTTCCTTCAGCTGCCTCTTCCCAGCCCAGCTCTGAAAAGAATGATTTCCTGTTAATCATGCTGGAGCTGTCTGCCATTTCTAGTCTTGCTGGTGCCTGAGAACATACATGCAGCTTTGTCCCTTCAGGGTCCTGAGCCTGCTGGGCTGGGACCGGCCTCGTCAGTGGCACAGCCACTACCCTTCTTGCAACCCCAGGAGAGGCTGATTTATCACAGGATTCGCTTATTATTTATGAAAATATCTGAGAGAGAACAAATACGCTGCCTGAAGGGAAATTTAAGGAGCTCCCCTAACCACTGCTCAGCCTGAATCTGCAGGGGCACCTGGTGTCCTCAGCCTGCAGTTTTCCTCCTCCATGCCCTCCTTGTTCTACGATTTCTCCCTATCGTTCTGGTCATGAAAAACTTAGTAACAACATTCAGGGGGTTGGAGCTTCTTGAATTCTTCCACATTACTTGTATTCTATACTTTCATCTATTTGGGACATAGAATAAACTGGAATGAGTACCTACTTCTAACATGCTTCTGTGGGTTTGAGGTGGTATTACCAGAACCCTTAGAAACAGGGTTTAAGGAAAGAGTTTCCTCCCACTCGTTTCATCAGAGACAGGACATCTTGTGTTGGCATTTGGTGTTCTGCTATTTAGAAAATGGTCTTGGTCCAAATGCGTAAGAATGGTTGTAAACACACACACACACACACACACACACACACACAGCAGGATTCTTACTCTGAAATCCTCTGTAAGGCAGAGGTACAGCTTAAGCCCATGGCCTCTGACTTCTTGTTTCCTTTGAATACTGCTTTATGTTAGTTTTCATTTGGGATGTCATAGCACTATACCAACACTGCTTAGGTAAAATACAATAGTAACAGTACAAAAATCCCTCAAACATGAAGAAAGCTTCTACTTTATGCCATCTGCTTTCACATGCAATCTCTCATTCCAACCTTAACGCAGTCCTCTGGGCATGATCAAGTCATTATTCAGAAAACTTGGGTACTAATAACAGCCTACCCAGGGTAATGCACCACTAAGAGGCAGAGCTGAGATTTGAACACAGGCCTAGAAGCTGATTCTAAATCCAGTGCTTGTTCAACTATTCTTGATCCATAAAAGGTGCATTACTTCCCTAAGACCACAATCATGAAATGTGGATTTTTTTTCTCTATTAGACAATGGAGTCCATGTGACTTAACATGAATAACTTCTCAACACACAGGGCAGGAGAGGAACTGGAAGAGATAACTTATTCCATTCCCAGATTGCTTACTGACCAACACCAAGGCAGAACAGGGCTCTAGCAGAGCCAGGGAGTATCACCCGCTGCAACCAGCCCCTGGAATGAATGACCCATGTACCATTGGCAGGTGACTTTTGCCTGTACCATCATGCTCTGTGCTCCAGCCACGAGTGCCTGTCCCTGGACTTGGCAGAAACTCTCACTCCCTAGACCCCCCTCTCAGCTTCACCTTGAGAAATGCCCTCTTCTCTCCCTGACTTTCTGCAAGCTCATGTAAGTGGGCTTCTGTGAGCCTTTAGTGATTTCCCCAGGCAAAAACCATCAATCAAAGTGTGTGCTTCCATAGCAATTTGCACCTGAAATATGGCATCTATCACTTGATAGTAAAAGGAGCTATTTTTGTTTCTTCCTTTCCTTGTTAGTCTGTGAAATCTCTAAAGGCAGGGAACAAGAGTTATTTGTCTCTCTAGAGGCCTAGCACAGGTCCTTAATAATGTTCAGTTCAATGGAATGCAATTTATTTGAATTGAATTAAACTGGCACAGTAACACAAAATTTAGGCACAGATATGCTCTGGGGTATGTGATAAGGAGCATTTGGTAATCAAAAGGCCAAGAACCAAATATTCTCATAAGCCACATCCGGGTTTGCAAACCATGTGATTGAATATGTGTATTGTGTGCAAGGCAGCCACAGCTGGTGTATAAGATATATAATTTTGTGATATAAAAATGTGATAGAATGAGGCAATTTTCACATTATGCCTAAAATATTGTGTCAGTGAGATGTTTAACATAGACACCATGTGTTGTTGACAGAGTTGACTCAAAGCAGAACTATAAATTTAACGATAAGTTTGAGACAGTCTTTTAAACGGCTGGGAATAGAGTCAAGGATCCTCTCCAGGGGTCTGTTCTAGATCCTTAGTGATCAGCCAATAATCACACACTCCTTGGGGCTTTGTATCTATCATCTCATGCCATCCTTCCCACACACGTAGGAGGCAGAGACTATTGCCCTCCCAACTTCTTGGATGGGGAAACTGAGGCAGCTTGAGATTAAGGAACCTACCCAAGGCCTCAGAGGTGGTGAGTGGTGGAGCTGGGATCTGAACCCAGGCCCCAGAGTCCATGCTCTGTTTAGCACCATGGACTATACTCTAAGTCGCCCAGTCAATCTGCCTCAAGCGAACATGTCCTTACATCTAGTGTAATCTGAATGATCACATAGTTAGCTCTTGATTTCCAGTTGCGTCCGCTGTGGAAGACAGAAAAAGATATTCAGCACTCTCTTTATAATCTCACCATGAGTATTTGAAGACCAGTTTTTAAGTTGTTTCTGAGTTTTCCTTCTGTAGTTTAAACAATTCCAATTAGCTTAAAATTTCTCCAAGAGATCCTCTCACCCCATCTCTTAAGTCACCTATAGTTTTTGGGATACACTTTATTTTCGGGGGTAGACTTTCTAAATGATAAAGTTCAAAATGGCATGGGGGTGTTCTCCAGTTAGGGCCTGACCAATGCCATACATGGGAAGAGGATTCAGGAGGTTGGCTTATCTTTTCCTCATTAACATTCCAGCATTCCTAGTGATTCTCTATTGCTGAGTCATTTTGTACTTGTGATACAACTGCTAACTTTGAAAACTCCATAATATTTTTTTAAACAGTAGCTCTTATAAGTCATTTTTCATCTTGAATTTGTGGTATGGATCTTTTTTCTTTTCCTGTTTTGTTTTTTTAGTTTGCCAAGGCCAATCTGAAAGGGACATATTGAGTTTAGTTCTCACTGTCTGGGATGTTAGCAACTCCACCTAATTTGGTATCATTCATCAAACACAAGATGCTTTTTCTCAATTCTATCATGTGGGTCACTGAGGAAGCTATTTATATAAACATCTTTTCCCATAAATATACTTTCCTGGCTTCCAGATACCATGGGAGTGATGAGCTGAGTACACATTTTAATTATTTCCAAGAACTGCAGTTGGTTATCTGAGCTTTATGCCGTTTTATGAAGAAACAATCAAAACTCATTTCCAAGTCTGAAGAAATGCTGCTGTTTGGCTTCAGTTCCTGGAGGACAACCAAAGCTGAATTTACCCTAAATACAGGAGGGACAGCAATGTTCTTTGGAAGCAAAAAGTTTGGCCTGGATATCTGGAACCTACTGAGAGGGCCCTACCCCAAGTCTGCTCCTAGGCTGCTGTTCCTTTTAATTACTGCCTAGCAGTGAAAAAATTACAATCTGGTAGCAAGCCAGGGCAACTATAAACTGAAGTACTGGAAGTCTTTAAACACAGGTTATTGTACTATTTATTTTAGATGTTGTCTCCTAGAAAAGTAAAGACAGGCTTTTTTTAAAAAAGGAAGTTCTAGGCCTTCTTGTTTGCTTTCCTATTTGTAGGATGTACTGTTTATGCCAATAAATCCCAGGCCTAGCTGATGAGTAAAACCACCTGAGGAGCATTTGGTAAATGTGTATGGTCAACCCCTCTCTAATCTCCACCATTATGGTGGTATTGAGAGGTGGAGGCAGGGCATCTCTATTAGTTAAAACCTCCCCCAAATTGTTTAAATTGATTATGATTAAATCCATGTAATAGAATACCAAGCAATCTTCTTTAAAATTAATTAAATCTAAACATGTTAATATGGAAAGATCTCACATTAGCCATACAGAATGTGTAGTAAGTTTCCATTTGACATAAATTTGTTATGTATACATACTTATATATACTTACTATACTATACACACATACATGTAACACATATATATCGTGTGTGTGTGCGTGTGTGTTGTGTGTAGTAACTCACGACAGGCACCAATCAGAAAGAATGCCACCTGTAGTGCCAGAACATCTGTGCATGGCATAACCCTTTAGATGATTGTAAAGAAGGGGGTCCCAGAAAAGGGGCCAGAGTGGCTGGGTCTCAGGGGCCTGGAGCAGTGTCTATTTACCAGCTTATATGGAAATATTTGAAGATATTCACAAGTAGATGAAGCTTAGTCCTTACATGCAGAAAATAATTCTGGAAGTATTCCCAAGAGACTGATACTAACAGCCTATCAATCAAGATTGGCTGATTTAAACAGAAAGATAAATTACTGGGTAAAAAGAATATTGGGTTCAGTCTCCAGAATGGCTAAGAAAACAGACAAGAATAAAGGGAGGGTGGACAACTAGCCACAGCCACAAGCAAGGCCGCACGACTGGCCAGTCCAATGAACCCCCTGCTGCTACCACCCGTGGTCACTAGATGCTGCTTCTGGTACCACAGCCACTTGAGGACTTTGCAGTAGCACTTAGCACATCCTCTTGTAACCATTTAGATATGCACCTGTTCTTCCCTCTGGACTGTGAGCCTCTTAAGCATAGGAAGAGCACCTTATTAATCTCTGGATTTCCAGCCTCCAACCCAGTCCCTGGCACAGAGTGAGCAGAATACTAAAAGAAATAAATGAGCAAACATAATTTAATTGCTAGATATTACATCAATGTAGGCAGAGAGAGTGAAAGCGGCATTTAGCTGTATGTGTCACTTTCAAACCTCAAAAATGAAAAGGTGCACATGCTTTCTCATTCTCTATTCTTCCATTGAAGGCTTGTCAGATGTGGCTTCAAAAAAAATGCATGGCTTGGGTTTCACGGTAGACTAGTTCTGTCCCTTTCTCTAAATTGAGCATTCTTTTTAGCAGAGATTTTTATAAAGCTATAATTCCATGAAGTTATCATCTTAACTTCAAATGTTAGGTCCAGATAAAGTGGGACTAGGAGTCAATTGAACTTCCATCTCTATTGAAATGTTTGTTTTGTCACATCAAAGAATGTCCAATCACATCTCTGAACCTTTCCTAAGCAAGCAACTTGAAACCAAACATGGCTCATATTGACCAGGGTTCTGGAGAGAAAAAGCAAATAGCAACTATATATTAATAATTGCAGTCATTTTCATACTCAGCCAGGAATCAGGGATATAAATCAGAATTCTGGCTTTGCTGGAACCACAAACAAACCATGTAACCCTTGCAAGTTTCACCTGCTTCTTCTAGACCACAGAGGAGTTAGAGAGTGGGAGGCTCTGAGGACAAAGGATAATAGCATGCTCATAACAATCATGATACAAAGAAAGTAGGCAGTCCTTATTTATGATTATATACATCTACCTAATACAATTCACTATAAAAGGTATAAGCTCAGAGAAATGAAAACTTAACGTTCACACACAAAAAAACCTGTAGATGAATGTTTGCAGCTTTATTTGTAATAGCCCCAAACTGGAAATAACACAGATGACTTACAAAGGACAAATTAAACAAACTATGGTACATTCACATAATAGAATACTAGTTAGCGATAAAAGTAAACTATTGATAAATGCAACAACCTGGGTGGAATTTCCAGAGAATCATGCTGAGTAAAAAAGTCAATCCCAGTAAATTACATGCTAAATGAATCCATGCATACAACATTCTTGAAATAAGAAGTGTATGTGGCTATAAAACATGAGGGACTCTTGGTTTTTGTTGTTGTTGTTGATGGTGGTGGTGGTGGTTTTAGACAGGGTCTTGCTGCATCACCCAGGCTGGAGTGCAGTGGCATGATCACAGCTCCCTGCAGCCTCAACCTCCTGGGTTCAAGTGATCTTCCCATCTCAGCCTCCCAAGTAGCTGGGACCACAGGTGTGCACCACTACGCCCGGCTATTTTTTTTTTTTTTTTTTTTTAGTAGAGGTGGGGTCTCAGTATGTTGCCCAGGGTGGTCTCAAGCTCCTGGGCTCAAGCAATCCTCCCGCCTTGGCCTCCCAAAATGCTGGGATTATAGGCATGAGCCACCATGCCCTGCCATGTCCTATGTCTTGACTGGTTCAATATCAATATCCACTGTAAAATTGCACTATAATTTTGCAAGATGCTACCATTGGGAGAAACTGGGTAAAGCTTTCACGGGATCTCTGTGTATTATTTCTTACAACTGCATATGAATCAGTAATTATCTCAAAAAAAGTTTAATTTAAAAAAGAAACAAATGAAAATGTATAAGCAAGATAAAGCTGTAAAAATAGGAAACAAGGCCGGGCGCAGTGGCTCATGCCTGTAATCCCAGCACTTTGGGAGGCCGAGTCGGGCGGATCACAAGGTCAGGAGATCGAGACCATCCTGGCTAACACGGTGAAACCCCATCTCTACTAAAAATACAAAAAAATTAGCCAGGCATGGTGGCGGGCGCCTGTAGTCCCAGCTACTCGGGAGGCTGAGGCAGGAGAATGGCGTGAACCCATGAGGCAGAGATTGCAGTGAGCCGAGATCACACCATTGCACTCCAGCCTGGGCGACAGAGTGAGACTCTGTCTCAAACAAAAAAAAAAGGAAATAAATGCTTTGAGAGGCTGAGGCAGGAGGATCGCTTGAGCTCAGGAGTTTGACAACAGCCTGGGAAACACAGTGAGACCTCGTCTCTACTAAAATTAAAAAAAAAAAAAGCTGGGTGTGATGGTGTATGCCTCTAGTCCCAGCTCATAGGGAGGCTGAGGTGGGAGAATCACCTGAGCCCAGGAGGTCAAGGCTGCAGTGAGCCGAGATCGCTCCACTGCACTCCAGCCTGGGCAACAGAACAAGACTCTGTCTTAAAAAAAAAAAAAAAAAGGGGGCGCTGGGTGTGGTGGCTCATGCCTGTAATCCCAATAGTTTGGGAGGCCGAGGCGGGTGGATCATCTGGGGTTGGGAGTTCAAGACCAGCCTGACCAACATGGTGAAACTCTGTCTCTACTAAAAATACAAAATTAGCTGGGTGTGGTGGCACGTGCTTGTAATCCCAGCTACTCCAGAGGCCGAGGCAGGAGAATCGCTTGAACCTGGGAGGCGGAGTTTGCAGTGAGCCGAAATCGTACCATTGCACTCCAGCCTGGGCAACAAAAGTGAAACTCCATCTCAAAAACAAACAAAAAAATAAAAATCTAAAAATCTAAGCAACCAAAACACTAAGCTCTTATGATTAAGTATTAAATTTGTTTCTGTGGTTCCTTGCTGCAAAATAAAAAGAAGAAAACATGATAGGTTATATGTTCTTGTTCTCTGATCAAAATAATCATGGTATATTTTTAGGTGAGACAATCTTTCCCCTGGAAGTCAATTCTGAAAGGGTGATGAACTTAGTCTTAAAATATAACCTGCAGAGCACAAAATAAGGTCTACAGAGGCTAAGCAGGCTAAGAGCTCAGATGCTGTTCATTTTAATGCTTAATAGTCCATGACTGGACAGGCGCGGTGGCTCATGCCTGTAATCCCAGCACTTTGGGAGGCCGAGGTGGGCAGATCATTTTAGGTCAGGAGTTCGAGACTAGCCTGGCCAACATGGTGAAACCCTGTCTCTACTAAAAATACAAAAATTAGCCAGGCATGGTGGCAGGCGCCTGTAATCCCAGCTACTCGGGAGGCTGAGGCAGGAGAATCACTTGAACCTAGGAGACGGAGGTTGCAGTGAGCCAAGATCGCGCCATTGCACTCCAGCCTGAGCGACAGAGCAAGACTCTGTCTCAAAAAAGAAAAAAAAAAAAACAATCCATGACTTGGTTATGGGATCCTAGGAAAATAGTGATACAACTTTCAGGGCTAGTCTTACACATAAGTGTAATAGATGATCATCCAGAAAATATGGCTTCAAGAAAATAAAAAAGATACTTCACAGCCCAGCTATGTCTTCGTTATGCAGTCTCTGAAAGTCCACCATTAGGGACATACTTCTTTGGGTTAAGAATTTTTGCTACCTGGGATTCTTCTACTGAAAATTCAAGGACTGTGTGTTGCTCAAGTGATGCACATAAAGGGGTCCCCTGGGCATCTAAGAGCCTCAGGAGAACTGGAGAAACAGCGTCACCTGCTCTGCTTTCCCATTCAAGGCAACCCCACCCTGTGCTTTCCATCCCAAACCTCACCTCCTCAAGGTCTCGTTTCCTCCAAGCATCCCCTCTCTCTTGCATCAGCAGTTCTCCCCCACCCACCCCCTCCACTAGGTCATGTGCATCAGCATACAAATGTGTTCTAGTATCTCCTGTCTCTGAGAAGCCAAAAGCCAAAATAACCCCCCAAACTCCTCACCTCCTTGACCCACAACGCCTTCTAGCTACTGTGCTATTTCTTTCCTTCCCTGCTCGGCAAATCCAAGGACTATGGAACTGATTTGTCCATAGTCTTGGTCTCTGCTTTCTCACCTGCCTTTCTCTACTCAGCCCATTTCAGGAAGGCTGCACACCTCTGAGCCTGCATGGTTGACCGCCACATTCCCAAGTCTGAGAGCCGCTTCTCTGTTCTCACCTTACTGGTTCTCTCTGCAGCATTTCTACTCAGCTTCCCATTGTCTACTTGATGACACAGTTTTTTGTCCCATGACTCCCCATGCTCTGGGTTTTCCTGATATCTTGCTGGCTGTTAGCACATTCTGAAGCTGATTTGGGTTGTTGGAGACCACAAGGAACTTAATGCATTTTATTTGCTCCTCCTCTGCCCATTCTAACACGTAGAAGACCTGAAAGCTGGGTCCTTTACCTTTTTCCCTATCTGCATTCTCTTCTTAGGTAATTGTATCTGGTCCCATGGCCAGCTATTTCCAAATCTGTATTTCCAGCTCTCATCTCTCCCTAGACGCACACATCTGTACTTGGGTGACTAATCGGCATATCAAGCTTACCCGTCAAAACAGAACTGAAGATTTCCTCCCTCAGGCTGTTCCTCATGCACTTTCCCCTATGGAAGCATGGTATGCTTAACTGCTTGGGCCAGAAAGTTTGGAGTTATCCTTGCTTTCTCTTTTCTCATCCCGTGTTTCCGATCTGTCACTCTTATCAACTCCACCTTATCCAGGATCCATCCCCATCTTCCCTCTCCTGGATCTTCTCTGTAGCCTCTAACTGATCTCCCAGCCTCCACTCTCCACTGTCTACTCCCCTTGCCCCCGGCCCATATTCCACACAGAAGCCAGAGTCATCCTTTAAAACATTAACTGGATCACATCACTTCTTTGCCTAAAACCCTCCATCTGCTTCCCAACCCAATTAGTGTAAAAGCCCAACACCCTACACACCTGTGAAGCATAAATCATCTGGTTCCCACCAACTCCCTCATTCATCCAGAATGGCATGGAGCATGTCTGTATAGTCATGGGGGGCATTCTTAGGGTTAGTGCAGCAGGTGCACAATAAATATTTGTTTGTCAATCAATGAATCAATGACTTAGTAAGAGAAACTTAAAATTCTACATTGGTAATAACAGCTCTGTACCTCAGGGTCCTGACTTGAAGAGCCAGCATCTATAACCACCATGATTTCTGGTTTGCTATGAGAAGTAGTGGGAAAAAATGGCCTGGTTTTAAAAATCCACACAATAATTCTTTAATGGGTACGTGCTACAGTTTGAGTCCCCTGATGACATTATTATCCTCCTCATTTTATTCTTTGTAGGCAATGATACAAGACTCTGGAGTCCTCCAGCAAATGCTCAATTTATACCTTTCAGGTCTGAGTCAGTGTGGGATTATCAGTACACATTGAAGGATGTGTGTGAAGGGAAAGAGTGTAGCAGAGGAGATAATTATTTCCAGGTGAAGCGACTGTATTCAGGTAGCAACTAGCACATTTAAATAGAGTCAGTGGCTCAGAAAAACCACACAAAGGAACACGCTTCCCTGAATTAAAAAGCATGCAGTGAAGCCACTGCCACATCCACGTGAGGCCTCTTTGCCCTGCTGCAGGCACGAGCTGACGCTGATTTGAGTTGTCTGAGCATGTAGCGGATTTACATGTTCATTCTTTTTTTTCTTGAGGGTGTGTTTTGTTCCTTTTTTTTTTTTTTTTTAACATTCTCACACATGCATTGGTCTGTGCTTGTTGCAAAGTGAAAGAATTGGAGAAGGGAATGAAATGCTCATCAGTCAACCTGCAACCACATCCTGGTAGTTTATGGAGAGTTGATATCCACTCATTTTTTCCCATTCTCTTTTCCATTGTCTGCCTTTTTTTTCCATCTGTAAATATTTAAGTTTGTTCCTCTGAAAAAAGGAGGGATGGCTTAGAAAACCACAATAATATTATTACATCTAAAAATTACTGGGCACGGTGGCTCACGCCTGTAATCCCAGCACTTTGGGAGGCTGAGGTGGGCGGATCACCTGAGGTCAGGAGTTCAAGACCAGCCTGCTCAACATGGTGAAACCCCGTCTCTACTAAAAATACAAAAATTAGCTGGGCATGGTGGTGCGCACCTGTAATCCCAGCTACTTGGGAAGCTGAGGAGAGAGAATTGCTTGAACCTGGGAGCCGGAGGTTGCAGTGAGCCAACATCATGCTACTGCACTCCAGCATTGGCAACAGAGTGAGACTCCATCTCAAAAAATAAATAAATAATAAAAAAAATTTTTAATCATTCCTTCATATCAAATATCCCCTTAGTATTAAATTTCCTTAATTACATATGTTTAAATAGTTGGTTTATTCAACTCAGGATCCAAACAAGGCCTACCCATTATATTTGACTGATAGGGCTTTTTTTTTTTTTTTGAGACAGGATCTTGCTCCGTCAACCAGACTGAAGTGCACTGGAGTAATCATGACTCACTGCAGCTAAATTTTTAGCTTTTTTTTGTAGGGACAGGGTTTTGCTATGTTGACCAGGTGGGTCTTGAACTACCTGGCCTTAGGCAATCCTCCCACCTCAGTCTCCCAAAGTTCTGGGATTACAGGCATGAGCCACCATGCCTGACCAATATGTCTCTTGTTTCTTTTTTTACCTAAAGGTTCTCCTTCTAGCCCTTTATCCCCTTGCTATTTGTTGAAGAAACTGGGTAACTTTTTCTGTCCCTGAATTTCCTATAGATTTGATGTTAGATTTAGCAGCTCAGTCTGATGCAGGTTTTGTTTTTTGGCAAGAACATTTCCTAGGTATTCCCAGTGCATACACAGGGCAACTCACAGATGCCCAGGTGTGTTGTAAAGTCCCATCAGGGGGCACCTGATGCCCAGGTGTCTCTTGAGATGTCAGCTGCCACTGATAATCAGTACCTAGATCCATTATTGCACTAAGTGTTCTCAAAATGCTGACAGTCCAGCTATATAATTCCTTTTTAATTTATTACCTGGAATATTTCTATAAAGAGAAATTTCCCCTCATCAATTATTTGGGTCGCTCTGAGGTACAATTTGGAAGGGAAATGACTACGTGCCATTTTCAGACTTGTGGGGTAGAAAAAGCCAGGGAAAAGAGGCAAAACTCAGAAGAACCCTCTGGGCTACTTGGTAAGAGTGTTCCTCAAGGCATTGGTACAGGAGGAGGAGGGAACGACTAATGGAAATGAGATTTGAGATCGTCTAATCTGTGGGTCCTCATTATTCCTGCATGGATAATTATGAGTTGGCTGACTGCTGAGCTCTTAGTCTCCACGATTCCTCACCTGCCTGCCCCTTGCTCTGTTACTGAGCTTTGTCCTTACTCCTAGATTCAGCTCTGAGGGCAGAACCCCACCTTATACTTCTTGAGTCCCTCATAGCCCTAGCAAGGCACTGAGCACTGAGTCACCTATCAATGAATGACTGCTTGTAAATTCAAGGTGATGAATTATTTATTTTATAATAATTCTCACAAGCACTTCTGAAGTGTCTATCTGGTCACAGGGCTGGATGGAATGACATAGTTCCACCCCTCAATAAGTCTTAAATCAATAATGAACAACACTGTCCCAGATCAACATGAAGGAGCCAGATATTTGAATCAGTCTTAAATAAATACGCAAAACACACAAATGTTCCAAAGGTAATATGTTACTGCCAGATTGCCTGCCAGACGCTCACACCAAAGCATGCTCCTGTCCTGCCTTCTGTGTATGAGGATGCTCACATTCCCACCCACTTGCCAACAGTCATTATCATTTCTTCAAATCTTTGCCAATTCTATAGGTAAAAAAATGGAATCATATGTTCTCTCTCTCTTTTTTTTTTTGAGACGGAGTTTCGCTCTTGTTGCCCAGGCTGGAATCCAGTGGCGCGATCTCAGCTCACTGCAACCTCCACCTCCTGGGTTCAAGAGATTCTCCTGCCTCAGCCTCAGGAGTAGCTGAAATTACAGGCGCCCGCCACCATGCCTGGCTAATTATTTTGTATTTTTAGTAGAGATGGGGTTTCATCATGTTGGCCAGGCTGGTCTCGAACTCCTGGCCTCAGGTGATCCTCCCACCTCGGCCTCCCAAAGTGCTGGGATTACAAGCACGAGCCACCACACCCGGCCCATTATATGTTCTAGTTTATACTTCAGTTAGTAGCAAGAACTAACCCCTCTTCCCATTGGCCATTTGTGTTCCTCCTTTTGTGGCTGATTACCTATTCATGTCTCTTGCTCATCTGCATTGAGGTCCCTGTGTACTGCTGGGTGGGACTGGGTGCTAAATGCCACGATGCATGAAGTCCAGGACACTTTCAAAACAAATATCTACTGTTTTTTAAAAAGAAGAAAATACGGCCAGGTGCAGTGGCTCACTACTGTAATCCCAGCACTTTGGGAGGCCGAGGCAGGTGGATCACCTGAGGTCAGGAGTTCAAGACCAGCCTGGTTTGATAGTGAAACCCGGTTTCTACTAAAAATACAAAAATTAGCCAGGTACCATGGCATGTGTCTGTAGTCCCAGCTTCTCGGGCAGCTGAGACAGGAGAATGGCTTGAGCCTGGGAGGCAGAAGTTGTAGTGAGCCGGGATCATGCCATTGCACTCCAGCCTAGGCAACAGAGTGAGGCTTTGTCTCAGGAAAAAAAAAAAAAAAGAAGAAGAAGAAGAAGAAAATACATGTATGTAAAAAATGCTTAAAGAAAAATAACTTTTGTCGACTTACAAAATGGCCGCCCGGAGCGTGTTCCGCGCGGTTCCCCCCAGCGGTCTCCGGCTGAACCGGCGCTCTCGCCTCCCCGCCGAACACAGCGTGAGGAGCCCCCTGGGGACATGGTGTTTGAGTCTCTGGGCTTGCCGAGCACCAAGTCCTCTGAGGACCGCAGGGCAGCACCGGAAGCGGCCGAGCGCGCTCAGCCCGGCGACCACCAGCCGCTCCAGACCCCTGCGCCGCCTCGCGCCAGGTTTCGCCGCACCCAAGACCCAGCGAGTGCAGCGGCGGCCGCCGAGGAGGTTCGAAAACATGGCCAAAAGAAATGCCGAGAAGGAACTGACAGATAGGAATTGGGATCAAGAAGATGAAGCTGAAGAGGTGGGAACATTCTCCGTGGCCAGTGAGGAAGTCTTGAAGAATAGAGCCATAAAGAAAGCAAAGCGCAGAAATGGTGGATTCGAATCTGACAGTAGAGGAGACTTTAAAGGTTTTAAAGGTTTGGTGGTACCTTTTGGAGGAGGACGGTTTCCTGGATTTGGTAGTGGCGCTGGAGGGAAGCCTTTGGAAGGACTGTCGAATGGAAACAACATAACCAGTGCCCCTCCCTTCACCAGTGCAAAGGCAGTGGCAGAGCCCAAGGTAGCCTTTGGTTCTCTTGCTGCAAATGGCCCTACCGCCTTGGTTGATAAAAATGTTTCAAATCCCAAAACTAATGGGGACAGTCAGCAGCCCTCCTCCTCTGGCCTTGCTTCCAGTAAAGCTTGTGTCGGAAATGCCTATCACAAGCAGTTGGCCGCCTTGGACTGCTCCGTGCGGGATTGGATGGTGAAGCACGCGAATACAAACTCCCTCTGTGATCTGACACCTATCTTTAAAGACTATGAGAAATATTTAGCAAACATTGAACAGCAACAAGGGAACAATGGCAGGAATTCTGAAAGTGAATCTAACAAAGCGGCGGCTGAAACACAGTCTCCTTCCCTTTTTAGCTCAACAAAATTACAGCAAGAGTCAACGTTTTTGTTTCATGGCAGCAAAACTGAAGATACACCTGACAAGAAGGTGGAGGTGGCATCTGAAAAGAAAACGGACCCATCATCACTAGGAGCGACAAGTGCCTCATTTAATTTCGGCGAGAAAGTTGATAGCTCTGTTTTGGGCTCATTAAGCTCTGTCCCCCGACTGGATTTTCATTCTCCCCTGGAAACTCTAGTTTATTTGGCAAAGATATTATCCAGAGTAAACCAGTCTCTTCACCATTTCCCACTAAACCATTGGAGGGCCAAGCGGAAGGTGACAGTGGTGAATGCAAAGGTGGAGATTAAGAAGAGAATGATGAGCCACCCAAAGTAGTAGTTACCGAAGTAAAAGAAGATGCTTTTTACTCCAAAAAGTGTAAACTATTTTACAAGAAAGACAATGAGTTTAAAGAGAAAGGCATAGGTACTCTGCATTTAAAACCTACGGCAAATCAGAAGACATAGCTTTTGGTGCGGGCAGACACCAATTTAGGCAACATATTGCTGAATGTTCTGATTCCACCCAATATGCCATGTACGCGAACAGGGAAAAATAACGTTCTTATCGTCTGTGTTCCAAATCCACCAATCGACGAGAAGAATGCCACCATGCCAGTCACCATGTTGATTCGGGTAAAAACCAGCGAGGATGCAGACGAGTTGCACAAAATTTTACTGGAGAAAAAGGATGCCTGAACACGCGAAGTCGGCTGCGGAATTATTGCCAAGTTGCTGCTTCTTCCACCGCCCCTTAAACTTAGTCAGTTTTTCTTCTCTTCTTTGACATTCTAAGAACTTATAGATAACTTAAAACTTTTGTGAGGAAGATTAATGTGGCCAGTAAAACCTTTAAATGTGTCAAGAAACCGCACTCTCACTTCTTAAGAACTGCCTCAAGTGTAAAATACATTTGAATGCAATTTTTGGAAGATTTTTTAAATGTTCGTTTGTTTATTAAACTAACCCTAAGTGATTTCTTCAAGGACTGCAATCAGGGTATCGATTCGCTTTCCCAAAGGCTCTTCCAACCCGTGGGTTTTGGGGTCCATCGCCACCATGAAAGAGGCTTTTGAACACGTGCCCGGCTGTGTTCAGAAGGAAGCTGGCCTGTGTGCTTCTCTCCAGTGGGCTCAGCCGACGTGTGAGACTTGTGTTATCAAATGAACCAGGCTGCCACGCTGTGACAGGCGTTTGTCCTCTGCTTTATTTTTATTTTGAAGCTAAAATGTGAGTACTAAGTGTTCACCTCAGCGTTCGAATCATTGGCCTGTAACCCTGTGGGCTGCTTCACAAGAATTCAGGACCTGCATTTTCATTCTAAAAAGAAATGAACAGCTTGTGAAGGAGTTTTTTGGCTTTGTAGTTTCTATTCATGAGGTAGTGTTACTTCTTTATCCCCCTAAAGACAAAATGAAGATAAAGGGGGATTGCCAGGAATGGGTTTAAAAGCACAAATTTGGTAGCTTATCATCTACACCATGGAGAGTGAACCCTTACGAAATGACAGTCAAATGAGACCATCCTAGAAAAAGAAGATGCTCATAGGCATTTGTACCATGATCAACCCCACGCATATGAAAACTATGACCAAGTGACGTGCCTGGGAGCTTTGACACACAAGCCATGTGAATTCACTAGGAAACACGTAATAAGGTAATGGAAGAGAAAATCGTGTGTACATTTTGCCTTTAACTTTAGACAGCAGTATATTATACATTTGATATCTGAAATATCTTTACTTTTTTAAGAGTAAGATTCCATTTGTCTGTTTGGAAGGGAGCCATGGTTATGCACACGAATATCCATGTCACTTCTCCAGAGCCGTCAGGTAACTAACACGAGCATTCTTTGAAGACTCTGGGCACATGAATGAGATACAGAATTGAATGTTTAAATTTCTACTTTGATTCCTCATGAATCATTTGAGACTAGTACCAGCTGATCTTGTGTACAGGCAGGGTCAGTGCCCAAGGGCTCACGTGTGTGTGTTCTGATCTTCAGTGCGTAGCGCATTCTCATTTAGAAAAGAATAGTCAGAATAATTGTGGACTGTACAGTGGCTTTTTTAAAACTACAGTCTTTAAGTGTAAGGTTTGGAGCCAGGAGCAATTTTATGATCAAATATGATGAACTTCTAAGTACCTGAGGTGTGATTGGGCCAACGTTGTCATAAGATTCTTGCTCTACTTTCAGTGTTTTGATTCCACTGGGAGAATTTGGCCCTAGTGTGTGGCTTTGGATGAATCCGTGCAGAGAGAGGTGTGCTTGTACTGTTACAGGATGCTGTCAGACATAGCTATAGTAGGCACCTAGGGAGGAAGTGGCCATTATTTTTACACTGACTTTTTAGAATTGAGAATGCACGTGAGTTTCTGTTGCAGATGATTCATAGTAAGCAAGTGGTTGATGCTGTTAATACCGGCCCTGCCTGATTGACATTAAGTTTATTCAACTTTTAAAAAGATGAAGAACTAAGGGGAACAAATTTAAGTTTGTTGCAACTTAGCCATACATGCTTCCCTGGTGTCAGCTGCAATCAGCAGCTCACAAGCATCTTTAGGACACTTCAGTGTATATGACACAGTACTTTGTTAGCGTCTGCGTGTGTATGGAAAGTTCACAAAAAATGGCATGAAAAGATCATGATTGGGTTTTCTTTTAAACCTGCCCCTTCTGTAAAAAAATAGTTCATATATTTTTAAATTAGTGGGTATGTGTGGCTTCCTTTTTTCCTAACATTCCCAGCAAATTTTTGCTGCTAAGACTATCACTGTTAAAGTGAAAATTACAGGGAAAAATGTGATGAATATACCATAACTCAAAATGTGATATTTTCTTAAAATCACTCTTTTATGCTTTAGGAACTGGTTGGTCTCCACTTTGATTATTAGTGTAAAGTGCCTGAGTATACGTGGATTTAATTGTAAAATTTAACTCCTTGTCTTTTACTTGGGGCACGGGGGCCCCGGAGGGCTTACCTATTTTCCCCACTATGTTAACAGGTAATTCTGATTTATGCGTTATTTTAGTTTGACTTATTTTTAACAAAATATTAGAAATTATGCTTTAAAATGTTTAATGTGGACTGAAATTTTCATCTTTTGTTTGAGAATCTATGAAGTGTATCATATACGTGGCCTAAAGCAAGGTGTGTATTTTGTTATTCTGAAATTGTTTTGCATCTGGACAAATACTAAGTATCCCAGTGGCCTTTTTTTTTTAAACCTGTGTATCCATCTCATCCTTTTGCGCATTCCTAGTAAGCAAAAAAATTTGTTATGCCATATTCATTATTTGAATTACAGACTGAAAATATGGCCAGTTTTTAAAGAAGTTTAGATTATGTTTTCCATGGAAGGACAAGTCTGACTGTTCATGGGCTGATTTTCTTTAAGAGGATTATTCTATTTTACAATTTCAATTCTAGATCATTTTATATATGCTGCATGTCAAAAAAAGAAAAAAGAAAAAACTACCTTTTCTGGTGTGGAGAGGAAGAAAAACTAATATTCTACCTTCTGGTAGAGTTCAAAACAAGTTTTCACTGAGAGCCTTTTCAGTAAAAGTTAAATAAGTTTGTTTTTTGAGCATTTGTCAGTTATTCTATTTCAGAAGAGTCAAAATTCAAGCACAATACATTTTGAAGGCTTTGCAAACTCCTAAACCCCTGATGAGTCCTCTCATTCTGGAAGTGGGAATTTGAGTAGATACTGATTTGTCCCGTAGTATGGTAGATGACGGGGAGGTCTTTTCCAATCAGGCACTCAGAACACAGGCCACTCTATGTTCTCAACCAGTAACAATCATATTGAGGATGAAGGACTCTCCGTTTGATGCAGACACAATTGTAATGGAGATGTAAAACTTCTTAGCAATCAGATGGATAAATTGTTTGCTTTTTACTTTAAATAGGAAATTGTTTTCTAAAACTAAAATACTTGAATTGTCCAGACAATATAATCTCAGCTTGTATTAGTTTTTGAATGCTCCCATCGAGGAAGTGTAACAATCCATGAAATGTGAATAAATGAAAAGTAAACAAAAAAAAGAAAAATAACTTTTAATCTTACTTCTCAGAACCATTGTTAATAGTTATTTCCTTCCAGATCTTCTAAATATGTAAGTGTAGGTGTTTTTCACACATACGGGATCTTATTCTATTCAGCTTTTCTGTAACCTGTTTTCCTCATAAGAATCTTTGCAATCTCTTCAAAGAATGACAAATCAGTAAGAGAATGATAGTTTGTTAATAGAAAAATAAGCAAAGAGTATGAATAGGTGATTATTCACAAAAGGAGAGGCACAAATGGCCAATGTGAAGAGGTACTCAGCCTTACTGTTAATTGGAAATGTAAGTTAAACAAACATATGATTCCATTTTTTACTATTATAGACTTGGCAAGGATTCCAAGAAATCATAATGCCCAGAGTTTGCAAGTGGCGAGAAAGTGAGCATTCTCATACACAGATGCAGGTAATATGCTTTGGAGCTAGCATTTTGGGAGAAAATTTGACACTAGTAAGTTCTTGAGAATGAATCTGCCCTTTGATGCAGCAGTATCACTTGCAGGAGCTTATCCTAAGGAAATGACCAGTAATTTGAGCGGCAACATGTGTGTAAAAGAAAGTAGGGGATTGAAAGCCAGGTGCAGTGGTGCACACTGCAGTCCCAGCTGCTCAGGAGGCTTAGGCCAGGGCATCTCCTGAGCCCAAGAGTTCAAGTCCAGCTTGAGAAACATAGCGAGATCCAGTCTCTTTAAAAAACAAAAACAAAAAAGGTAGAGGAGTGGGCAAGTACACTGTGGCATATCAAACCATAGAACACTGTGGGGCAATTAAAATCATGTTTTAAGAGAATATTGGCTGATGTAGGAGAATGTTCATGATGTACTACCATGTGAAAGAGGGAGGTTGCCAAAAGGGTACATGGTATGACCCCATTTTGCTTGTACATATATGCACACAAATGACTGAAAATATTAACAATAAGTTTTTCTGGGTCATGAGATTATGAGTGTTTAATTTTTTCTTTGTGTTTTCTAAGGTTTTTGTGTTTTCTAAGGTTTTTTACACTGAACAAGTATCACTTGTGGGAAGTAGTGGGGAAGATGTCATTAAAAATGGTTTCCAGTAGAAGTACTGGTTGATATGGGGCAACCACAAATAGACTGAAGAATTTGATTCTAAATAGAGCCAATGTTCTGACACTGGCCAGTGGAAGTGGGAGAAGTGACATCCCCCAACCAAGGTCTTAGGCTTGGGTTACCACTATTGTACCAGGTTTCAGTGTGACCTGACCTCTCAGGGAGAGGGCCCAGGCCCTCAGTCCCAGGGCATTTTCTTTGTGTTCTGCATGAGCCTCTGGGTTAGAGGTAGGAGAGGTAAAGGAAATGAGAACAAATTATTCTGCACAAGGAGGAGGGAGACCAAGGTGCAAAGGAAGTGGTCCCAGACACCAAGCCTCTTGGCATGGCTCACCTAGACTGCCTGAGACATCACCCCACAGGGACAGCCACCAGCATGTCCCCAAACTCAGACACAGAACAACTTTATGAACCTGCTGCCAGGCACAGACTGCTCTAGAGATGAAAGCAGAGAGATCTGCAAATAAAACAAGGGGTGGGAGTCCATCCCATGGTTTTGGTTCCCTGAAACTTCTTTCTGCAATCTGAAACTTGTTCAGAGGGAGGAGAGATGAATGGTAATGGGGCCTGGAGGACTCCAATTTACTTTTCCTTCTTAATATAGTAAAATAATTACCTAAGAGATCAGAATGCTATATGTCAAGTCCTAAATAGGATGGTTTGTATCTGTGATGATATTGAAGCCCCAAACAGATGTGAAGATGGAAATGCTGACATAGTGGGGCAGGCTGAATCTCAGAAGAGGGTGATGGTTCAAGTGTGATAGGAGCCTGGAGTAGACGGCCTTAAAACAAAGAGACCTCTGCAGCCACTGGCAAAAGGTTAAGCAGTAAGACCCTATCTTTCCTATTTAAGGGAGAAGTCCTCACTACCTTCTAACCAACCCCACAGTCCAGCTCCAAAGAACATGGCCACCCGGTTTCAAACCCTGTAAGGACCTCATGAAGCATTCCCTGATCCCCACCCCAACTCTGCCTAGCCAGGCCCCACACATCTTCAAGAACCAACCTTATGCCCATCCCTCCATCCCCCCGATAGGCTCTCTCCTTTAAGCCCTAGGCATTATGTCTCTTTATTTCTGACTTTTGGCCTCTTTTTGAGTATGTATTTGTCTTATCCTCACCCTTCTGCCCAGAGAGCAACTTGAGTAAAGGACTGCACATTGTCCTCTACATCCACATAGCAGGTACTATGTAAATATTTGCTGAACATTTTTTAAAGTCAACGTTTTCTTTTAGAATAGTTTTGGATTTACAGAAAAATTGGGAAGACAGTATAGAGAGTTCCTGTATACCCCACACCCAGTTTCCCCTATTCTTAACATCTTATATGAGTACAGTACATCTGCCCAGTTAATGAACCAATATTGAACATTATTATAAACTAAAATTGGCCAGGTGTGGTGGCTCATGCCTACAATCCCAACACTTTGAGAAGCTGAGGCAGGAGGATCACTTGAGCCCAGGAGTTCGAGAACAGCCTGGGCAATATAGGGAGATCTTGTCTCTAAAAATTAAAAAAGTAATAATAATAATAAGTATTATTAACTAAAACCTATACTTTATTAGAATTTTCTTAATTTCTACCTTCCTTTTTTAGAAGCCCATCCAGGATACTGTATTACATTTAGCAATCATGTTGCAGTTTCTCAGACTTTGCTTGTTTGAGATAGAATTCACATACCATAAAATCCACCCTTTTAAAATGTACAACTCTGTGATTTTTTACTATATTCACAAAGCTGTACAACCAGTAGCATTATCTAATTCTAGGACATTTTCATCTCCCCTAAAAGTAACTCCACCTGTTAGCAGTCACTCCCCATTCCCTCCTCCCAGCAGCTTCTGGCACCACTAATAATACCTTGTCTTTATGGATTTGCCTATGCTGGACATTTCATACAATTGGAATCATACATTATGTGTCCTTTTGTGTCTGGCTTCTTTCACTTAGCATAATATTTTCAAATTTCATTCACCTTGTAGCATGAATTAGTACTTCATTCCTTTTTACGGATGCATAATGTTTCACTATATGGATAAACTGCATTTTGTTTATCCATTCATCAACTGAAGGACATTTAGGTTGCTCCATTTTGGGGCTGTAATGAATAATACTGCTATGACATTTGTGGGCAAGTTTTTGCATGAATGTAATGTTTTCATTTCTCTTGGACATACTTAAGAGTGGAATTGCTGGGTCATATGGTAACTCTGTGCTTAACTTTTGGAGGAAATGCTAGTTTTCCAAGTGGCTGCATCATTTTACATTCCCACCAGCAATGCTAGGAGGGTTCCAATTTTTCCACATCCTCACTGACACTTGCTCTTGTTGTTTTGCTTACAGCCATCCTACTAGGTGTGAAGTGGTATCTCCTTGTAGTTTTGATTTGCATTTTTTAAATGACTACTGATGTTAAGCATTTTCTCATGAGCTTATTGGTTAGCTATACAACTTCTTTGGATAAACGTCTGTTCAAATCCTTTGCCCATTTAAATATTGTGTCTTTTTAATTGTGAAATCAAAGTTCTTTTTATATTCTGAATACTAGACTCTTCACATACGTGATTTACAAATATTTTCTCTCATTTTGGGGGGTTGTGTTTGTACTTTCTTATTTTTCTTTATAATGGCTTTACTGAAATATAATCCACATGCCATGCAATTCACTCATTAAAATGTAACAATTTGGTTGTTTTTAGTATTTTCAGAGTTATACAACCATCACCATCATTTTCTTGATAATGTCCTTTGAAGCACAGAAGTTATTAATTTTGATGAGGTCCAATTTACCAATTTTTCTCTGGTTGCTTGTGCTTTTGGTGTCGTATTCAAGAAACTAGTGCCTAACCCAACAACATAAGGATTTACTCCTATTTTTTTTCTAATAGTGTTCTAGTTTTACCTCTTATATTTAGGTCTATGATCCATGTTGAGTTCAATTTTGCATATGGTGTGAGGTATGGATCCAACTTCATTCTTTTGCTTGTGAATATCTAGTTGTCTCAGAACCATTTGTTGAAAATATTATTTTCCCCATTGAATTGTCTTGGCACCCTTATCAAAAATCAATGGCCCATAATACATGCATTTATTTCTAGATTTTTGATTCTATTTCATTGATCTAAGTATTTGTTCTTACACCAGTACCACATGGTCTTGATTTCTAAAGCTTGTAGTAAGTTTGAAATCAGAAAGTGTTAGTCCTCCAACTTGGTTCTTCTTTTTCAAGATTATTTGGGCTATTCTGGATCCCTTAAAATTTTATATGAATGTTAGAATCATCTTGTCCATTTCTGCAAAAGAGTGAGCTAGGGTTTTGATAGGGATTGCACAGAATATGTAGATTAACATGGGGATTACTGCCATCATAACAATATTGTCTTCCAATCCACCGACATGTCTTCATATTTATTTAGGTTTTCTTTAATTTATTTCAGTGATCTTTTGCAGTCTTCAGTGGGGTCAATCCCCAACTGAGCCTTTAAATGACTTCACTTTAGCCCTGGTTGCCACTTTGAAGCCTTTTGAGAGACCCTGAGTGAAAGTAGTCAGCTAACTGCCACCATATTCCTGACCTACCAAAACTATGAGACAATAAATGTTGCTGTTTTAAGCTACCATGTTTTGAGGTAATGTTATACAGCAGTAGATAATGAAGACAACCAGGAATATTCCCCTCCTAACTTCCCACCTCTCCAAATCCTATGAGTCATCAGTTCTCAGATTTAAATGTCGATTCCTCAGGGACGACTTTCCCTTTCCCTGACAATCTCCCCCATACCAGCAGGCCTCTGATGATACATTTTAACAGCATCCTCTTCTTCTCTTTTGCGGCACTCATCACCATGGCAATTTGTTCATAATCTGAGTATTTGTTTCATGCCTGTCTTCCCTCAAGACTGTCAGTTCCATAACTGAGCAGGCTATATTTATTTCATCCACACTGAATTCCCAGCACCTAATGTGGTGCCTAGCACAGAGTGGGGATATAGTAATTGTAGAATAAAAAATGTAAACTTAAGAATGAATAAATGAAATATATCTAAGCCTCATAGTTCAGAAAGGAGCAAGAGAAAAGCCTAGTAAAGATAGTTACAAACGTCTCATAATTCCAAGGTTTTCTTTTTGAAAAATACTTATTAAACAGGCCGGGCGCAGTGGCTCACACCTGTAATCCCAGCACTTTGGGAGGCTGAGGTAGGGAGATCACGAGGTCAGGAGATCGAGACCATCCTGGCTAACATGGTGAAACCCCGTCTCTACTAAAAATACAAAAAATTAGCCAGGCGTGGTGGCGGGCACCTGTAGTCCCAGCTACTCGGGAGGCTGAGGCAGGAGAATGGCATAAACCTGGGAGGTGGAGCTTGCAGTGAGCCGAGATGGCACCATTGCACTCCAGCCTGGGTGACAGAGCGAGACTCCATTTAAAAAAAAAAAAAAAACTTTTTAAACAAAACAGCCAGGTGCAGTGGCTCACACCTATAATCCTAGCACTTTGGGAGGCCGAGGCAGGCAGACTGCTTGAGCTCAGGAGTTCGAGACCAGCCTGGGAAACGTGGTAAGACTGTCTCTGCAAAAAATACAAAAATTAGCTGGGCATGGTGGCATGTGTCTGTGGTCCCAGCTACTCGGGAGGCTGAGGTGGGAGGGTTACCTGAGCCCAGGAGGTGGAGGCTACAGGGAGCCATGAATGTGCCACTGTACTCGAGTCTGGGAGCCTGGTTGACAGAGCGATACCCTACCTCAAAAAACAAACAAACAAAAAAACCATGTCAACATATTCTAGTTAAAAATTTGTTATAACAGAGTGCATTATAATCTAATTCTCCACTTTAAAAAAAAGGCCAACCAGGGTTAGCTGATAGTCCAGGAGTTGATGTGGGTAATAAAGGATGAGAGGATGAAGACAGAGTGCATGTTTAAGAAGATGCCCCAATACCAATAGGCTGGAATTGATGTTCCTCTGCCCTGGATATTGAATCTGGGAAAGGTGTCCAGTTTTTTATGAAGCTGAATGCCAAAGGAGGATGTTGAAGTCTGAGGACAAACCTGTGGCCTGGCAAATTTAGTCCAGTTGTTTTAGGTGACTAAACTCTATACCCTTACAGGACTTTTAAAATGATAATATTATATAATCAACAGCTCTGTATTCCATCTAGTGAATTGGTTTTATTAGTGATTCTTTATCTTCACTGCCTACCAGATAACATCCAACTCACTCCCTAGCTGGATGTCCAGGACTCAGCTGACCTTTCAGGCCTGACCTTCTCAGGCTGCCTGCTGCAGACACCATGCTCTTGGCATTCCGCAGTCACAGGGTCCACTTTCCCATCTCTGTGCCTTTGCAAGCACTCTTCCTCTGACTGCAAGTTCCCTTTCAGTACCACTGAATCCCTCCAAAGCTAAGTTCAAATCAGAACTCTCCTGCTGCCCTCAGAACTGACTGCTCCATGGCTCTGTCCTCTTGAGCACTTTGTGTGTTTATCACTTCTGTGGCCAATAACATATTTAATATTATATTGTGGTGGTGTATTTCATTTATCTTCTCTGCTACATAGACCTGGAGGATATTGTCTTTGTCTTCATCTTTTTTTTCTGCATAACCTAGTACACGGCTCTGGATGGAATAGGGGCTTAATATATATTTGTTGTTAAATGAATAAATGAAAGAATGAATGTTAAAAGGCTTCTAAATGAATCTGATATACTTTATATCCCAAGGCCGGTAATAACAATAATAATATAGTCATAGAAAGAGATTAAAGTTAAAAAGTCTTAATGTGCCTTTTTTGATTATGAAGTTCTGTTTTCACATGTACCAAAGAAGACATCTCATAAGGCAAAAATGAACTTAGAAATGAATAAACAAGGCCGGGTGCAGTGGCTCACACCTGTAACCCCAGCACTTTGGGAGGCCAAGGTAGGCGGAACGTTTGAGGTCAGGAGTTGGAGACCAGCCTGGCCAACATCGTGAAACCCCATCTCTACTAAAAATACAAAAAAATTAGCCAGGCGTGGTGGCGCACGCCTGTAATCACAGCTACTCAGGCTAAAGCAGGAAAATTGCTTGACCAAGGTGGAGGCTGCAGTGAGCCGAGATCACATCACTGCTCTCCAGCCTGGGCTATAGAGTAAGACTCTGTCTCAAAAAAAAAAAAAAATTCGAGAAATGAATAAACAGCATGGTTCTTCACTAGTAAACTACAGCACTGACTAAATGTTCTAATACATTACTCTTAGTAGTCACATAGAGCTCAAATAAATACATAAACAAAGCAAACTACTAAAAATAGGAAAATGAGCTTTTCAAGAGCTTTCAGGAATTCTTTGTCTGCTGTTCAACTTTTAACCAGATAATTTGAAAAATTTTAAAAGCTTAATAATAATAACAACGAATAACCATCTTCTATAAAGTCAAAGTAGTTTACTTGAGATATGGAATGTACCAGGTTACTTAGGGCATGATGTATGAGAGGACAGTGTTTTCATGACCAAGTCCAGTGTATCCTGAATCCTCATGTTATTGTTTTCCATCAAGGAAGGATATCTCCCAAATGATTTTGTGTTTTCTTCTGGATCAAGGGGGTGAAGCGTATGTGGGTTGAATAGACATCGAGGCTCCCCCAAGATGCCAACTCTGTGAAAAGAATTATTGGGATAGCTGAAGTGATGAGGCCAAAGACTGACGTGCAGGGTTGAGACTGTGATTGTGGTTGTGTGTATGTATGTGTGTGTGTATGTACACTAAAGCTAAGATATACTCTTTCTCTCTTTTTAAAAACTTTCCCTGTTTCCATGAACTACCACTGTAGTCTTATATATGAGTCCAAAAGTAAATCCTTAGCAAGATTTTGTACTAGCGCTTCCCACATTTCTCAAAGGTGATTCTACTAATAGAAAAACCTCAGCCTTAAAAAAATTCAGTTACAGGCTGGGCGCGGTGGCTCACACCTGTAATCCCAGCACTTTGGGAGGCCGAGGCGGGCAGATCACCTGAGGCTGGGAGTTTGAGACCAGCCTGACCAACATGGAGAAACCCCATCTCTACTAAAAATACAAAACTAGCCGGGCGTGGTGGCTCATGCCTATAATCCCAGCTACTCAGGAGGCTGAGGCAGGAGAATCACTTAAACTCGGGAGGCAGAGGTTGAAGTGAGCCGAGATTGTGCCATTGCACTCCAGCCTGGGCAACAAGAGAGGGACTCCGTCTCAAAAAAAAAAAAAAAAAAAAAATCAGTTACTCACTCCTCCAAACTAGAACTATTTGGAGTCTAGCACCACTTTCTAGCAATTGTTTTTCTGGTCTAGATGGGTGTACCTCAAGATTCTCTAGAAAGGAAACTAGGAGGGGAGCAGGGCAGAAGTAAGAAAATGGGGGCTGTCATCATGGCTCGATTCCCTGGCAGAGGCATGGTGCCTGGGCCCCTGCCCCTTCCAGCCCCACCTGGGATGCCACCTCAAGGCACTCATGCTTCTCTTGCCAAGCCACTTACACCGGCATGGGCACAGAGTCCAGAGTTCCCACATGCTTTTGCATCTCGGCTGGGAATCTGACGTCTACTTGATGATACTTTTTCTCAAAGACGTTTTGAGCTTTTTCTCTGAGAGATGGCAGCAGAGTAGACATGACTGGAGAACGCATGTTGATAGCTTTTTTAATTGCTGGGCGTTTTGCCATCATTCTCCTGTCGGGGAGGAAGGTGACATTTAGGTCATATCACCCTGTTTTCTAGAAATGTTCTTGAGGCCAGGTGCAGTGGCTCATGCCTGTAATCCCAACCCTTTGGGAGATCAAGGCGGGAGGATCACTTGAGCCCAGGAGTTCGAGACCAGCCTGGGCAACATAGCAAGACCCCCGTCTCTACAAAAAATTTTAAAAAGTAGCCAGGTGAGACAGCATGCCTGCAGTCCTAGCTACAGGAGGATCACTTGAGCCTGGGAGGTTGAGGCTGCAGTGAGCTGTGATCATGCCACTGCCTTCCAGCCTAGGTGACGGAATGAGATCCTGTCTGAAAAAAAAAAGAGGAGGCTGGGCATGGTGGCTCACGCCTGTAATCCCAGCACTTTGGGAGGCTGAGGCGTGTGAATCAGCTGAGGTTAGGAGTTCGAGATCAGCTTGACCAACATGGTGAAACTCCGTCTCTACTAAAAATACAAAAAATTAGCCAGGCGTGGTGGCGCATGTCTGTAATCCTAGCTACTCGGGAGGCTGAGACAGGAGAATTGCTTGAACCCAGGAGTCGGACGTTGCAGTAAGCCAAGCTTGTGCCACTGCACTCCAGCCTCAGCAATAGAGCAAGACTCTGTCTCAAAAAAAAAAAAAAAAAAAAAAAAAAAAAAGGAGAAAAAAGAAAAGAAAAGAAAGGAAAGGAAGAAAAGAAATACCCCTGAGCATAGGAAAGTCAAAAGGTCATACCTGAACTGAACAAAAGTCATGCGTTTCTTTTCCCCTCCTGATTCCTCATCTTCACGCCTCCTGCGAGGAATGTTGAACATATTGGTACGAAAGAGTCTCCCTACTTCTTCTTCAATCTCTGTCAAGTGTTGACGTCGGAAGACAATCCAAGCCACATATGTACAGAAAGTATAAAAGGACTACAACAAAAAATAGACAAGAATCACGATCCTTAGCTGTGAAATGGAAAACTCTTACCTGTCTGTATAACACAGCTAAGCAGACACAAACCCAGATGACCCAATTTCCCAATATTCCTGAAACAATGAAAAATTATACACATACTCACTTTTGCATGAGGAAAATCAGACCAACAATTTAAGGTATAGCATATAGCTTGTTAGCACCGTCTTTTAGAAAGGATATTCACTAAAAATAAGTGCCTGACAAATGGCCATTGGTTGTTGGTATATATTGTTTCATATCAAAAAGCACCAAAACATAAGTGACTCACCTCAAAGAACTTCCAGTCTTTCTGTGTATCTGATATTTTCTCCCTGTAATATAACAAGTCACAACTATAGGTTGAGAGGGAAGTTCAATCTTTCAGGGTACTAGTCCTTATCTTTCTCTAAAGTTAGGGTCATTATCTTGGCCCCAAGATTATTTTCAGCTACACAAATGCTATCAAAAGGCATTGATAAAGAGTCTCAATACTTTCTTATTCAACCTCCTACGTTACCCAGATCAAAACTCCTAGAATGGTAAAAAGTTAATCAATATAAATTTGGGGTAAACAAACCAGTGAGGAAATGTATTCTTCCAAAGGCTTCTGGTAATTTGAGTGTTGGGGAGGTAAGGAGAGTGGAAAGGTGGTAAAGAGGAAGCAGAGAACTAGAGGGTAAGTCTGCAATAAAGAAAAGGAAAAGAATTAGCAAACAATAGTTATGGCTATTGGGTACAAAAAGAAACAGAAACAAAATCCACAAAGATCTATGCCAAAACAACCAATAGACTGAGAACGGCAGTGTGCTCCTCCTTCTGATGGGCATGGACAAACCTGAGTCTTCTCTCTTCCCAGGAGTCCTTGCAACACAAATTCAATGTTAAGAATACTATACTTGGCAAGATGCAGTGGCTTACGCCTGTAATTAGCACTTTGGGAGGCCGAGGTGCGTGGATCACTTGAGGCCAGGAGTTTCAGACCAGCCTGGCCAACATGGTGACGCTGTTAAAGTACTAAAAGTACTAAAAGTACAAAAATTAGCTCTACTAAAAGTACAAAAATTAGCTGGGTGTGGTGGCGGGCGCCTCTAATCCCAGCTACTCGGGAGGCTGAGGCAGGAGAATTGCTTGAACCCGGGAGGTAGAAGTTGCAGTAAGCCGAGATTGTGCCACTGCACTCCAGCCTGGGCAACAGAGCAAGACTCCATCTCAAAAAGAAAAAAAAAGAATACTATACTGGCATGGGCGCAATTAGTGAACATGGCCTCCCCTCCTAACAATTCTGATTCTGACTCCCAGCCTAGGAAACCAGGCCTGGTCTGGGGAGCCCTTGAGAGTTGACTGAGGGGGTTATGCACCTGCAGTCACTTGATCAGTCACAGCGGCCAAGGCCAGACCCTGGACACTTCAAGGCTGATCCTGGTTTTGCTTCTTTTTTAAGACAGAGCTGGAGTGCAGTAGTGTGATCATAGCTCACTATAGCCTTGACCTTCTGGGCTCAAGCAATCCTCCCACCTCCCAATCCTCCCACCAGACTGTAGGAGTTCAGGATGGTTCTGGAGAGCCTGGTACCCACCTCAGCCTCACAAGAAGCTGGGACCACAAGTATACACCACCACACTGGCTAATTTTTTTTTTTTTTTTTTTTTTTTGAGACAGGGTCTCATTCTGTCATCCAGGCTGGAGCACAGTAGCATGATCATGGCTCACGGCAGCCCTGACCTCCCCAGGCTTAGGTGATCCTCCCACCTCAGCCTCCCAAGTAGCTGAGACTACAGGCACACACCAACATGACCAGCTAATTTTTGTATTTTTTGTAGAGATGGGGTTTCACCATGTTGGCCAGGCTGGTCTCGAACTCCTGAGCTCAAGCTATCCACCTACCTCACCCTCCCAAAGTGATGGGATGACAGGCGTGAGCCAAGGTGCCCGGCCTGCTTCTGCTTTTGTTGGGGCCTTCCTTGGAGGAACTGTGACTCTGAGGATTGGCCTTGGTACCAGGCTCTCCAGAACCATCCTGAACTCCCACAGTCTGGGAAAGATGACCCAAACCTCACAGGACCTTCGGCCTTCTCACAGGGACTTCCTGGTCTGAATGGGCCCAAACTAGCCCTCCACTTGGGGAATGAGGCCAAAGAGGTGGTTACTGGGGCCTGCCCCTCCCCTCCTACAGACTCTCTTCATTATATATTGGTTTCTTCATGTGCAAGTCTTCAATAAAGAACTACGGCAATAGCAATTAGAGTGAACATGGACTAAGTATGGACTATGTGCCGGGTACTGCACTAAGCCCTTTACATGTATGATCCTATCTAGTCTTTATAACATCCTGCACCACGCTAAGCCCTTTACATGTATTATCATATCTGGTCTTCATAACATCCCTATGGTATAGTCAACATTATTATTCCCACTTCTCAACTGAGGAAACTAAAGTTGAGACTTAAGTCCAAAGACATATATCTAATTAGGGACAGATCCTGTACTAAAACTCGGGCCTGTCAGATACCCACGTCTGTCCTCATAACTGGACTGTGAGGAGAATAAGCTTTTTTCTTTAAAATAGTTTGCAGATAAACGTACTGAACAACAGAGCTCAGCGGAAACTTTTCAGAGCAAGCCTCAGCATTTCTTCTCTGTGCCACCTGAGGCCTCCACCTGAGGGGTGTGCTGATGTGAAATTTCCACCCTTTCAAAGCTCCTCTTCCATAACTAACTGTAAATCTTCTGCCAGCTGAAACCAGAGACCATGAACACCTGCCAAGCTGAAGCAAGAAAACTAGCCAAAGTCTGTTTTGGGAATAAAGTCAGCTTGTATTCTGGGAGATCTAGAGCAGAGCTCACATCAGCACAAGGCAAACCAGCACCATCTTAGCATGGTTTTGAAATGAGAGTGATTGCCCAGGAAACACACTTTCTTTCCTTTTCTTTCTGGGTTCTTTTTTTAGACATTAGAAGAGAAGGTAAGGCTGGGCACAGTGGCTCACGCCTGTAATCCCAGCACTTTGGGATGCTAAGGCAGGCGGATCACCTGAGGTCAGGAGTTCAAGACCAGCCTGGCCAACATGGCGAAACACCATCTCTACTAAAAATACAAAAATTAGCCGGGCGTGGTGGCAGGTGCCTGTAATCCCAGCTACTCGGGAGGCTGAGTCAGGGAGAATTGCTTGAACCCAGGAGGCGGAGGTTGCAGTGAGCCAAGATCACGTCACTGCACTCCAGCCTGGGCGACAGAGCAAGATTCCATCTCAAAAAAAAAAAAAAAAAAGAGGAGGTAACATGAACCTCTTTCCACTTTCCCTCGAGTTGCCATACACACTGGAACTCTTTCTCTCTTTTTTTTTTTTTTTTTTTTTTGAGATGGAGTTTCACTCTTGTCTAGGCTGGAGTGCAATGGCACGATCTTGGCTCACCGCAACCTCTGCCTCCCGGGTTCAAACGATTCTCCTGCCTCAGCCTCCCAAGTAGCTGGGATTACAGACATGCGCAACCACGCCTGGCTAATTTTGTATTTTTAGTAGAGATGGGGTTTCTCTGTGTTGGTCATGGCTGTCTCAAACTCCTGACCTCAGGTGATCCGCCTGTCTCGGCCTCCTGAAGTGCTGGGGTTACAGGCGTGAGCCACAGCGCCCGGCCTAACTCTTTCTCTCTTAATGCCCAAAGCAAACTGATGTAACCCATACTGCAAAAATTAAGTACAGAATGTCATGGGTTTCTTCTTGCCATTCTGATTTAGCCCTGCATATGAAATAGAAATGCGTCCAGGAAATGGGTGCATACAGTGAATACATCTGGGGACTTCATAGTTAAAAGCTCTACAAATTTACTTCTGGCTGGTATATTTTGAGTCGTTTTCCTGTCTATTTTGGTATTTTATAATTTTTATATTAAGTACATATACTTAAAATAAATTGATTATAAATTTAAAAATTTATTGATTATAAAATAACAAAATTGGCCTGGCATGGTGGCTCACACCTGTAATTCTAGCGCTTTGGAAAGCCAAGGCAGGCAGATCGCTTGAGCTCAGGAGTTCAAGACCAGCCTGGGCAAGATGGCAAAACGCGATCTCTACAAAAATACAAAAAAAAAATATATATATATATATATATAGCTGGGAGTGGTGGCACACGCCTTGTAGTCCCAGCTACTTATGGGGCCAGGTGGGAGGATCGCTTGAGAACAGGAAGTTGAGGCTGCAGTGAGCCAAGATAGTGCCACTGCACTCTAGCCTGGGTGGCAAAGTGAGACCCTATCTCAAAAAAAATAAAAAATAAAAATAAATTAAATTAAATTTTAAAAAATTAAAATAACAAAATTTAAGCCTCCCAGAATCGTCTGCAAATAGAAATGGGGTTTAAACAATACAATCCGTGGAAATATAATGCAAGCCATAAATTAATTTTAAATTTTCTAGTAGCCACAGTGAAGAGAAACAAGTGAAGCTAATTTTAATAATAAATTTTATCCAAACCCCCAAAATATTATCATTTCAATATAGAAGCAATATTTCTAAAGTATTGAGATGTTTTATTCATATTTAGACTTTCTGTGTACAGTGCTTATTTTTCACTTATAGTATGTTTCAATTTGGACTACTACATTTCAAAGTGCTCAACAGCCGCGTGTGGCAAGTGGCCACCATGCTGGTCAGCACAGACACCATGCATTCCATGTTTGAGGACACAACCCAAAGGAAAGAGGGGAAAGCCAGCCTGGTAGTAAATCTAGAGAATTTTAGTGGCCTGTTATGATGCTCTCTTATTCCTTCTTGCTACCTTAGACTCTTGGCTCCAAATCAAAATGAGGAAAGTATATTTTATGATTTGTCATTCCTAAAGGGAAACAAAGTCTAGACCCAGGGTTCTGGGCTAGGGAGAAAAAAAGTTGTGCTCCCCCACTTGCCCCCTGCTGCTCTAGGTGAAATCAGGTTTAAAAGAAGGTCAAGGCCTGCTCTATACAAGAGTGTCAAAGGGATGTATTTTAGGGGAGGGGAAAGAGGCTTTGGTGCATGTGACTGGGGGTAAGGGTAGAGGAATAGGGCTTAGGGATAATTTACACACCTGAGTTTCAAAAAGACTCCCTTTTTCCCCGTCAGCCCCACCGCTAGCCTCTCTGGTTGCCCATCAAGTGACAGCTGCACTGAGAACAGTGGAAGAAGGTATAAATACTAGCGTAGAGGCGGGGGTGGAGCCAGCATTGGCCATCACCAAAGAGATCTAACTATGGCATGTGCCTGCCACCAAGGAGGTTTTCATATCTAACTTGGAAAACACAGAGAACTTTTACTGAACGTGTTCATCAAAATTCTGCCAAAGCTTTCAGGATGTCAGGGTTCCTCAGACATTTAAAGGCACATCCTTCTACTTCTCAAGAGACATGAAAGCACTAAATTAACAGCACCCAAACTGCTGGTTCTACTAAAATCTTTAATCATAGAGATACGCAGCATAATGTGTTGTAGTCAAATATTAAGTGTGCACATGAGACAAAACAGGGACCACCCCCCACACTTAGGGATCTGCCACCCCACCCCCACCCCCAAACATGGAAATAAAGGGAAGCCTTGAGTTCTTGTAAGGGAAATTCCAGGCACCTAGCTAGCCCTGAGAAGTAAATGAGCAACTTGATAAGAAGATAACAGTAGCTTAAAAGACAGCCAAGGAAGTTAGAGTCACAAGATGTTTGGTTCCCTATATAAAGTAAAAATAACATTTTAACATATGTCCCTGCGTTGTTTTTCAGAAACTCAGACCCCCACCAAATGGGTCCACTGGCATGTAGACCTCAGATAAGGGGAGACTGAGGACTGAACTCTAACTGCATTCATTGTTCTAAAGTTCTTCCTGAGAGGCCTAGAAGTCATGTACATGAGCCAGACCTAACACATCTTTCTGCAGACCCCAAGTTTTTAAAACAAAGCTGCTCTACCTTAACCAAATCAGAAAATCTTGGAATCTGCTTATGACCTGTAAGGCCCCGCTTCAAAATATCCTGCCTTTTTAGTCCAAACCAATATATAACCTCTATGTATTGATTTACAACTTTGCCTGTAACTTCTGCTTTCCTGAAATGTACTCCTGCCTTTAAAAACCCTTGCTTACAAGCCATCAGAGAGGTCAGGTCTTAAGTGAGAGCTGCCTGATTCTACTTGCTTGCCAACCTGCAAATAAATACCCTCCTTTCTCCTGATATTACAAACCACGGTGTGGATGTTTCACCTGACTGCATCAGGCAAGCGGACCCCAGTTCACTTCGGTAACACATATATGAAAGAGAAAAGTCAGAAAATACACATGAAAATATTAGCTTACTGAAATCGGAAAGAAGTGGAATGTTAAAATGAGTTAATCACTTATAACCGGCAAAAACATTGTCCTCATCTTCTCCTGCATAAAAGCCACCAAAAGAACAATATAAACTTCCGAATCATGGCAAAAACCTGTTCCAGTCTGTCTTTTATGTCCTTTGTTCAGCGTTTGACCTGTATGGAATTTGTTACGTGGGTGGTGAGATCTGCGCTCATTCTTCTATAAACTGCTATCCAGCAGGCAGAGGAAACATGGGTTATGTCGCATACAGTGGAAAAATGACCAGCACCATCTGGAAATGAGCTAGTGCTAACCAGAGGCCATCATCTACTTTCAAACATATGTGTTCCTTTAAAGGTTTGTGTAAAAATTGCCTTGGAAAAAGTATAATTACTTCAGTGGAGGCTCTATGCCGAGAACTAAAAAATATTATAAATTCTCTAATTATGGTATAATTGTTTATAGTTTGCTTTTTATCCCAACATTGGTTTGCAATGTATATGTGTTTTTAAAGATTAAACATTAAGTATGAGAAATTTAAAAAAAATTTTTTTGAGGCAGGGTGTTGTTCTGTCACCAGGTTGGAGTGCAGTAAGTAGCACAATCATGACACATTGCAGCCTCAACCTCCCTGGCTCAAGCAGTTCTCCCACCTCAGCCTCCCAGGTGGCTGGAACTACAGGCATGCACCACCATGCCCAGCTAATTCTTTAATTTTTTTCTGGAGAGAGGCTCTCACTGTGTTGCCCGGGCTGGTCTCGAACTCCTGGGCTCAAGTGACTTTCCTGCCTCAGTCTCCCAAAGTGCTGGGATTACAGGCATGAGCCACTGTGCCTGGCCAAAATCATTTCTTAAGAGCATGTTTTTGTTTTGTTTTTTTTGTTTTTTGAGACGGAGTCTCGCTCTGTCGCCCAGGCTGGAGTGCAGTGGCGCGATCTCAGCTCACTGCAAGCTGCGCCTCCCAGGTTCACGCTATTCTCCTGCCTCAGCCTCCCTAGTAGCTGGGACTACAGGCGCCCGCCACCACGCCCGGCTAATTTTTTGTATTTTTAGTAGAGATGGGGTTTCGCCGTGTTAGCCAGGATGGTCTCGATCTCCTGACCTCGTGATCTGCTCACCTCGGCCTCCCAAAGTGCTGGGATTACAGGCGTGAGCCACCGCGCCTGGCCCAAGAGCAGGTTTTTTAACCTTAAATCCTAGTTTTCTAACTAGAAGTGACACTTTAAAGACAAAAGAAATTAGTGTCAATATTAATAGTGATGTTATAAATGATTGAGTAGGAAACTGTAAAGATGACTGTAATTTTATCATAATGCTTTTCCTAAAAACTTTGTCAAGAGAAAACACTACTTCTTTCTAAACAATGAAGTCTATAGCAAGCTGAACCTCCACCAACAGCCCTAAACACCTGTAAAAGCTTCCTGTTTTTGGATCACAGGAAGGTATTTTTGATGCTGAAACATCCCCAACTTTTAAGTATCTCTATATTAAATCTACTACTATACCTCACTCATCAGAGAGATTAAATGTAATAATTCCATTAGTTTATATATGCTCTTGTCCTTTTGGGTTTCTTTTTTCTTTTAATTTTTATTTTAGGTTTGGGGGTACATGTGAAGGTTTGTTAAATAGATAAACACGAGTCACGGGGGTTTGTTGTACGTATTATCACATCGCTCAGGTATTAAGCTCAGTAGACAATACTTATCTTTTCTGCTCCTCTCCCTCCTCCTACCATTCCCACCTCAAGTGGACCCCAGTGTCTGTTGCTTCTTTCTTTGTGTTCATAAGTTCTTATCATTTAGCTCCGACTTATAAATAAATGAGAACATGCAGTATTTCGTTTTCTGCTCCTGTGCTAGTTTGCTAAGGATAATAGCCTCCAGCTCTATCCATGTTCCCACAGAAGGCATGATCTCATTCTTTTTTATAGCTGCAGAGTATTCCAAGGTGTAAACGTACCACCTTTTCTTTATCCAGTGTGTCACTGTTGGGCATTTAGGTTGATTCCATGTCTTTGCTATTGTGAACAGTGCTGCAGTGAACATTTGCATGCATGTGTCTTTATGACAGAATGCTTCACATTCCTCTGGGTATATACCCAGTAATGGGAATGCTGGGTTGAATGGTAGTTCTGCTTTTAGCTCTTTGAGGAATCACCATACTGCTTTCCACAATGGTTGAACTAATTTACATCCCACCAACAGTGTATAAGCGTTCCCTTTTCTCTGCAACCTAGCCAGCATCTGTTATTTTTTGACTTTTTAATAATGGCCATTCTGACTGATGTGAAATAGTATCTCATTGTGGTTTTTATTTTTTACTGTAACCCACAGAAAGAAATATATTTAATAGAGTCCCCAGTACACACTGAAACAAGTCTCCTAAAACAATACTTACTTTTACTTTTTATGATGTACTCTGATTTTTAAAGTTCTAGTCTACTCTCTTCAAGACTTACTAAATTGATTTCAAGATCCATTAATGTGTTGTACTCTGAAAAACACTGGTTTAGGAGCGTTACTGTAAGAAAGAACAACAGGCTGTAGAAAGCTGAATGCATAAAAGATGAGGACTGACTGTACTTTTGAAAGACACAAAAAGTGCCAAGCATGGTGGCACATACCTATAATTCCAGCACTTTGGGAGGCCGAGGCAGGTGGATCACCTGAGGTCAGGAATTCAAGACCAGCCTGACTAACATGGTGAAACCCCATCTCTACTAAATACAAAAAATTAGCCAGGCGTGGTAGCAGAGTTTGTGGTGGGCCGAGATCGCGCCATTGCACTCCAGCCTGGGCAACAAGAGTGAAACTCCATCTCAAAAAAAAAAGGCCAGGTGCAGTGGTTCACGCCTGTAATCCCAGCACTTTGGGAGGCCGAGGCAGGCGGATCACAAGGTCAGGAGATCGAGACCATTCTGGCTAACATGGTGAAACCCTGTCTCTACTAAAAATACAAAAAATTAGCCGGGCGTGGTGGCGGGCGCCTGTAGTCCCAGCTACTCGGGAGGCTGAGGCAGGAGAACAGCGTGAACCCGGAAGGCAGAGTTTGCAGTGAGCCAAGATCGCACCACTGCACTCCAGCCTGGGTGACAGAGTGAGATTCCATCTCAAAAAAAAAAAAAAAAAAAAAAAAAGTAATCATGGCAGCAAAGCTTAAAAATGCTATGATGTTGGATATGTTATCAGAAGCAGACACCAAGACAGGACTAGACATGAGATTTATTGGAGAAAGACAAGATTTATTGGAGAAAATTATGGTGACAGAAAATGAGGAGAGAACTGGAGAAGGCAAGGAGTGCCGTCACACCTCAATGCATGTCTGACCCTGTGAGAGAGGAAAGGCAGGAGGGTCTGGGTAGGAAGGAACTCAGACAGAGGCACAGCTCTAGGAAAGTTTTGACCAGGCCAAAGGGGAGTCCTCAAGCTGACGCTGTCAGTCAGAGAAGTCCCGCAACTGTGGGGAATGGGCTTGCTGCACCCAGACACTGGCAGGAGGCAGCCTGTGGGAGGCATGGTGCAATGAGCTGAATGTTTGTGTTCCCCCAAAATTCATATGTTGAAATACTAACTCCCAGTGTGATGGTCTCAGGATGTGAGGCCTTTGGAAGTAATTAAGTCACGGACATAGAGCCCGTATGCATTGTGTGAATTAGTGTTCTAGAAAAGAGACCCCAGAAAGCTCTGTCATCCTCTTTCTGCCATGGTGAGGATACAATGAGAAGCTGGCAGTCTGCAACCTAGAAGAGGGCCCTCACCAGAGCCTGACCATGCTGGTATACTGATCTTAGACCTGCAGCCTGTAGAACTCTGAGAAATACATTTCTGTTGTTTATAAGCCACCCTGTCTATGGTACTTTGCTATAGCAACCCAAACAGGCTAAAACATGTGGCCTCAGTGCAGACCTGGTGGTGGATTCAGGTGCAACAGCTGGGGCCACTGCTCAGTTACGCTCCCTGAGTGCCACATTTTCATCGTCCCATGCTGGAAAGCAGAACCAAACTTGTCAACTCCATAACAGAACTGCAGCAACAAAAACTTGAAAGCTGCAGAACGGATGTAGTAGAATAAAGAATGGGTGTTGTCAGGAATACACATTAAGAGTGTATTCCCAAATCATGAAAAATCACACACACATGGTGAATCAAATCACAGAGATGCTGGGCCTTGGAAGTGGATCGAGGACATCCACCACTATAGAAACAGGGGTGCAAGAGAAGAGAAATGGCCGACAACGCCAAGATACAACCAACAAAACAAAGAAAGTGAGCCTGAACTGAAAGTATATCGATGCAAACATCAATAAATATCAAGTTCCATCTGAGAGAAACTTCATATGTATATCTGTTTTTTAACTTTATAAACTAATATACGATCCTTATGAATAGCCAAGAAGAAATTAGAGAACATATGCCTGTGCCTCTCAGACCCTGGGTAACTTGGAAAAAATCTACCCAACTAAAGAACGAATTAGGGCGGAGTGCCGTGGCTCATGCCCGTAATCCCAGCACTTTGGGAGGCTGAGGTGGGTGGATCACCTGAGGTCAGGAGTTTGAGACCAGCCTGACCAATATGGTGAAACCCCATCTCTACTAAAAATACAAAAATTAATCAGGCATGGTGGTGTGTGCCTGTAATCCCAGCTACTCGGGAGGCCGAGACAGGAGAATCACTTGAACCTGGGAGGCAGAGGTTGCAGTGAGCCGAGATCACACCATTGCACTCCAGCCTATGGGGACAAGAGCGAGACTTTGTCAAAAAAAAAAAAAAAAAAAAGATACTCAGTCAAATAAAACATCTTTAAGCTTTTTATACACCTTTAAACTATCAAAAATATTAAAGTAATAAAACCCAATGCAACCAGATATACTTACTGCTGATGGTAATACAAAATGTCTTAAACTAGGCCAGGCGCAGTGGCTCACACCTGTAATCCCAGCACTTTGGGAGGCCGAGGCGGGTGGATCACGAGGTCAGGAGATCGAGACCATCCTGGCTAACATGGTGAAACCCTGTCTCTACTAAAAATACAAAAAATTAGCTGGGCGTGGTGGCGGGCGCCTGTAGTCCCAGCTACTTGGGAGGCTGAGACAGGAGAATGGCGTGAACCCAGGAGGCGGGGCTTGCAGTGAGCCAAGATCGTGCCACTGCAGTCCAGCCTGGGCAACAGAGCAAGACTATGTCTCAAAAAAAAAAAAAACCCCAAAATGTCTTAACCTTTATAGAGAACAATCTAGCAGTATGTATCAAGAGCTACAAAACTGTGGCTTTCTAGGTAAATATACTGTGGAAAATAAGCCATAAGGAAATAGTCCAAATGAACAAAGAATATTCAATGCAGAAATATTATAACACACAAAAACTAAAATTATGCAAATGTACACAAAAAGAATGGTTAAGCAAATATGTATGTTACATAACAGAATCCTATTCAAAGTGGTAAGTGAAATCACATAGTCAGAATAATAAGAGAAAGTACCCAGGAAATACAGAATACAAAAATGTATATACCAACAACTGTGTAAGTATGCTCATTGACAAAGCTGGTCTTTGAAAATGTGGAGAATGTAGAAAGAGACACATCATGTACTAGGTTCTTTTCCTATGGGGGGAATAATTATTTTCCTATGGGGGAAAAAAACTGTTCTGGCTATGACCATGAGGTAGATCTGGGGCCTGTTGTGAAACTCAGAGAAGGAGATTCTGAGTTAAGGGTTGATGTGTTCGACCTTGTGATCCCAAACCTGTGATGAGACTCCTCTTTAAGTTTTAATTACAGTGGTGTAAAAATAGTCATCCTAAGGTAAAAATGATCTTCCCACAAAGAACCATCTTAGAATCCACACCTCAGCAGCTCCTACTCACAATTGTTGCTGCTGCAAAATAAGCAGTAAAAGGATAGGGAGACACCTAATCCCCCTGCACTACCGGCCCCACCAGACCTCCTGCCCAAGGGAGCCAAGTCTGGCAGCAAGAGCCCTTCCTGGTTGAGAGCAAGATTTCACTGAGAGACCATGTCATTCAATCTCAAGCAGTGGAAAGTTTTAAAAATATCCGCTGAGATTCTGAGATTTCTTCCACATGCACTTTGGTCTCTCAAAGGAGACATTACAAGGGTTTGGGACAGATTCTCACCTGAGCCCAATTACTCTGGACAACAGAAAAAGGAACATTTTCTCAAGGTAACAAAAGTCAAACGGAAGCATCTTAAGGATGTGAGTCTATGATGGAGTGATGATCTAATGAAGTGTAAGTATCTGCTTACTTTCCACAGCACATGTGATGCTTATCCGGCACGGCCAAGCCCAGCACAAGGATACAGTACTTCTGCGCCAAGTACCTCTGTGCTGCTTCTAATTCACTTAAAACCAATTCCATTTCTTTTTTCTCTACAAGGCCTCTGATGGGGAGGACAAAAAAAAGAGAATTTGGGTTAATTGTCATAAGTGCCTATATTAACTAGCAAAAAGTCAGAATTATAAACTTTTCTTCTTTTCTTTAAGACAGAGTCTTGCTCTGCTACCTAGGCTGGAGTGCAGTGGTGCGATCACAGCTCACTGCAGCCTCAACCTCCAGGGCTCAAGCAATCCTCCTGCCTCATAGGCGCATGCCACCATGCCTGGCTAATCTTTTTTTATTTTGTGTAGAGGCAGGGTCTCACTCTGTTGTCCAGGCTAATCTTGAACTCCTGGACTCAAGTGATCCTCCCCTTGGCCTCCCAAAGTGTTGGGATGGCAGGCGTGAGCCAGTGTGCCCAGCCATAAACTATTCTGAAAGAAATACAAGTGAGTCAACAGACTTCACTTACCAATGAGTTTATGTTATTTAAGCAATGGTATAGGAAAATCCTTAAAGTCCCTTCATATTTAATCATTGGAATCAGCATCTCAAGCTTATGGTGTATTTTTGCTTTTTTTTTTTTTTTTTTTTTTTTTTTTTTTGAGACAGAGTCTCGCTGTGTCGCCCAAGCTGGAGTGCAAGTGGCATGAACTCGGCTCACTGAGACCTCCACCTCCCGGGTTCAAGGAATTCTCCTGCCTCAGCCTCCCGAGTAACTGGGATTACAGGTGCCTACCACCATGCCTGGCTAATTTTTGTATTTTTAGTAGAGACAGGGTTTCACCATGTTGGCCAGGCTGGTCTTGAACTCCCGACCTCAAGTGATCCACCCACCTTGGCCTCCCAAAGTGCTGGGATTACAGGCATGAACCACCACACCCGGCCTATTTTCGCTTTTTTAATAGATTATGTTATGTATCCTCAATTTTATATGCAGGTAGTCCTAATTTATATAGAACAGCTCAATTAACAAATTATCTATACTGGTTGCTCAGGCGGTTAGCAGCCTACTTTCCTGCTATTTTCCTAAAACAACCGTGGAGGCTACGTACCTCAGCTTCCCCTGCGTTCCCTATGTCACTACTGAGCTTGGGGGCTCAACATGTGAACAAGGACCAACTCTCCATTTTGAGTGTAGCTGTGTTTGCTAAGAAGGCATCTGTGAACTACTACTCTGGGAACTTTGGCATCAGTTACAATAACACTGCTTCCCTGTGAAACCAGCTGCAGTTCCAATTGAATTGCAAATGAACTTTCACAAAGACAAACTGTTCTTAGGTTACAGCATGTCTGAAGCCAAATTTTAAGTTTCTGCTATACAATACAGTAGGAAATATTGCTGATGATACATTCCAATGTACTGTTATTGAAAAGTGAGTTGTACTCTTATGGAAAAGTGAGGTGTCACTAGACACCAAATGATATTTACTCTAAACAGGGACAAATGACTGCCCCTTCTGATATAACCATTGGACTGACTCCATGAAGTCAGCAAGAACAGTTATTATTATCCTTAATACAAAGACAAACTGTATTATCCTTAATACACCCCCTTCCCCTCATGGCATGGAGGATATAACCCAAACACACCCCTCCAGATGCACCCCAGTGGCCACACCCCTGTGCCTGTTTCCTTCAGCAGCTCCACCCTCACTGGTCACCCTACTCTGCCAGAGCTGCCAGTAGCTAATATTCTTCTTTTGCTGTAGAAAACAACCAAATCAAACTACAGCCACCAAGGAATGCCTTGAAGCTTTTAGGCCAATGCTTCTCAAGTTTTAATAAACCTATGAATTATGAAAGAATCACTGGGGATACTTGCTAACAGTGCAAATTCCCAGTGCAACCCTCTCTCCAAGATTCTGGCTCAGGAGTCTGGGTCTAGCCCAGGAAATTTAAAACAATCTTCCCAAATGATTCCAAGGCAAGTGGTCCCTAGACCCCATATGCACATATACATAAAGAACTGATGTGTTGAAATGGAAAAAAAAGGAAAAAGCTATGAAAAAAAAATACTCAAGAGAAGCTAACCTATATACAAAACTCCAGGCAGAGGTGGCCTGTTTGCACCACATTTCTGTGTCTGGAAACCATTCCCCCATACTGTTTTCATCTAATTTTGTAAAACTGCCTTAAATACAAAGCCAGTTAGTGGTTCACTTTTAAAGCACATTCTTTAAAAGTGCAAACAATAATGCTGACAAAATTTTGTTGAAACGGATGCGCTTATGCATTGCTTGTAACAGAAAATTGGCATAATCCTTTGGGGAAAAAAACTGAAAATAATTTCAAGAGCCATAGAAATTATCATAAATTTTGATCCAATATCATCTCTCCTGGAAATTTATTCTTTTAAAAAAATCATCCAAAATTAGGAGGAAACTTTTATGCATGAGGATATTCAATGCAATCATTATTTATATATCAGAAAAATTAGAAACTGCCAAAATATATAAAATAGAAGGTGATATGGTTTGGCTGTGTCCCCACCCAAATCTCATCTTAAATTGTAGCTCCCATAATTCCCATGTGTCATGGGAGGGACCCAATGGGAGGTAACTGAATCATCGTGGCGGGTCTTTCCCATGCTGTTTCATGATAGTGAATAAGTTTCATGAGATCTGATAGTTTTATGAGGGGTGTTCCCCTGCGCATGCTTTCTTGCCTGCCACCATGTAAGACATGCTGTTGCTCCTCATTCGCCTTCCACCATGATTGTGAGGCCTCCGCAGCCATGTGGAACTGTGAGTCCATTAAGCCTCTTTCCTTTATAAATTACCCAGTTGGGTATGTCTTTATTAGAAACATGAGAACAGACTAATACAGAAGGATAAAGGGAGCAGCAATACGGTCAGGTATTGTTTAAGGACTTGATGCTTATTAACCTAACTTATGAGTGAGTCTTCCACGAGATGTAACCCAAGCATCAAAATCTGTACCCTTAACCACTATAATATACTGCCTCTTAGTAGGTAAGTCAATTCACACACATTGGCTTGATGGAAAACTATGCTACCATTAAAAATTATAATTATGAAGATTATAGTAACTTGAAAGTACATATGATATTATGTTTAAAAGTACATACAGGCTGGGCACGGTGGCTCAGGCTTATAATCCCAGCACTTTGGGAGGCTGAGGTGGGTGGATCACCTGAGGTCAGGAGTTCAAGGTCAGCCTGGCCAACATGGTGAAACTCTATCCCTACCAAAAATATAAAAAATTAGCCAGGCATGGTAGCACATGCCTGTAGTGTCAGCTACTCAGGAGGCTGAGGCAGGAGAATCACTTGAACCCGGGAGGCAGAGGTTACAGTGAGCCGAGATTGTGCCACTGCACTCCAGCTTGGTTGATGGAGCAAGACTCCGTTTCAAACAAACAAACAAACAAACAAACAAACAAACAGTACATACATAATTGTTCAGAAGCTAAAAATTCTAATTACGGACAGATAAACTCTGGAAAACAGTGCAGTTGATTGGTGGGAAGTGCTGGGCATGTTGTACAGTGATTAAGGCACAAGCCTTGGAGTTAAACAGACCTGGGTTCTAATATCAGTTCCACCTAGGAACTGTAATGTCATCTCCTAGGTATGGTACGTAATCCCCAACAAACTATTTAACCTCTGTGAGCCTTAATTTCTTCATCTGTAAAATAGGGATAAGGCTTCTTCTTTTGGAAGTAGGGCTTTTAATCACCTGACATCAATTAAGTGTACCGTTGCCATCCATCTTCACCCTTTTCTGCTTTCCTCTCACGGCTGTAGGCTTTCCTCCCAAGTGCCATGCACTGGGTTAAGATACACTGTCTCATCTACTTCTGTATAATAACTCTGTGAATTAAATGCTATTACTATCCCTATGCTCTATCTTGGTATTTGAAATCAGTTTTTTTCTTCTGTGCAGATACCTCAATGCAATCAATATTTAATTCTATTATAGTAAGTAAACCAACTGACCACAGGAAGCCTGAAAATAAAAAGTTGTAATTTTTATTTTTAGAATCACACCATAAACTCCATACTTTTTTTTTTTAAGGCGGAGTCTCGCTCTGTCGCCCAGGCTGGAGTGCAATGGTGCCATCTCGGCTCACTGCAACCTCTGCCTCCCAGGTTCAAGTGATTCTCTTGCCTCAGCCTCCTGAGGAGCTGGGATTACAGGAGTGTGCCACCACGCCTGGCTAATTTTTGTATTTTTAGTAGAGATGGGGTTTCACCATGTTGGTCAGGCTGGTCTCGAACTCCTGACCTCGTGATCCACTCGCCTTGGCCTCCCAAAGTGTTGGGATTACAGGCATGAGCCACCGTGCCCGGCCAAAATCCATACTTTTAAGGCTTCAATTGGTTTGTTTTTGTCAATCTGAGTAACTGATTCCTTCTAAGGAACAGTCTACCTTATACCACTGTGTTCTAGTATGTTTAGTGCATCTTCAACTAGAAAACCTGTCTTATTATCTATTCTTATCAATTAAGAAAGTAGGCCAGGCACGGTTACTCACACCTGTAATCCTAGCACTTTGGGAGGTTGGGGCAGGCAGATCACCTGAGGTCAGGAGTTCGAGACCAGATTGGCCAACATGGTGAAACCCCATCTCTACTAAAAATATAAAAATTAGCTGGGCGTGGTTGTGGGCTCCTGTAATCCCAGCTACTCAGGAGGCTGAGGTGGGAAAATCACTTGAACCTGAGCGGTGGACGTTGCAGTGAGCCGAGATTGCACCACTGCACCCCAGCCTGGGTGACAGAGCCAGACTCCAACTCAAAAAAAAAAAAAGAAAAGAAAAAAGAAATTAAACAAATCTTTTTGCCAGATTAGCAATAAGCCTCAGAAGAGGAAATACGATAAAAAAATGTAATAAGCCAAAGTGCCAAAAATGTCTAATTACGTTTCATTTGGAAATAGTAAGAATCTTCAAACCTTCTAAGTCCACAGCTGGCTTTAAACCCTTTTGCTTGCTACCATAGAAACATTTCATGCTCTGGCTGCCCTGTTGTGAAATACAGTCCCAAAATAACACTGATATTGTATATTATGATGGCTTTACAGGAACAAGAGTTTTTAAATTATTTATTTGGTTCTTTACAAAACTATCCAGATACATTTATTCTATCCATAAGATGTTTTTCCAACTGCTTGATTGTATACAGGGTTTTGCATTTTGAAAACATCCTGCAGCAACAACTTAATTACTCTACCCAGCATTCCTAACAGCTAAATCATTGGGTTGGTTCCACACGTACTGGGGAGGGCAGCCTGGCGTGTGGAAAGTTCCATGGCTTGCAAAAGGTCACCAAGGCTGAGAGGCATTGTTCTGCTCTGTATTCTGAGTTCCCAGATTCTTGCCCTGGTGTACACCTCTGCGCCACTTCTGCCTAAAGCTAAAGCATTTAAATTCTTTATAAGTAGCCTAAGAAACCTTGAATTTTTTTTCCTGTGATGTGGAATGCCACTTTGGCCAAATATATTAATTTTTTTAATTCTTAGATTTTTTTTAATTGGATGCTTACAAGCCCTTTAGCAAGAACTTTGTAAGCATAAAAAGCACACAAACAACAACTATATCTGCACCTTCAAGATGGTTGCCACTAGCCACATGTGGCTACTGAGAATGTGTCTAGTATGAATTGAGATATATTATAGGTATAAAATAGACACCAGACTTACTACAAAAAAGTAACACATCTCATTAATAACTTGATATATCAACTACTGTTGCATGATAATATTTTTTGCATCACTGGGTTAAATAAAAGACACTATTAAAATTAATTTCACATGTATCTTATTACATTTTTAAGATATGTTTACCAGAAATTTAAAATTACATACATGGCTTTCATTATCTCATTACTGTGCAATGCTAGTCTGTATCAGTTGGAATATTTTGTTGCTGGACTACACATATAAATTATCCAGTGAGCTTTAAAAACTGACACACTCTTCCCATGTAAAATGTCTTAGTACATCTCAAAGATTTAAAAATTTCCATCATCTCTTTATCCTAGACAAAAGTTACTTTTAATACTGGCAGTGATAAAACTCTAAAGCACACTATAAAATCTTACTTACACCATATAGCTTTTGGGTTTCTTTTCCAGTGAGTTTTTTTCCAAGTAATGGGATAAGTAGTACAATAATGCCATGAGGAAATTATCAAGATTCTTATTCCTATGGGGAGATTTGAAACAACAAAAAAAGAGTCAATGCTAACCTATTTCAAATGTAAGATTTCTCATAAAAAATATATGAGCACACAACACAAGAATAAGTAGAAAACTATGTTATCATGCCTATCAAAGAACTAATTTACCACTTAAAATTATATCTACTATATATTTAAAAATTTAAGAAATCTGGTTTTTGTAAGTAAAACTTTTGGAGAGGTCAAACACTAAATTCTTATAGTTGTGCTTACTAATTAATTTTAATTTTTAAAAAGTTATTATACAATATATTTCCATTGTTTAAAAAATGTAGAGAAATGTATCAAGTAAAAATTCTCTCCTCCTACCTCTGTCACCATCCTACTCCCTAGTGGTAACCACTATTAAGAGTTTGGTATGGGCCAGGCACAGTGGCTCATGCCTGTAATCCCAGCACTTTGGGAGGCCAAGGTGGGTGGATAACTTGATGTCAGGAGTTCGAGACCAGCCTGGCGAAACCCCATCTCTACTAAAAATTACAAAAATTAGCCGGGCGTGGTGGTGCATCCCTGTAATCCCAGCTAGTTGGGAGGCTGAGGCAGGAGAATCGCTTGAACCCAGGAGGTGGAGGTTGCAATGAGCTGAGATTGTGCCACTGCACTCCAGCCTGGGCAAAAGAGCGAGACTCCATCTCAAAAAAAGAAAAAAAAAGAGTTTGGTATGAATCCTTTCTAAACTTTCGAAAACATAGACAATCACATGTAACATCCTCCTCCACCAACATATACACATGTACATGAATATATGCCTTCAAAATGTTTTTTGGTAATAAGTGGCGTAATACTATACATACAATTCTTTGCAACTTGCTTTTGTCACTTTTCTGCGTAGCATAGACCTCTTTCTATGATATTATATGTAGATTTCCGTCTTTCTTTTAAAGAGCTGAATAGAATATTCTATACCTCATATTTACCTAGTTTTCTATTGTGGGTATTTGGTTTTTTTAAAAATATTATAGACAGAAGTGAAATTGCTACCACAGAGTGTATGTGCCTTGCTCTCCAAAAAGGCTGCACTGATTTACAATGTTCTCTCATTTGTTTTTAACTAGAAGTCACTGTTTTCTTTCTAAATATTTTTCAAGACTTTTGCTGCCTTCTTTGTGGCCCCAGATGGAAATTCTTTCTCTGGCATTGCTTTACTGAACTATACCTAAAGAGCAGGATGAGGGTGAGCATTACAGATTTTCTTTTCAAGATATTAATAACTCCCTGTCTCAGGCTGGGTTCCCCCAGCAACAGACACTGGGCCAAATACTTGAAAGTGAACAGTTTAGTTGGGAGTGATCTCAGGAAACATCAGTAAGAAAGTGGGGAAATGAGACAGGAAAGGAAAGGAAGCCAACAAAGAGGCTGTTAACAATTAAGTGGAGTTCAGTCCTGCAGTGACTCTGGGAGACAGTGTAGAAAACATCTCAAGAGTTTACCTATCAACTCCTCCACCAGCAGGGCACTGAATGAGGGCTGCTTCTAGGGCACTGATTCCCTAGCTCTGAACTTGCCCTGCAGTCAGGCTGAGTGTGTGCCTGTGGTGGAATGAGCCCTTCAGGCCGAGTCTCAGGCAGTTGCCACAAGCAGCCTGTATGTGTGTGCAGAGGGAATGGGGAGGGGTGCAAATGGCATCGGGCACCCAACTCTCACTGAGCGTTCGCGGTGCTGAGGCCACGTGAGGCACAGCCACGCATAGCCATACAAAGGGCCCACAATTACACAATTACTTCCCAATTTTGTAGCTGAGGAGACTGAGGCTTACAAAGGTCAAGAAACTTACCCAGAGTCACACACCTAGCACATCCTGGGGCTGCCAAACATAACTAGTAGAGAAAAGTGATCTTCAGTAAATGGGTATATCTTTTTTTTTTTTTTTTTGAGAGGGAGTCTTGCTCTGTCGCCCAGGCTGAAGTGCAATGGCATGATCTTGGCTCACTGCAACCTCTGCCTCCCAGGTTCAAGCGATTCTCCTGCCTCAGCCGCCAAAGTATCTGGGATTACAGGCATCTGCCACCACGCCTGGCTAATGTTTGTATTTTTCTTTTTTTTTGGTCTGAGAGAGTCTTGCTCTGTCACCCAGGCTGGAGCGCATTGGCACAATCTCAGCTCACTGCAACCTCCGCCACCCAGGTTCAAGTAATTCTCCTGCCTCAGCCTCCCAAGTAGCTGGGATTACAGGCGCCCACCACCACGCCCAGCTAATTTTTGTATTTTTAGTAGAGACGGGGTTTCACCACGTTGGCCAGTCTGGTCTCAAACTCCTGACCTTGTGATCCACCTGCCTCGGCCTCCCAAAATGTTGGGATTACAGGCGTGAGCCACCGCACCTGGCCAGTAAATGGGTATATCCTTTAACTATTATATAAAAATAGCACAGTCCATGTGAGACTCTGACAGCATGCTCTCCATACTACTTGCCCTGGGATTTTATCTGGGGTTCCCATGACTTCTGGCTTCCTCTCCCTGACTCTTTGGTCGCAGTCTTTGTGACTAGGTCCTGAGAGGATGGCTTGCATAGAGCCAGCCTCACGCTCTTCCTCTAAAAATCAGATTTGTCATCACTTATCAGATGAAGTTACTGAAAAATAAAGGATAAAAGATCTAAAATGACTCATAAGCAATAGATACCTCATAAATGTTGTAAAAGAACAGATCCGCTGCATCTCAGTATCTTGTAGCAAAAGCAAAGTAACAACTGAAAAGAGAAAATGAACAATTGAGAGAGGGACAAAGAGCTACCTTAGAGAGTCACACAAGATACGTTTATGTATGGATGTTATATGTAGATGGGCGGATGTTTATGTATGGATATGTGTATGTATGTACAGATGTATGTTTATGTATGCATAAAGAAACAGTTACTCACATTTAACATCATCCAGTGTAATGGTGCCCTGTTGACCTCGTTTCTCTACAGCTTTAGCTGACTTATCATCTTTTGCAGCAAGTCTTTTATCTGTCAACCTGTTTTGGAATATAACAGTTTCTAGTAGTGTTTTAATATATTTTAGTTGTATTTAATCTATCCTGAGGTGCAGGAAGCATTTATTAAAAAGTAATAAGAGCCTGAGTGTCATACATGGGTTTTGTTTGATGTACGATCATTTTGGAATGCTTTTTATTAAACATTTTATTTACTATATTAAGGCAAGAGGGATGTTCACTGCCTGATATAAAATGTAAGTACAAATACCATCCAAAATAGATCATTTAAATCATCTGTTCTGGTGTACCTATCATTTTCAAATTTTAAAAAACTGTAAAAAGTTGAAGATGTGCTAACAGCCAAGTTAACAGGATACATTTATCGGGACTATCGTAATTCCCACCATAATGCTGAAACAGCACATGTTCTTTCTTTGATGGGTATTCGCATTGCGACCTAGAATAATGGGAATGGTATTTTCGTAGTTTGTAAAGGCTGAAGCCATTCCACTGAGAGATGCTATCAGCAACTCTGGCATGATTGGGAAGTTAATCTACCTGTCTGAAGCTGGACCATCAGTTTCTGCAAAGTGAACTGCTTTGCCTTTCTTTCCTTTTTCCTTGACTTCTGCTGCAGGTGTAAAACTGCAATAAAAATGAGATAATTAGGGACTTCACCTTTTCCAGGGGAAAACAAGTCAAATCATATCATAGCTCATAATCTTTGGACTAGCATATATTATCAGCAGATCTGAGACACAGCAGTGTTCAATTCATCTATTTATATATGGAACACTTATCTAGAGAAAAAATTAAAACTTCAGACTTTACATTCAGCCTCTAACCATCAGCAATCTCCAGAATACCACCACACACAGAATATCTGAAAAATATTGTAGTAACTTCATAAGAAACAGAAAGCTCTTGGTAAGTTTGAAAAGATTATTTATTGAGGCACTTGTTATATGACAAGTGCTTTTAGGCACAATCTCATTTAACCCTCATGGAAACTCTAACACAAAATATGATCACCATCTTTACATACAAGAAAAATGGAAACTTAAAAAGAAATTAAGTGACTTGACTAAAATAACAGCAACTGGCAAAGTCATGAGCGGTGCCCAGGTTTTTAGCCACAGAGCCAAGTACTGAGCCACCAGGCAATCCTGCCTCCCAAACAGCAATCTCAGTATTCACTGCTGTGGACTCTTCTAAAGGCCTCAGCCATCTCCATCTCCAGGTAGGTTTCAGGACCTTTTACTTAACTCAGAGTTTCTTAGCATGTTGTACAAGCACTACTAAGCCGTAATGAGTTTGACTAACAAAGGAACCCAATTAAACAACAAACAAATCTATACCGACGATCTGCTATGTGTTAGGAATTGCTATGACATTGAAAATAAGATGGTTTCTGATCAGAGCCATTGAACAGACTCTCGAGAGTCTCAGCAAATGCTAACAGAAAAACAGAGAAAAGTGTTTTGAAGACTAACAGGACGAGGTTCCTGCCTTATAAATAGTACATTTTCTGGGAGAACTGTGGTGTCTGCCAAACCCATTGTGGGTTATAACAATGCCACATTGATAACACAATGCCGAAGTTTACCCTCTGCCCAAAGTTATGTGTCCCTCTGTTAAGCTGAGGTGCAGATGCAGTAATAGAAGCACTTCCCCTCAACTTTATTCATTCTCTAAATATGGATATCAATAATGAGAACTTTATTATTTCCTTGGTAAATCCCACAAAGAAATTTTGTTAAATACCTCCCCATGACAGTAATAAAGTCAGCTTGGTACTTTCTTCTTCTTCCAGGAGTTTCTCCAACTGCCTGGCAATATTCATGTTGTAGGTTAGCTACCAAAAGCATGTACATAATATTACCTCAAGGGAATGATTTTTTACAATTTTTCCACTGTTCTTTTCTTTCTTTTTTTTTTTTTAAGATGACTGGCACCAAGTTGGCCAGTGATGATTTCTAAGCTTTTCATTCTTTCTGGTGCTGCTCTTATCACTGGTCTCCAAGAATTGGGTATTCATGGGGAAGGGTGTGCTAAAATACTGGGGATGGAGGTGTACAGGGAAAAAGAAATGGAAAAATACCAAATGTTGATGGGAGGATTGCCTGAGCCCAGAAAGTGGAGACTGCAGTGAGCTGAGATCACACCACTGCACTCTAGCCAGCCTAGGTGACAGAGTGAGACCCTGTCTAAAAATAAAATAAAAAAGTGAGGCCGGGCACGGTGGCTCTCGCCTGCAATCCCAACACTTTGGGAGGCCGAGGTAGGCAGATCACCTGAGGTCGGGAGTTTGAGACCAGCCTGACCAACATGGAGAAATCCCATCTCTACTAAAAATACAAAATTAGCCAGGCGTGGTGGCCCATGCCTGTAATCCCAGCTACCTGGGAGGCTGAGGCAGGAGAATTGCTTGAACCCGGGAGGCGGAGGTTGCAGTGAGCCGAGATCATGCCATTTCACTCCAGCCTGGGCAACAAGAGTGAAACTCCATCTCAAAAAAATAATAGTAATAAAATAAAATAAAAAATAAAATCATAAAATCATAGAATTTGGGGGTTATTGGAAGTAAAAAAATATCATCTAGTATAATGCTGTCATTTTACTGATGGAGAACTAGGGCTTGGAGAGGCTGACCCATGTCCCAGTGTTAGAAACTGGTAGATAGTGCCTGCCCTTAGCCAATAGTCTGGCATTTACTGCTAAGCTTTTAGTCTTTATGCTCTGACCTCTGGACACACCTTCTCTACTTCACACTTGTCTGAATGGCTTTCACTTCACTGAAGTCATTCTCTAGCTTGGCTGGTAAGACAGGTTCCACTTTGTGAGTGAGTGCTCTGCCATAGCCCTGAAAGCAGCCTATGCTCACAATGCATTTGGAATCACCAACAAGCAACACTAGTAATAACTGAAATTTTTTTTTTTGAGACTGAGTCTCACTCTGTCACCTAGGCTGGAGTGGCGTGATCTCAGCTCACTGCAACCTCTTCATCCCGGGTTCAAGCGATTCTCCTGCCTCAGCCTCCAAAGTAGCTGGGATTACAGGTGCCTGCCACCACATCCTGCTAATTTTTGTATTTTTAGTAGAGATGGGGTTTCACCATGTTGGCCAGGCTGGTCTCAAACTCCTGACCTCAAGTGATCCATCCACCTCGGCCTCCCAAAGTGCTAGGATTACAGGTGTGGGCCACCGCGCCCAGCCAATAATTGAAAATTGTGCTGTGAATTGAACCTCTGATTGGTGCCCAAACCACGGTCTGGGCTAGCTAGCCTATACCCTCCTACTATCTCCCAGAGTACAAGGTAGATGTAGTTCCCTAATATTACAATATAATCATGTCATTCCCCTTGCCTTGAAGTAAACAGGAAAGAAATTCATATTTTCTCTCTAGAATCCATCACGTAAATGCAGAGGGCTGGACCACTCTTGGCTTCCACACAAGTTAGACCTCTTTGATGGTTCTCAGAGAGTCTTCTCTCAGGCCATGACGAAAGAGTAGGGTTTCCTTGGTTTTATGTCCTCAGGGGAGTCCATGACCTTGGCAAACATTCAGGCAGACTGCTGGTTCTCTGCCAGCTTTGGAATAGGGGCACTTGAAGCAAGAAGAGAAAGGATAGCAGGTACTATGTCAGAGAGAAAAGTCTGCCTCATGGGCCAACCTAGATGATGCCTGTGAGTAAAGGTATTATCTCTTTACCAAATAAGAAATGGGCATGCATGCTGATGAACTATACCAGCACCCTCATTTACTTCTCACGAGGCATTATTATTTCATTTTATAGATTAAGGAGCTGAGAATTATTGAGGCTAAGTAACTTGACAACTGATAACCATCTAGTCAGGGGCAGAGCTAGGATGTGAACCCAGGTCTCCCTTCAAACCATTCTCCACTGCTCTTCCTTAACTACCTATTAATAAATAATGGCCACCCTTTCCCTGGCATTTCTTGCATGGAGGTTAGGGTATCCTGTTGTATTCTAATAGTCATCCCCATCAGGGTACAATCTGCAAAAGTAAGGCAAGAGTTGCCTATGAGTAGGGAGCTAGGTTGTCTCTGAGGGTAAGATTTCCTGTTTCATTTGACCAGGAGAGAAGTCAGGAAGTTCAAGCTGGGGGAGGGGAAAGGGATCATCTTTTCTTGATCTGAGCTTCAGAATACCTAGAAGTCTAGCACTCCTCTTGGCTAGTGGGTATAAAAGTTGGCCTACCCCAGGTGGAAGAGGACTGAAACCTCAGAACTTTCAGGGTCTTAAGTTGATGGGATAAAACTTGATGCCCCTGAGATCAAGATGTTACTTTATGAAACAGATTGTCTGGATTCAGGACACTCTATTTTCCTCCCCTCTCTCTGGCTACAATTTATTGGTCTCCTTCTAAAGCTCCTTTTCTGAGGCATGTTCCTTCCCTAAATGAGGGCCCTCTCAGAGCTTCATATGGTCATTCTTCTCATTCCCTCTGAATAATTCCATCTACTTCACTAGCACCAATAACACACAAATTTATATTCAAGGCTCAGATCTCTCTGCAGACTTATAAAGTGACACATCAGTCTATTGAACACTGTCAATCAGCTGTCTTAGAGGCATCTCAAACTCAGTCTGTCCAAAATAAACACATTCCCCCTTTACTGTGTATTCCCACCTCCTGTTTCCTCCATCTCAGTAAATAAGTACCACCATCAAACCAGGTGCTCACGCTGGAAAATGGTGTCTTCCTTGATTCCTCCATCACCCTCACTCCTCATGGCTCACTAATCACTAAATTCTTAATCTTTTTAAGCTACTTCCCTCTCTTTCCACTGCCACCATCCTAATTTTAGCCATCTGTCAACTGAGTTTCTGTAACTGCTTCTTAACTGATCTCCTTGCCTCCAGTCTTATCTCCCCGCAAACAATTTTCCATCTTTGAGCCAGTCATCTTTCTTTTTTTTTTTTTTTTCTTGAGATAGGGTCTCACTGTTGCTTAGGCTGGAGTGCAGTGGTGCCATCATGGTCACTACAGCCTCTACCTCAAGGGCCCAGATGATTCTCCCACTTCAGCCTCTCAAATAGCTGGGACTACAGGTGTGCACCACCATGCCTGGCTAATTTTTGTATTTTTTGGTAGAGATAGGGTTTTGCCATGTTGCCCAGGCTGGTCTCAAACTCTTGAGCTTAGGCCATCTGCCTGCCTCAGTCTCCCAAAGCGCTGGGATTACAAGCGTGAGCCACTGTGCCTGGCCCAGCCACTTTTCTAAGATGCGGTTCTTTTTTTTTTTTTTTTTTTTTTTTTTTTTTGTGACAGATTCTAGTTTTGTTGCCCAGGCTGGAGTACAATGGCGTGATTTCAGCTCACTGCAACCTCCGCCTCCTGGGTTCAAGCAATTCTCCTGCCTCAGGCCTTCCAAGTAGTTGGGACTGCAGGCACGTACCACCATGCCCAGCTAATTTTTGTATTTTCATTAGAGATGGGGTTTTGCCATTTTGGCCAGGCTGGTCTTGAACTCCTGACCTCAGGTATTTCCTCGCCTTGGCCTCCCAAAGTGCTGGGATTACAGGCGTGAGCCACCACACCCGGGCCTAAGATGCAATTCTAATCACAGGTGACTTCTCTGCTTTGATGACTCCCCTGTGCCATCTAAATAAAGTTCCAATTCCTCACCACAGTATGCAAGATCTTTTATAATCTGGCCCTGGTTTAAATCTACTTTGTCTGGGACCATATACCCAGCCTAATGAACCACCTGCAGTCCCCACATTATGGCCCATGCCCTTGCAGGTCTGGGCTTTGCCCATGTTCCTTCTCCCTAGAATGCACTCTCTTCCTCCCCAAATCAAATGGCCTTTTACCTTGCCAATTCCTATTTTTCCTCAGGTCGTAGCTTAGATATCACCTTCCTTGGGAAGCCTTCTCTGTCTCCTCTGTCCACTGGACTTCAGGAAATCCAGGTCCCATATCTGGATCAGGCCGCTCTGGTGAATGCAACTTTCCTCAGCCCTGGTGCCCAGCCCAGTGTAGCAGTGGCAGCAGTTCCTGGTAAGCGAGCCCAAAGCAGAGCAGCAATCCCAGGGAAAGAGTTCGGTTCCACAGCACCACTAACAACAGACTCTCCTTTCGATAGTAGCCTGGAAGGGTCTGGTTTCTTTTCAGTAAGCAGGGCAGCATGGATATCCCTGCCTGTACCTCCAAATGCCCAAGCTGTCTGCATTACCTCCTTCCCACCACCCAGTGGAAAAGCCGCGGCTCTCTCTTCCAACCCCGACCTCTGATCTTGATCCCAGTCCCACCTTCCTTTCTCTGTTTATTTATTTTTTCTGCCATAACAAAGTCACTCAAGATTTTCCTACCTTTAAATCAAAACTAACAAAAATCCCCAAAACCTTCCCTTAGTCCCAGATCCACTAAAGGCTACTATGTCTTTCCTTCATTCACTGGTAAACCTACTGATAAGAGTACTCTATTTTGGGCTGGGCACAGTGGCTCACACCTGTAATCCCAGCACTTTGGGAGGCCGAGGCGGGCAGATCACCTGAGGTCAGGAGTTTGAGGCCAACCTAGCCAACATTGTGAAAACCCGTCTGTACTAAAAATACAAAAATTAGCCAGCTGTGGTGCCGCGTGCCTATAATTCTAGCTACTCAAGAGGCTGAGGCAAGAGAACCCCTTGAACCCAGGATGGGGAGGTTGCAGTGAGCCGAGATTACACCACTGCACTCTAGCCTGGGGCAACAGAGCGAGACTCCATTTCAAAAAAAAAAAAAGACAAAACAAACCAAAAAAGCAAGAGTACTCTATTTTGGGGGTTTTGTTTATTTGTTTTTTGAGGCAGGGTCTCACTCTGTTGCCCAGACTGGAGTGCAGTGGCAGGATCATGGCTCACCACAGCCTCAACTTTCTGGGCTCAAGTGATCCTCCCACCTCAGCCTCCCAAGTATCTGGAACCACAGGCACACACTACCATGCTCAGCTAATTTTGTCCATTTTTGGTAAAGACAGGGTCTTGCTATGTTGCCCAGGCTGGTCTCAAACTCCTGGGTTCAAGCGACCCTCAACCTCAGGCTTTCGAAGTGCTGAGATTACAGGAGTGAGCCACCACACCCAGCTGAGTACTCTATTTTTGCTACTTTTTCATCTTTATCTCAGATTCTCACCTGTAACCACTGTCATCTGATGTATACCCTACAGCCTTCCTGAAGCTGCTTCTCACCTAGTCCCTATGGATCCGTAATTTGTTAAATCCACAGGCCTTTTTGCAGTGTTTGCCCTCCTCAGAACTCTCCAGCCTGTGACACTGCTGACCCCTCCCTGCCCAATCCTCTTTCTTGGAGAACCTTCTTTTGCCCCTGAGGCCTATCTGTATCAGGGTTTTTCCTCTGACCTTTCTAATCATTCTTTCTCTATTTTTTTTCTTTCACCCAGGCTGGAGTGCAGTGGCACAATCTCAGCTCACTGCAACCTCTGCCGCCTGGGTTCAAGCGATTCTCCTGCCTCAGCCTCCTGAGTAGCTGGGATTACAGGCGCCTGCCACTGCACCTGGCTATTTTTTATATTTTTAGTAGAGACGGGGTTTTACCATCTTGGCCAGGCTAGTCTTGAACTCCTGACTTCATGATCCACCACCTAGGCCTCCCAAAATGCTAGGATTACAGGCGTGAGCCACTGCCCCCAGCCCATTCTTTCTCTGTCTTTGGCCAATTCCTCTTTCTTTGCCTGTCTCCTATTCTTGAGAGCAGTATGAAGATATCTATCAAAGGCTTAAAATGTGTACAATAATTAAGACATATCAAGCCAATTGTAATGTACAAACCTTATTTTAAAGACTGATTGAAACAAACTTAAAAAATAGCAGACAACAGGGGACATTTGAATACCAAATGACTATAACTGAATATATGATATTAAGGAATTACCATTTGTATTTTTAGGTATATAAATAGTAATTCAGTTGTATCCTCCTCCCCTGTTTGTCCCCCTTCTCCTTCTCTTTCCCCTTCTTCTTCTTATTTTATATATTGGGACTCCCAACCTACATCAGTTGTGTTTTCTAAGATAGTGCTTATTCTTTGAGATACATACTGAAATATTTACAGATGATATGATGCCTGGGATTTGCTTCAAAATAATTGAGGAGCAGGGTAGACAGAGGTATAGATATGAAATTGACTTTAATTTGGTACTTCTTGATGCTGTTAAGGGTTTGTTGGGGTTCATTACACCATCTTCCCTACCTTTATATATTTGAAATCTTCTAATATAAAAAGTTATAATGGGCCAGGCATGGTGGCTCACACCTGTAATCCTAGTACTTTGGGAGGCTGAGGCAGGCAGATTGCTTGAGCTCAGAAGTTCCAGACCAGCCTGGGCACATGGCAAAACCCCATCTCTACAGAAAAATTAGCTGGGCATGGTGGCATGTCCCTGTAGTTTCAGCTCTTTGCTGGGGGGCGGCGGGTGGGCGCAGTGGGGGCTGAAGTGGGAGGATCGCTTAAGCCCAGGAGGTCAAGGCTGCACCGAGCTAAGATCATGCCACGGCACTCCAGCCTAGGTGACAAAGTGAGACCCTGTCTCTAAAATTCTAAAATAACATAAAAAGTTTTAAATGTTTACACACACACACACACACACACACACACACACATTTTTTGGAGATTGGGTCTCACTCTACCACCCAGGCTAGAGCACAGTGGCGCAATCATGACTCACCACAGCCTCAATCCTCCCACCTCAGCATCCCAAGTAGCTGGGACTACAGGCGCATACCACCAGGCCCAGCTAATTAAAAAAAAAAAAAAAAAAAAATTGTGGGAACAGAAGTCTCACTATGTTGCCCAGGCTGGTCTCAAACTACTGGGTTCAAGCAATCCTCCCACTTCAGCTTACCAAAATGCTAAGATCGCAGGTGTGAGCCACCACACCCAGCCTATTTATACTTATTTTTTTAAGTTTTTAAAATAATGCTGCAAGAAAAGTAAAACTGGCAACAAAATCAAACCTGCAAGGCAGGGTACAGTGGCTCATGCCTATAATCCCAGCACTTTGGAAGGCTGAGGCAGGCAGATTGCTTGAGCTCAGGAGTTTGAGACCAGCCTGGGCAACATGGTAAAACCCTGTCTCTACAAAAATACAAAAAATTAGCCAGACGCGGTGGCATCTGCCTGTAGTCCCAGCTACTTGGGAGGCTAAGGGAGAATTGCTTGAGCCTGGGAGGCAGAGGCTGCAGTGAGCCTGGGCAATGGGAGTGAAACGCTGTCTCAAAAAAAAAAAAAAAAAAAATCAATCTACAAAGACTTCAGATTTTGGAATTATCAGTCACAAAATGTAAAGTAAATGTAACCAGTATGTTGAAAACACAAAATAAAAATAACTTGGTAACTCTTAACATTGGTGCACTGGTGGTCTTTGGGTATACAACTGTGGTGGAATCTTCACTTTCTGCTTTGTACATTTATATACTTGTTTTTCAGTATATATGTACAATTTTTTAATGAGGAAAAAGATATGAAATGATGGAAATGCAAAATGTTAAGAGAGTGGTGTGTGTAGAGAGAGAGAGGGGAAAATCAGAAGAAGATTTGGAAAGCTATACATGTATACCACAAGATGTTAACAGTTACTTGCTGGGTGGGACTGTGCTTTGTTTTTGCTTATTAGTATTTTGCAATTTTTTTTTAAGAGACGGGGTCTTGCTATGTTGTTCAGACTGCAGTACAGCGGCTGGTGCTATTCCCAGGTGTGATCATGGCATAATATAGCCTCAAATTCCTAGTCTCAAGCAATCCTGTCCCCTCAACCTCCCGACTTACTGGGACTACAGGTACTCACTGATGTTTTTAATCCTTTTCCTATTTAGAAAAAAGAAAAGTGTAGCTCACTGCCAACATTCATTTAATTTTACATAAACACCCTCTTTGAGGCTGAAGCAAATCTGACTGCTTTTCCACATGAAAATAAAATACAAAACTATTCTTAGAGTTATTTCTCAACAGAACTAACATCAGAATCATCTCAATCATCAGAATCGTCTATTTCGGAAAAATCTTATTTATCAATTGAATCTTCGGCTAACAACTGTTCGAGAACGATGTTAACATCATGTGTAGGAATGCTATATTTTCCAGGATTTGAAATTTTCAGCGATAGACAATTACTGTATTTTGTAAATGGAAATACCACTAAAAACCGAATGCTATAAACAGAATGTCTTTTGTTTCCAAAGTCAATATACTAGAATGATGAGAAAATAATAAGGAAAGTGAGACATTTCATGGCAAAGTTATCTCGGGGTAAACGCTGTAGCTGCAAGCGCCACTGGCGAGTATTCTCTAGGCAAACAAGAAAACGGTTAAATAGTATGATTTTAAATAATATATTTCATAATTTTTTTAAGTAGGTATTTCCTAGGGTTCTGGCCTCAATCATTCCACTTCCCACCCTAATTTTGCACTTGCCTTTCTCCTAAGGGCCAAACTCCTGCCTACTGGATTCTTAACCTGGGGGTCCTACAGGGCACCTCGAATAGTATGCGTTTAAAAAAATAAGCTTGTTGCCCTTTACCCACTCCACACACTTACTGGCTCTCCCCACCCCTGCTTATCTTTCCATTCTCCTGCCAGAGCTCATCTGGGTCCTAGTCACCTGCCTCTTGGATTGCTGCATAATTGTCTTGTCTGGCTAGTTCTAATCTCGCCCTGCTAGGTATGAGAGCAGTCACTGAACACGCCTGCTACCTCTGCAGCTTCCATCCCTACCACTGTCTACTCTCAACCACCTCTGCCTCAGCCTGGCCTCTTCACCACCAACTGGAGTAACAAAAGTCTCCAGTAGCACTGTCTCTGACAGAAAAAGCATGTTCCAGCTCAAGAGTCCTCTCTGACTTAGGTTTGAACAGATAGGTTTGAACTAACTATCTGTAACAGATAGGTTTGAACTATCTGTTAAAATTTGTGATGAAGCCAGGTGTGGTGGCTCACGCCTGTAATCCCAGCACTTTGGGAGGCCGAGGTGGGTGGATCACCTGAGGTCGGGAGATAGAGACCAGCCTGACCAACATGGAGAAACCCTGTCTCTACTAAAAATACAAAATTAGCTGGGTGTGGTGGCACATGCCAGTAATCCCAGCTACTCGGGAGGCTGAGGCAAGAGAATCGCTTGAACCCGGGAGGGGGAGGTTGCCGTGAGCCAGGACCGCTCCACTGCACTCCAGCCTGAGCCACAAGAAAGGGACTCCGTCTCAAAAAAAAAAAAAAAAAAAAAAAAAACAATTGTGATGGGATTTGCTCAGACTTTAACAGGGAACCAATACCTATATTTCCAATGAATCCAAATACCAGCTCTGACCTAAAATATACAAGGGTCTGCCTTCCTCTACCTGAGCAGGTAGATGCCCAAGGTAATCCTGATACTATAAGGCTCACCACATTGAGTTACTTAAACACAGAGCAGCTCTACCAAAAACAGGCTGGCTCACCCCGATCTGCTCTTCATAATAATTCCTTTTCCAACTCCCTTAACGGCCCCCCAGTTTGTGTACTCCACGTAGTCCGGGGTTTGGAGTTGTTGTTTTTTTTTTTTTTTTTTAGTTATAACTTACACGTAGTAAGGTGCATAAATCTTAAAGTGTGCAGCGTGATGAATTTTTTTAATATGTATATACACATAAAGCTACCACCCAGATCAACATATAGACCATTTCTACCACCTCCGAAGGTTTCCTTATACTGTCTCCCACTGCTACCAGTTGATAACCCCCTGAAGGTGACCACTATTTTTTATTTCCTCTTATCATTGAAGTTATTTTTTGCCTATTTGTCAAAACTTTTATACAAATGTAATCATGCAGTATTTACATTTTTGTGTCTGGCCTCTTTTGCTCATGTTTTTGTATTATGTCATATAACCTACATTTTAAATCATACCATCACGTAGCTATTCTCCAAAATTAGTGGAAATCAAATCAAACCACAGTTTAAGAACAATTTGGGAACAAACAAAAAGAAACTCTAGTTTATGAATATGAATATTTCACGAATATGAAAGATGATATGAAACTGATAGCTGCGAACTTATTAGTAGGCTCAAACATGAAATAGCACCATTTGGGGTGGGTCGTTAGATTAGCACTGAAAATTAGTTTGAAAAATACTGTCAGCCAGATGCGGTGGCTCACACCTGTAGTCCCAGCACTTTGGGAGGCTTAGGAGGGTGGATCACTTGGGCCCAGGAGTTCGAGACCAGCCTGGGCAACATGGTGAAAAACTGTCTCTACTAAAAATACAAAAAACAAGCTGGGCATGGTGGTGTGAGTACTAGGCTGAGATGGGAGAATCACCTAAGCCTGGGAAGTCAAGGCTGTAGTGAGCCAAGATCATGCCACTGTCCACCAGCCTGGGCAACAGGAGTGAGACTCTATCTCAAAAAAAAAAAAATTGGCACTTAATATTTATACACACATTCTCTTGTGCTTTAACATGTATTTTGACTTCTGTAACTATCTTGTCTGTCTAATCCCAAAGCTATCTCACTGTCTGTCTCACACTCACTGAGGGTGATGTTTCAGGAGCCACTGGACAGAATCTTCTGCGGCAAACCTGAGAAAGAAAACTGAAATTACTGCTTTGAAGTGACGGGTTACTCAGAAATACTGAAATACATATTCTATAAAATGTAAACTTTTGATTTTGACTCTAATAAAATGTTAAGCCTTTGAATTATTTGTTTAATTATCATGAAACATGTCATTATATTTATAATGTAACTATAAACATCTAGTGTAACTATGTATGTCTGCTTAGCCAACTCCTTTCCTGACCTCCAGCCCCCATTTGTCCAACAGCCCAAGACGTATTAATGTGAACAAGTCATAGCAACCTGAAACATGGCCAGTTTTGTCATGTTATTTATTTATTTATTTTTGAGATGGAGTCTCTCTCTGTCGCCCAGGCTGGAGCGCAGTGGCTCAATCTTGGCTCACTGCAACCTCTGCTTTCCAGATTCCAGCAATTCTCCTGTCTCAGCCTCCCAAGTAGCTGGGATTACAGGTGCCCGCCATCACGCCCGGCTAATTTTTGTATTTTTATTAGAGATAGGATTTCACCATGTTGGCCAGGCTGGTCTCAAACTCCCGACCTCAGGTGATCTGCCCGCCTCAGCCTCCCAAAGTGCTGGGATTACAGGCTTGAGCCACCACACCCAGCCACCAGTTTTGTCACTTCAATGCTGTATATGGGTGAAGGGCAATCCCAGCCACCTGATCACCCAAGTCAGACACCTAGGAGCCAATCTAAACAACTGCTTTTCCCTCTCCCTTCACATCCAATCCCCACATCCTATCAATCCTATCCAAACATCCTGTCAATCCTCTCTTAAGTATTTCTTAGTCCTTTGCCTTTCTATTTTTACCAACCTGGAGTTAATTCTAACTCTCGCTATTGCTTACTTGTATAATTATCTGTAATCCTACAACTAGTCTTCTAATGGATCACCTGCATCTATTCTTCCTCTGCTTGAATCTAGCAGATTCTTTGAACATGCTCAATAAATATTTGTTGAGTACCTACTGAAGAAGTTCTGTAGCTGGCTCCAGAGACCTGAGGATGAATAAGATAGTTCCTGCCACTGAGGAGCTTACTGTCTAGTTGAGGGAGACAGCGAGTACATGAAAAGGGCTTTAGCATTAGACAAATCTTGGTTCAAACTATCAGTTCTGCTACTTACTGGCTGTATGACTTTGGTTCAGTTGCTTAATCTCCCTGAGCCTTGTTTCTTCATCTATAAAATGAGGACATTAATGTTCACTTTCCACAGTTGTTTTAAGAATTGGAAAAATATGCAAATATCTGGCACACAATCAGTGCACAACAGATAGTGTCTAGTATTAATTTAGCTATACACTTGTAAGAGTCAGTGTCTTTTTTCATAGAGATTAGAATCAGTTTTTTCTAATTTAGTAATTTTACCTTGTGAGATTCACCATCTATTGCAGCAGATATAATATGTTCCCATTAATGTTAACTATATTTCTCTAACTCAAAAAGGCAATTTTATAATTAAAAACATGGACTCTGTAAATCAAACAGACCTACATTTAAATAATCTTAGTCACCTCTGAGCTGTGTGATTGGGCTAAGTCACTTAATTTTCCTCAAGTCGCTGAACCCTTTGAAACCTCAGTTTCTTCATCTGTAAATTGGTTAACATGCAGCTGTTTCAAAGAGTTGGTAAACATTAGCACAGTGTCTGGTCCATGTGAAGCAGCTGGTAAGCGTTCAGAGAAAGGCTGTTCACTGAAATGATTGTTTCCTTCCAGATGGCAAAGGTTCAGTGGGTATTTATTCTCTATACTCTTCTGTTGCTTTTTTTTCCCCCAGGCACATGTAATTTTTATAAAAACTCTAATAAAGTGTTGTTAAATTTTACCTTCTGAATTCAAGAGTTCTGGTTTCATCTTTCCAGTACCACATCCCTAATCGTAATCCCAACTGCTGTAAAACGAAATGATTGCAGCAAAAATAATTAAAAGCTCAATTTACAATCCATATGCCACAATAAACCTTTAACAATAATTCCTACTTACTAACACATCTTTTAAGTAATAAGAAGGAAACAAAAAACAATGGTTCCTACTAGTCCCTCTTTACACTTTCAGTAAGAGTGTAGAATCCTAAAGCGTTAAACTTGAAGCTAGGATTTTATCGCTTTGATTGATTTTAGGTGTGGCTTCAGTAGAACGGCAGGAAGGAGGGAGAGGGAGAAAGGAAGGGAGGAAAGTAGGAAAAGAGGAAAGAAGCAGCGGAGGAAGGGAAGGGCGAAAGATAGGAAGGAAATTGGGACTACATATAGCTCATCATAGCAATCTACCAATTAATTGAAATTCAGACAATAAACTGATACCCAGGACAGCCTCAGCTGTCTGGTTCTGGAGACTTCCGGGCTCCAACACTGAGCCTGCCCTTTACAGGCAGTGGCAAAAAGTTAAGTACACCCTTTTCACCGTGGAAGCTAGCACCCACCAGCCTTTCTATCCAGAGCGGGGCTGCTTCCCCCGCAGTAGGTCTCCCTATTTTGCAACCAACCAATTAGAGGTGGTGAGGTGGGATTTCGTAAATATCTAACTACCTGCGCAGGGAGCCAGAATTCAATTCTGACCATCTGTCAAATACACCAGAGTTTTTTTTTTTTCTAGGCAAATATGGCCAGGTGTCTTTGAGAACCGCCAGCCCGGGGCGAAGGCGACGACCCGCCTCTGGAGGAGGGCGAGGGGCGCGGCGCCGGTTGGGGGCAGCAGGGCCCGCCTTGCGCCCAGCCCGGGTATGGGGGCGACCAAGGCTGCACTTACATCCATCAAGTAAGGGGTCTGCCCACCTAACCGCTTCCTCCTCGCATAAAACTCGGGCACCCGGTACATGGCCTCGCCCTGGAAGCCATACGGCGTCGCCGAGGATACCGCCCGCAGGCGCCTGCACACGGCTGCCCGGGGCGCGGAGCGGGGCGGGGCGTCGCTTCCGTCCTAGGCCGCGCGGGCTGCGGCCGCACCCAGGCTTCTCCAGCGATTTCTAAAGCCCAGCCTGGTGCCCCGTTTCCCAGTCTTAAAAGCCGTGGCGACGTATTGGCCTATCCATTGTAAAGCCGCCCAGGGCATAATTCTTCATGGCATTCCAACCTTGAACTTCATGAAGTTATTCACTTTACTGTTTTAATTGGAGTAACTACATTCAGTCCTATAGGGAAGAAAGATCCATTTCTTCCTAACTTTCATGATTAGCACTATTATTAAGTTCAAATCCAGGATGAACCTAGGTTGATGGGGAGAGCAGGGTTGAGGTGGGGAAGCAGGGTAGCCTCGTGGAAGAGAACATGGGTACGGAAATAAGGTTTTCATAACAGTTGTGCTGCTTAACAAGCTGTGGAATCTAGGACAAGACTATTCTGATCTTTCTTCTGAAAACACCAAATCAGGGGTTATGTGGATTTTTGGAGTGGTGTGTGTAAAGCACCAGTCTTAAGTACTCAAAATTAGTGTTGCTCAAAAACAAAGAAACTTGCTTAGTGTCAATGGGTATTCAATTGATATTTTTACATTTACACTTTTCAAATCATGTGTCTTGTAATTCCTTCTTGCAACGGAGTTGATAATGCTGATTCTGGCTGATTTTTTTCCTCCCAGCTCTAAGTGAGCAATGCTAGATGATGCAACATGATTGGGAATGCCTAGTATATTCTTTTGTATCACCACAGCTTAATTGGTATGAGAGGCTCATAAGTAGTGGATATATACTCCCATTAACTTTTAAGTTATGTCAGTAGTCATCCCACTGCTTCTTCTATTCCCACCCTCCCAGTCTCACTACTTGGTAATACACAATCACTGGCTACAGTGATTAAATAGTAATCATCTAGATTCATGTTCTGCTCACTTGAGTCCATTCTGGCAGCTGTTCAGTTGGTCCAGGTATATGGAAACCCACTTATATACTGGCCGCAGGCAAGGCTTTCTTACTACAAGATGACACGCTTGAAAAGGAGACTATCCCATATGCCAAGAGCTTTTCACCAAGTAGCGAACATAACTTGGGGTGGACAGGACAGGGAAATAATGAGGTAAAGCTCAAGAAAAGATGCAGACAGACCAAGGAATCTGGATGGCATCCAATCACTACATAATCATTACCGGGAAGACCACACTAGTGGTCAGTAAACCTCTTCAGTTCATCCCAATAATGTGTGGAGAAGTGCTGATAGAAAACTTAAGATCTATATATCTTATCACAGAATAAACTTAGGCTGTCTAATGTACAAAACTTAGGTAAAAATAAAAGTTGAGAGCCCAAAACAATAACTACTTAAAAATTAAAGGAGAAGTTATTTCGCATGTGATAGAGGGACATAATATTTAAAGGAAAGTTTCAGTAACTCTGAAGGGACAATCTTATACTTCTCTATCACTTTACCCCAAACAAAAGGAGGAAGAAAAGATTGTTTTTACATCTCTTAATCATTACAGTACTTATTTTAAAAAGTGACCCACCGATTTCCTAAGGTACATTTTTCACCAGTTAGGTTTCTTTTTAAATGACATTAGAAACTCACAACCAAAACTGGAAATATGATTGTCCCTGTAAAGAAGAATAAACACAATTGATGATATTTAGTAGGGATGAAGGTAACTTCTAAATATTTGATAACTCCAAGTGTCCTGTGAGGGAATTTTTTTTTTTCCTAATTAAGAGAAACTTAAGGTCATATAACTATCTAAGAGCATATAATATATAACTAAATTGCTGGTCCCAGATTTTAGGTCCAAGACATTAACTGAATATAATTCATGCTAATTCTATAAAAAAGATAATGGACAGGTTTGTTTTTTTGTTTGTTTGTTTTGAGACGGAGTCTCGCTCTGTCGCCCCGGCTGGAGTGCAGTGGCATGATCTCGGCTCACTGCAAACTCCGCCTCCCGGGTTCACGCCATTCTGCCTCAGTCTCCTGAGTAGCTGGGACTACAGGAGCCCCCACCACGCCCGGCTTATTTTTTAGTAGAGACGGGGTTTCACCGTGTTAGCCAGGATGGTCTCGATCTACTGACCTCATGATCCGCCCGCCTCGGCCTCCCAAAGTGCTGGGATTACAGGCGTGAGCCACCGCGCCCGGCCAATGGACAGGTTTTTATAGTGTTGTAATTCTACCTTAAAAAATTAACTTTCCACAGAAGAAAACAGCAATGCAAAATTTTGAATTAACAACTCCATTTTTGAAAAATTATTTTTTTTTCTGACACTATACATCTGCAGATGGCAGCTCCTGTTTTTTTGTTTGTTCATTTGTTTTGTTTTGAGACAGGGTCTCACTCTGTCGCCCGGGCTGGAATACGGTAGTGCGATCTCCGCTCACTGCAACCTCCGCCTCCCGGGCTCAAGCGATTCTCCCACCTCAGCCTCTTGAGTAGCTGGGACTACAGGGGCACGCCACCATGCCTGGCTGATTTTTGTATTTTTAGTAGAGACAGGGTTTCACCATGTTGGCCAGGCTGGTCTCGAACTCCTGACTTCAAGTGATCTGCCCGTTTCGGCCTCCCAAAGTGCTGGGATTATAGGCGTGAGCCACCGCGCCAGCAGCTCCATTTTTGATTGCTTATTTACTAAACCTTCAATTCACAGACAACCTAATCTACACTGAAAGAAGGGGAAGAAAGGGCCTATGACATCTTGGTATGTTCTAAGGGAAAGACATTTTAACATTAAGCATCACCCTATTAAATTTCAGAACTGCATATACCCTAAAATATTTCCATTTCAAAAGCTACATCAAGGCCGGGTGCGGTGGCTCAGGCCTGTAATCCCAGCACTTTGGGAGGCCGAGGCGGGCTGATGACCTGAGGTCAGGAATTCAAGACCAGCCTGGCCAACATGGTGAAACTCCGTCTCTACTAAAAATACAAAAATTAGCCAGTCGTGGTGGTGGGTGCCTATAATTCCAGCAACTCTGGAGGCTGAGGCGGGAGAATTGCGTGAACCCAGGAGGCGGAGGTTGCAGTAACCGAGATTGCTCCACTGCACTCCAGCCTGGGCGACAGAAGGAGACTCCAACTCAAAAATAAAAATAAAAAGCTATATCAAGAATAAACACTGGGGCCAGGCATAGTGGGTCAGGCCTGTAATCCCAGTACTTTGGGAAGCCAAGGCGGGCAGATCACTTGAGGTCAGGAGTTCCAGACCAGCCTGGTCAACATGGTGAAACTCTTGTCTCTACTACATAGTCCCAGCCATTCAGGAGGCTGAGGTGGGAGAATCACTTGAACTCAGGAGGCAGAGGTCGCAGTGAGCCATCGTGCCATTGCACTCCAGCCTGGGCAACAGAGCAAGACTCTGTCTCAAAAAAAATAATAAATACTGGGCTTTTGCCAAGCGCAGTGGCTCACGCCTGCAATCCCAGCACTTTGGGAGGCCGAGGCGGGCAGATCAGCTGAGCTCAGGAGTTCAAGTCCAGCCTGGCCAACACGGTGAAACCCTCTCTACTAAAAATACAAAAATTAGCCGGGTGTGGTGGCATGCGCCTGTAATCCCAGCTACTCGGAAGGCTGAGGCAGGAGAATTGCAGAGGTTGCAGGGAGCTGAGGAGGCCCCACTGCACTCTAGCCTGAGCAACAGAGTGAGACTCTGTCTCAGAAAACAAAACAAAACTGGGCTTTTTCTAAAGATCCAAAATTTTCCTCGAGGAATTAAATTCTGCTCCTAATTCTGTAACTAATTCAGAAGTTTATTCACACCTATTTATACATTACACAATTGAATATTCCTGCTTCTGAATCCAAACATATATATTCCCTTAACAGTTGAGACATACGGATGTGAGATATTTTTAAACTTCAATTTAAATCGTGTTCAAAAGCAAGAGGAGCATGCCTCACAACACAACCTTTATAAACTACATTCAGTTAAAAGTAAGAATATGTTATAGGTCCACTATTGGAAAATCATAAAAATAGATTTTCTGATTTCATCTAGATAGCCAGGTTGTATTACTGTTTAAGATTATACATAAAAAAGAAATACTCATTAAGTCTCCATTACATATTGAATGGGTAACATAATATTACACATACATGTTAAATTAACAGTTGTAAATTGTACTAAGATCTCCTAATGTACAAGTTTTAATGCATTTTCATTATACATATCAAATCAATACTATAAAAAATTTAAAGTGAGTTTGTTTTGAAATTTCACACATCTCAAATACTGTAAACAACTAGTTATGTCTTCGTTTGACAGGTGTCTATATTTGTTCCCTCAAAACAGGGACAACTATGTTAATCAAACATTCAGATAAGAATTTCAGGTAAGTGGGCTGGCGCGTGGCTCACGCCTGTAATCCCAGCACTTGGGGAGGCCAAGGCGGGCGGATCACCTGAGGTCGGGAGTTCCAGACCAGCCTGACAAACATGGAGAAACCCCATCTCTACTAAAAATACAAAATTAGCCAGGTGTGGTGGTGCATGCCTGTAATCCCAGCTACTCGGTAGGCTGAGGCAGGAGAATCGCTTGAACCCAGGAGGCGGAGGTTGAAGTGAGCCGAGATCAAGCCATTGCACTCCAGCCTGGGCAACAAGAGTGAAATTCCGTCTCAAAAAAAAAAAAAAAAAAAGAATTTCAGATAAGTGCCTGTCGGAGAATCCTTAAACTGTAATTTAGCCCCATCCTAACATCAAGTACTTTTTCCACTGTTATTTGACTATGGCTGATCTAACATCTGCTAAGGAGTTCCCAGGAGTTATCAGGTTACAAGTTTCAACTGACCCCTGGAAAGTGAATGGCTACTTTGGTGGCTTTATCTTGGTAATATGCAAATCTTGGTAAATTTGAAAAGAGAGAATTAAATAAGAAACACTCTCAAGAATGCTCAAGAATGTAAAACTCAAGAATTTGAGTTTTACAAATTACTTTTCAAAATAGAAAATGAAGTATCTGCCCAGATTGATGTTAGTATTATAGCAAGCTACCGGAGGTCAGGCCGTAGGATCAAAAACTACCAATGGTCATTTTCTGATACTTTAGAAACTAATCTCTTAAGTGAGGTCTAAAATGAGTCATACCAAACTGCATTTACAGAAGGACTCCATTATATTTTGAAGTTAGAGCAAGGAATGAACACTTTCAACAAATAAAGGACTAATAAAAGGGTAACAGAATGGGTATTATCTTGGTAAAACTCACAGTAAACGTCACTCTAAAGCTACAATTAACCTGATTTTGTAGTACCATAGTAGTTTGTCACATATTTATGCCTGTAGTCCATGAAACACCCTTAAATGCTCATTGCTGAAAAATTTCCACCAATGTGACACCAGCACTGATAAATTGGAGTTATCTTTAGCTTTTCAGAGTATAAAAAGCAGTTTCCTTTAAAAAAAAAAAAAGGTTTTTATGTTGAAGCAATTTCACTGTTGGCTATTTATCTTCCTCCCCCCTACCCAAATGAGGCTTGCTAAAAAGGAAAAAAAAAAAAACACCTTATGTGTACTTAAGAGTCAACTCTTGTATGAAAGGGTCATTACCAAAGGCCAGTATTCTTAGGCTAACTTCTTAGCTAGTTTTAAAATTATTACTCATTCCATTATTCATAAAATTAATCTCTCTGAATGACACAGATGGGTCCACTACTAAATTGAAGATAAAGCTTTCATAACTATTGTCTTATGAGCAGCATGAAGCAAACCTGCATCATGTGGAAAGATATCAAAACGTCTATGTGCAGTAAAAACATTAGGTTAACTATGCATTTTCCTATTGGTTTTACTGAATTTCTCTCAAGTTCTCCTTAAAGAGAGTAAGAAAAGAGTAGTCATGTCATTTCACTAAAAAATAAAAATGAATTCCTTTCTCTGAAGGATGTGAATTTTAAAGATTAAGTCCAGGATAGTGGATCACCAAAGGGTTGCAATATTCTTATCTATAACAATCTCAAATTGGATATGGAGGAAAATGGACAAGTTGTATATTAACAAAATACAAGACTATCTAGTACAGTTTGCCTTTTAAAAAAGAAATCTATCGTAGTGATTTAAGGCAAGTATTGCAAAAACGTTATGATCCCCAAACCAGAAAAAAATAATAATAATTATGTTTCCCTACCCAAGTAATTCTAACTGCGGGAAACATGTTATTAGAATTTGCCATAAGCTCAGAAGTTGAGCTGTTTTACTAGAAAATTAAACAAGTTTGACTAAATTTATACTCACTATTAAGTCACTTGAAAGCTTGCCTGCTGTCTCTTGTTTCAGGCTCCTGTATGTCACAAAATTAATTTGTTTCCATATTTCCTTTGGCAATTATAAGACAACTTCTGCCCAGCTTTTGTTAAAGGCTCATTTTACATTTAACCCCAGAATATAGCTCATATTTTCCTGGAATATTCAGGTGAATTTTCATTTGGACACTTAAGTTGTAGGAGTGTGAGTACACTAGGAAGACCCCAAGTCAGGTTTCTGTATTTAAGGGTGGGTGAAGTTTACCCAGATTCTTCTCCCCTTAAGTTGTTGGAATTCAAGGCAGCACCCTCATCTGGGAATTAAACAAGATTGGTTAGATAAATTTCACATCATACTAACATCTTAAAAGACGAATATGGGTAAAATATAAAGGAAGGAAAATTGAAAACTCCAAGACAGTAACTTTGAGATCAATTTCAGCTTTACTTTACATTTGCATTTATGCATTTGTTTGCAAAAAGTATACCTGTCCTTAACATTACTGCAATGTTCAGTTTAGTTTTAAAGTAGTACATAAAAATAAACAATTTAAGCTCCTATATATTTTACTGTTTCCAAGCTTCTACAGAACAGGTGTGCAAACTTAAGGTTTCTCATCTCAAACAAATCTCCATGCACGAACTAATCAAAAATGCTCAAGTCAGCAAACACGCAAAATGCATTAAAGAGAAACCTCGAATAATGTTTTTAAAAAACAAACTTTGGAACTTTTATAATTAAACTAAGTTGTTGCACCTCTCCTTTCATTTGCATATACCAAAGACTTCCAACAATAGATCTCGTACTTGGCACAAGGACATTTCAAAGAAACAAACAAAAAAAAAGAGAGAGAGAGAAAGGCAAAGAGGTTTACGCTGACTTGAGTGCAAGCTTAGTCCACTTCTTCGATGGTGGGTCCCCCGGAGGCTCCTGAACCGCCGCCGCCGCTGCCGCCGCCAGGACCACCTTGGTAAAGTTTGCTGATGATGGGGTTGCAAACTCTTTCGAGCTCTTTCTGCTTGTGTTCATACTCATCTTTCTCTGCCATCTGGTTTCGGTCGAGCCAGTTGATCACCTCCTGACACTTGTCGAGGATCTTGTTTTTGTCCTGCTCGCTAATCTTGCCCCTCAGTTTCTCGTCTTCCACCGTCTGCTTGATGTTGTAGGTATAGGACTCCAGGGCGTTTTTGGCCGCGACTCGGTCGCGATTCGCCTCATCTTCCGATTTGTACCGCTCCGCCTCCTGCACCATCCGGTCAATGTCGTCCTTGCTCAGACGACCTTTGTCATTGGTGATGGTGATTTTGTTTTCCTTACCGGTGCTCTTGTCGGCGGCGGTAACGTTAAGGATGCCATTGGCGTCAATGTCGAAGGTAACCTCGATTTGGGGGACCCCGCGAGGCGCAGGGGGAATCCCGGTCAGGTCGAACTTGCCCAGCAGGTTATTGTCCTTGGTCATGGCCCGTTCGCCCTCGTATACCTGCACCAGTACGCTGCTCTGGTTGTCCGAGTAGGTGGTGAAGGTCTGCGTCTGCTTGGTGGGGATCGTGGTGTTCCTCTTGATGAGTGGGGTCATGACACCGCCAGCTGTCTCGATGCCCAGCGACAACGGGGTCACGTCGAGTAGCAGCAGGTCCTGCACATTCTCTGATTTGTCGCCGATGAGGATGGCCGCCTGCACCGCGGCGCCATAGGCCACCGCCTCGTCGGGGTTGATGCTCTTGTTCAGCTCCTTGCCGTTGAAGAAATCCTGCAGCAGCTTCTGGATCTTGGGGATACGAGTGGAGCCGCCCACCAGCACGATCTCCTGGATCTGGCCCTTGTCCAGCTTGGCGTCGCGCAGCGCCTTCTCCACCGGCTCCAGGGTCCCGCGAAAGAGGTCGGCATTGAGCTCCTCGAAGCGGGCGCGCGTGATGGACGTATAGAAGTCCACGCCCTCGTAGAGCGAGTCGATCTCGATGCTCGCCTGCGTGGACGAGCTCAGGGTGCGCTTGGCGCGCTCGCAAGCGGTGCGCAGCCGCCTCACGGCGCGCTTGTTGGGCCCAATGTCCTTCTTGTGCTTGCGCTTGAACTCCTCCGCCAGGTGGCTCACCATGCGGTTGTCGAAGTCCTCACCGCCCAGGTGGGTGTCGCCGGCCGTGGACTTCACCTCGAAGATGCCATCCTCGATGGTCAGGATGGACACGTCGAAAGTGCCACCGCCCAGGTCAAAGATGAGCACGTTCTTCTCGCCGCCCGCGCAGCCCTTCTTGTCCAGGCCGTAGGCGATGGCCGCCGCCGTGGGCTCGTTGATGATGCGCAGCACATTGAGCCCCGTGATGGTGCCTGCGTCCTTGGTGGCCTGGCGCTGCGAGTCGTTGAAATAGGCCGGGACCGTTATGACCGCGCTGTGCACCTTGCCCCCCAGGTAGGCTTCCGCGATCTCCTTCATCTTCGTGAGGACCATGGAGGATATCTCCTCTGGGAAGAAGGTCTTGGTCTCCCCCTTGTACTCTACTTGCACTTTGGGCTTGCCTCCCTCGCTCACCACCCGGAACGGCCAGTGTTTCATATCCGACTGCACTGTGGCATCCTCGAATTTCCGTCCAATCAGCCTCTTGGCGTCGAAGATGGTGTTGGTGGGGTTCATGGCCACCTGGTTCTTGGCGGCGTCGCCGATGAGGCGCTCGGTGTCCGTGAAGGCCACGTAGCTGGGGGTGGTGCGATTGCCCTGGTCGTTGGCGATGATCTCCACCTTGCCATGTTGGAAGACCCCGACGCACGAATAGGTGGTGCCCAGGTCGATGCCGATAGCCGGGCCACGGGCAGACATCCTGACTGAAAGGCGAGCGACGTTAGGACGGGAAAACCAGGGAGATGAACTCCGCGGAGTCAACTAACGGCCACCTCGAACCAAGCACCACGGGCACTACCAGCAACTCAGCTCCCCGCGCCCAGTTCCCGGTTCTTATAGCCGCCTCTGGGAACTCCCAGACCCAATCCGCTCCCGGGACCGCCCTCACAAACTCTTCCAGCTCCACCACAGGCTTGCCTAGGTCGGAGTGACTGGCCCGTGACCCAACAGATTTCAAGTTGGACGAGGGGCGGGACTCCGGCCCCCGCCAGGAGACAGAGGGGCGGCCGTTATGTAAATGAGGTTCCTCCCTGACTCTCGGCCGCCAGGCCGTGGTGCCTCGCGCGCCTCCTGCTGCTGGCTGGCGTTAGGCGCGCGCTCCCAGAGCCAGGTGTACGCGCTTTTTCGCGGTCTTTGCCCTAGCCGACGTGCATCGGATTGGCAGGGCACGCGGCCAATGAGCAGTGCGGACTGAGGCGCGGCACGGGGAGGAGGCGTGGAAGGGGATCCCGGTGAGGAGAGCCACTGGGAGAGTTCGCTCAATTCCTGAGGTTTTAAATGCAGTTCACTGCTAGGGTGCCGACTCACTGAGCACGCAGGGGCGGAGGAATTCATTCTGAGTTGGTTGCACCGAAGAAATAAAGCTCGAGCAGCTTGTTTTCCCCGGCGCCGTCCAAGGGGAGGGAATAGGGAATTGGGGTGGCTGGGGTGGGGGGTGAGGGCGGATCCCTTGGACGGGGATTAAAGAAAAGAAAAAGTCTGAACCGGCGGTCGGCCTCCTGGGATTTTATGGTGGGTGCTTCACTGCGTCTCAGTGGTTGTGAGCGCTCGATTAAAACTGCCTGGCTGGGGCCGGGCGCAGTGGCTAACGCCTGTAATCCCAGCACTTGGGAGGCCGAGGCGGCCGGATCACGACGTTAAGACATCGAGACCATCCTGGCCAACATGGTGAAAGCCCGTCTCTACTAAAGATACAAAAATTAGCTGGGCGTGGTGGCGCGTGCCTGTAGTCTCAGCTACTCGGGAGGCTGAGGCAGGAGAATCGCTTGAACCCGGGAGGTGGAGGTTGCAGTGAGCCGAGATCACGCCACTACACTCCAGCCTGGGCGACTGAGCGAGACTCCGTCTCAAAAAAAACAAAAAAAAACCCCACTGCCTGGCGGGCGGAGAGAACCTGAGCCCAGGGCGAGGCCGACCGTTTTCCCGCGCCGCGTGAGGGCGGCTGGCGGGACGGCAGACAGGGGTGTGGCGGCGACTTGTCCTCCGAGGAGCCTGCATTTAAACCCTTCCTGCCTCACTCTTCCTTTTTCCTGTTTGTCCTGCCGCTTTAAACTCTGGTTTCGCCTTCCTGTTCATTCCATTGCTTATTTTAGGTCGCAAGTGCTTTATCCACTGCTTTGAGTTTTTGACTGGAAAACCCATAATATAATCAGTCAAAACCCACACGTTGAAACACCATAAAGTCACCCAGTCTCGGTCACCCTGGCACACACGGGGTTGTGATCGTGACCTAGTCATGTTTCTGACTCCGCTCAATGGAATGGAATGATTTTCTTTGGCTGTGCTGAGGTTAATATTGGAGGCATAAACCCTCCGAGAAGGTAGATGAAAAGGAGCGCGATTCACTTCCTCCTGTTTAACAGGAATGTGAGGACAGGTCTGGAAAATACCCTGGCACCAGGTAATAATCTTTAGAAGCAGGCTCCCATATAAATGGGCTCCTGGACGGGTGTGGAGGCTCATGCCTGTAGTTTCAGCACTTTGAAAGGCCGCGGTAGGTGGATCACTTGCTGTCAGAAGTTCGAGGCCAGCCTGGCCAACATGGTGAAACCCCGTCTCTACTAAAAATACAAAAATTAGCCGGGCGTGGTGGCGCGCGCCTGTAGTCCCAGCTACTCGAGAGGCAGAGGTTGCAGTCAGTCGAGATTGCGACACTGCACTCCAGCCTGGGCGACAGAACGAGACTCCGTCTCAAAAAAATAAAATAAATGGTCTCCAGGAGGAAGCAAAGACAGCGATCACTTTACATAATATGTGTGGGGAGGCTGGGGAAGTCCTTCCATCAAGCTTGAACAGGTACCTACTACGTGGCAGTAAAAAGCCAAATGAAATGGCCTGGTCTTCAGAGGTGGAGAGTCTAATAAACAGGTAAACATAATTTGGGAGAAGCGCTGAAAGCAAAGCGCCATGGGAACACAGAGGGGCACACCCAGGCTGATGGAAAAGTGCGTTGCTGAGAGCTACCTGGAAGAGGTGGCATGCCTAATCCGGGAGCTGAAGTTCGCCAGCAAAGAGTAGGAAAGCCATTCTTTACATAGGTTGTGTATGGGCGAAGATGAGAGCAATGTTTGCTGGACTAGGATTTCTGTACAGAAGATTAGTGTCACTAGAAGGGAGGGATACAGGCAAGCAATAGGCTCTTCAGGTGGATAGGATACATCTCAGAGCTTTTTGAGCCATGGTCTTTTTCCTGAGGCTTTGGGCTGGGAGCACCGTCCTTTAAAGCAGGCTAGTGATGTGCAGCCATGTAAAAGCTGTATGAAATGGCGCTGGAGAAAAGCTTTTGTCAACCCAGAAGTTATCTGTGACCAAAAAGTAATGTTGAGAGAATTCTATAAAGTCAATGAACATTTAAGATTATTTTATCTAGTGGTGTATATCATTTCCAGTTTTTAAGAACATAATTGGTTATTAATCGGTTAATGTCATCAGTTAGTACTAATTTTAACCATAATTCCTATCCTCTTTTCCATGAATTTGAAAAAATTTTGAAAAAGGGGACGTTTTAAAGAAAATATTAGAAAGGCTGGACGCGGTGGCTCATGCCTGTAATCCCAGCACTTTGGGAGGCCGAGGCGCGTGGATCACGAGGTCAGAAGTTCAAGACCAGCCTGGCCAAGATGGTGAAACCCTGTCTCTACTAAAAATACAAAAATTAGCCGGGCCTGGTGGTGGGCGCCTGTAATCCCAGCTACTTGGGAGGCTGAGGCAGAGGATTGCTTGAATCCGGGAGGCAGAGGTTGCAGTGAGCTGAGATCACGCCACTGCACTCCAGCCTGGGCGACAGAGCAAGACTCTGTCTAAAAAAAAAAAGAAAAAGAAAAGAAAATATTAGGAAAACAAGGATAAAACCCAGACTTTTCTAATTGAAACTGTCATAAATTGTGAGTACAGATCTCTTGATTTTATTCTTGGAAATTCTTGTCTTTTGTGTAGTTTGGGGGTGGGGGGTATTTGTTTGGTTTTTTTTGAGACAGAGTCTTGTTCTGTCGCCAGGCTGGAGTGCAGTGGCTCACTGCAACCTCTGCCTCCTTGGTCCAAGAGATTGTCGTGCCTCAGCCTTCCAGATAGCTGGGTTACTTATGTGCACCAGCACGTCCATCTAATTTTTATATTTTTGGTAGAGACAGGGTTTCACCATGTTTGCCAGGCTGTTCTCGAACCCCTGACTTCAAATTGTCTGCCCATCTTGGCCTCCCAACGTGCTGGGATTACAGGCCTGAGTTTTTCTTCTCTCTTTTCTTTTCTTTCTCTTTCTTTCTTTCTTTCCTTCTTTTTCTTTCTTTCTTTCTTTTCTTTTCTTTGTTTTTTTAGAAAAGGGAATTAGTGGGCTGGAAGCAATGCATATTCTTTGTAGAACTGATGATATATGACTTAGAGATACAGTCTCAGCTACAACTGAAACAAAGAATGTGAGAAACACAAATTCTTTAAATCTCTTGCATTCAGTCAGCCCTCAACACACCTCAAGCAAACCAAGATTGCAAAAGAGCAAGCAGGCCAGAGTTCTCACATAGAATCACTAAAATTAGAGCTTCAGAGGAATAGTTTCTTTTGCACAATAACTGTGCTACCTCTGTGCCCAGATATTACAAACACATCTTGCAATCTGACCACCACATTCATCTTTAACACAGGTTTCTGAAACCACAGTAGCAATTATACCCACATTTTCATTAGCCATGTATATTTTTTTCTGCCCTAACTTGTGTTTTGTATGTTCCATAGTTTAAGAGGCATCCTAAGCTTTTCCCAAAAAAGACACTGTATTTGTATTTTGGGTTTTTAAAAATTTGTTTGTTTGTTTTAAGAGACAGGGACTTGCTGTGTCACCCAGGCTGGAATGCAGTGGCAGGCTCACAGCTTGCACAAGCGATCCTCCCACTTCAGCCTCCGGAGTAGTTAGGACTACAGGCATGCACCACCAAGCCCGGCTAATTTTTGTATTTTTGTAGAGATGGAGTTTTGCCATGTTGGTCAGTCTGGTCTCGAACTCCTTAGCTCAAGCTCTCCACCAGTCTCAGCCTCCCAAAGTGCTGGGATTACAGTAGTGAGCCACCACACCTGGCCAATATTTTTTCTTTACATTAAATATGATCATGCCTTTTATTTAGCATTACTCATTGTGGGATTTATTCTAAGGAAATAATAGAAAATGCAGGTAGTATTATTTATGTTAATGATAATAGAAAGGAAATGGTTTAAATATCCAAAAATAAGAGATTACCTAAATTATAGTACATGCATATGATGAATTCTTACGCAGCCGTAAAAATGGTTTACAAGATTTTTAATGACACGGAAAAATGTTCTTGGTATAATTAAGTGAATAAAATATATGAAACTTGTATCTTCTTATATGTAGGATAATCTAATATAGATTTAAAATGCATCAAAATTGGTTATCTAGAAGGTAGAATTATCAGTAATTTTTCTAAGTTTCCTTACTGTGCTTTTACAATTGATTTTGAGAACTTGACTATTAACAGCTACATTAGTCCATTTTCACGCCGCTGATAAAGACACCCGAGACTGGGTAATCTATAAGGGAAAAAAAGGTTTAGTGGACTCACACTTCCATATGGCTGGGGAGGCCTCACAATCACGGCAGAAGGCGAAAGGCACATGGCGGCAGGCAAGAGAGAATGAGAACCAAGCAAAAGGGGTGGACTCCCCCGAGGGCTGCGGTACTGTCCTGCTCTCCAGTATTTGCAAGGGCCGAAAGGTGTACCAGCATTTCAGCAAGGCCCGGGAACCCCGCACAGCCACACCAAACCCTATGTCTGCTCCAAGGGCTGGAAGTTCGAGTGCATCAGAGGCCGACAGGCCAGCCGAGGCTACAAAAACTAACCTTGGATCCTACCCTCTTAATAAAAAGATTTTGGATGCTGAAAAAAAAATCAGATCTTACTCACTACCACCAGTTACATGGCAGCAGGCAAGAGAGAATGAGAACCAAGCAAAAGGGGTTTCCCCTTATAAAACCATCAGCTCTTACTACCACGAGAATAGTATGGGAGAAACCGCCCCCATGATTCAATTATCTTTCACCACAACACATGGGAATTATGGGAGCTACAATTCAAGGTGAGATTTGGGTGGGGACACAGCCAAACCATATCAACAGTTGAAACAAAGTCTATTAGTCTTACATAGAAATTATTGCTGATTTTCAACAAGTGAACTCTCTCTTTGGCAGATTATAAATACTAGGGTGTTTCAAAGTATTTTTAAAATCCAAAGACTAAGGCTCCACAGATTAAATGGTGGAAAAAACAAGAGCTTTAACATATGTCAAATCCTCTGTAATTAATTCCTAGCACCCAGAAGAGTGCCTGGAAAGCAGTAGTAAATCACTAGCTTAGTATTTATTAAAAGTGACCTGAGACACATTATTTAACAAAAAAAAAATTTAGTTTTTTTCTTTATAGTAGGAAGATACACTGCCTACCTCTTATATTTCTGTACTAAATGACACTGCAGAGACCAAAAGTTGAAACAAATTCATATCTGAAAATATTTGTACTAGAGATACAAAGGTGAATAAGATACGGCCTAAAACTATGTGCCTGGGTGTTAGACCTGCCCTAAGGAGACTGAGCAATAATACATTTTTGCAGAATTACTAGGGAAAAAAACCCCAACTCGTGAATTTTCCTAAAATCCTCTCAGTCTCTACCCAGGAACAACCTTCACAAGGGTTGTAGATTATCTTAAGGAGATAATGTTGGCCTGAAGAAAAGATGGAATAACAGCCTCTAATTTGAGGGCCCTTGAGCAAACTGAAATTCAACTAATGATTATCTTTAAGATCTCTATAAATACTGCCATTTTATAATTCTTACAAAGTGCTGTGTCCTAAAATATTTCTTCACCTATCACTACAGGAAAAAACTTGCCATTTGTTTCTTTGAGTCTTAAAAAATTCAGTCTTGAAGTTACACTTAAGCTGTAGATACACAGTAGGCTGGGGTAAGACATTTCCATGCCTGGTATGGAAGGGTAAGAGACCTGAACCTGGAAGGCTTTTTCCAAAAGAGAAGTTAATCTATGACAACAGCAGACAAATTATACCTACTTCAACTTTTAGTGCTAACCTTATAGACCCTTGTGGAATAGATTGAAATAATCTGGAAGAAGTGAGGCTGTCCTATACTTGGAGAATCAGATTCAATATGCAATTATTGTTAATACTTATTTAATTCTTAAACTGAAAAAAAAATGAATTATACTGGCAAAGTAGTTATTTCTCTGACAGTAAATTGTGTTTACTTGAAAAATGAATTAAGCCTCTGAAAGAGCTAAACACTTTATCAATGGATATTTATAAATAATTATTTCTTTGTGTATTAAGAAGGAAATCCAGGCCAGATGCAGTGGCTCATACCTGTAATCCCAGCACTTGGGAGACAAAGGCAGGAGGATCACTCGAGCCCAGGAGTTCAAGACTAACCTGGGCAACACAGGGAGACCCCATCTCTACAAAAAATTTTAAAAATTAGCAGGCATCGTGGTGGGAATCTATAGTCCTAGCTACTAGGGTGGCTAAGGTGGGAGGATCCCTTGAGCCCAGAAGTCTGAGGTTACAGTGAGCTATAATCTTGGCACTACTTTCCAGGCTGAGTAACAGATCATTCTTCTATATTGAAAGAAATCAGGATCTGGCAATAAGAATTTTAGCTAATTCTCTTTGTGCACATCTTAAGCTACCTGAGAACATCATAATTAGCTATATCAGATACTTTATTATTGTGGTATTAGAGGATGGAAGGAGTTAATAATTTTCAAACTAATAATTTTTTTAAATGGCCAGATTGGAAAAAATACAGTATAAATAAAAGTAATATACAGACAATTTAACTTTGGAATATAGAGGAGGAAATTTTATTAGGTAAAAACAATGGATTAAGAAATGTAATAAAAGTACTTTAACCCAATAATTCCATTTTATACTATATACTAAAATACAGAAAATAATCACATTGTAGAATGCATTTATACCATTTATAATTATTATAATTCATTACATTTATAGTTAGTACAGTCAAAATTTAAGCCATTTTTATTTAGTAAATCTAATTCCACCAGTCAATCAAAAATTATTTGTTGATTTATTACTATTTTGATCTGGCACCTTTAATTATTGGTAATATTCTTTTATTTTTCTTTTTCCTACTTATGTTTAGAGGTCTGCAGTTCTGTATACCTCCTTATGTTCCCAAAAGAGATTAACTCTAGGGTTTTTTAGACTCTAATATTTCCCTAGGCTTATTTGTTTTATTTCTCTTAAAGCAGTAGAATTCACATGTATTTGAACCCTTCAGTGGGTTTTTCTCTCCTTTCTACCCACTATCACATTGCAATTAACTCTTTCTCAGATTTTCACTTAGTCTAATTATTAGAATGAATATTCAAGTTATCCTACTTTACAGCAAGGGTTTTTTAAATGATGTAACTTCTGCACATACTATTAAGAATACTATAAATCTCTGTGCTTCTTGTTAAAACATTGGAATAAATAGTCATAAAAATAAGCATTTCTCAAAATAAATAACATCTTGATATTGCAGAAGAAACAAAATAATCATAAGGAATTGGGTACATAAACAGAAAGAAGTAAAACTACAAGTATATTCAGAATAAGGAAATAAAATTCATATGGTTAAGTAATATATATATGTGCACATATATATATCAAACAAAGCATTTATAGCCAGACTAAAATCTCACCAAATATTTAACTTCTCCATTAAAGATTTTTTAAAACATGTTAACCATCATTTTACTGAATACTTAAATTTTATCTTGAAATTTGAAAGCTGAGAAGCATGGTTTATACATAAATATTGAGAATAAGTATTTTAACAGAAACTTATTCTGCCTTATTAGGTTATATTGCCAAGTTCAGAAGAAAATAATGTGTCTGATTTGTGGAAATCTACCACTATTGAAGTAATACCATTTCTGTTCTCCTTCAAGTTAACAGGTTTAAAAGGGAGTTTCATTCATATAAATGATCAAGATTGTGACTGGCATATACAGTGGAAAAGGAAGAAGGGCAAGTGTTTTACTATAGTGAGTAATAACCAAATTATCCTGTTAAAATATTGGTCTTAAATTTTTTTTCTCTGTACCCATTACTTCTTACACTCTAAACTACAGATTTTTGGTGTAAGTTTTTAAGTTGACTAAGTACATTTCATAATATTTAAGCTATAATTCTAGTGATTTTAAGTTTAGAATTATTTATATCTATATAAATAGATTTGTGATTATGTCTCTTTATATTTGCAGTAGCCTAACAACCCCTTTTATTTTAGAAAGACCCTTGAAGATAATTAGCATATAAAGTTTTATTTTAGTATAGCTGTAACCACTGATGTTGTATGAATTTTCTAGTTACTTTTCTTCAGCAGATTTACACAAATATTAGAGTCACCATGAATCAATTTTGTTACAACAAAGTGATTCCAAAGTGATCTTTACTGAGTTTTCTTGGATCTTTGCAACTGGAACTTTTTGGGTTGATGGAAGTTTGTCAGGAAGACAGAAAAGATGGTGCCACTTCAGATCTGATATTCCTGGGTCTGTACTTAAAGATTATCTGTTGAAGATTGATTCTTCCCCATGTCCTCTCCAAATTCAGATCTCTCACTTCTCCACAGGTTTAGAAGGCCCTATTTCACCACTGCCACACAGAAAAAGACAAAACTCAAGAAAAATAATATTACAAGTTGACTGCTCTACAAGATACAACATAATTCTTAGATCAGAATTTCTTGGCTTTGGCACTAGGCCAACACACTGTTAACAGAACAGAGAATAGAAACACAAGCATAGCCCCTAGAATTTAAATTTAATTATTTCCCGAATGTAACTCGTACCATTCAAATATAAGATGTTCTTATTAATCTATCAGCAGGACATATAAATATATAACATAAAAAAAGATAGGGGTCAGACAAATAGAGGAAAGTAGGGAGGAAGGAAGCAGTTAAGAAGTGTTTTCCTTCAAATAAAATGATTTTACAATGTACTTTAACTTGTTAATGACAAATCTCTGATTGAAACATAAATCTAACAATTTTTTTAAAGTTCATATTCTTTTTACTGTCTTCAGCCACTCTGCAAATGAAAATGAAGCATACACGCACACACACATACACGCACAAAAGAAGAGGAGGGGTTTTCCTGCAAATTCCTAGGCTTATAAGCCTCCTAATCTGCCCTAGTGATTCTGAGTAAAATTATATTTTTGGCAACAGTGCTTTTCCCTCATAATAAGATCCTTAATTTTTTTAAAATTTTTTAAACATAAGCATTTGAAAAAAAAGATGGTTCATAATCTGGATGCTTAGAATTAATGTTTCTATCATCTAAAAATGAGCTCTCCTGATTGTGTTTGATATGAGCAGTTAGTTTAAGGAGAATAAAAACATGTTAACTTTTTAAGTAAGTAGGGGCTTTTTAAGCTGTATAATTAACTGTTCCTTCCTCAAATAGGAGAAAACAAACTGCAAATTTTCTCACATAAAATTATTAATATCCCTGACTCTGATATGAAATAATCTTTTAAATTTTGGTCATCCCTTGGCCCTAGACATTCCTGTGTTTTCACTTAATACAATAATGATTAGTACATTGATATGTTCAGTTCAGAGCCAAGTATTTAATTGTAATCTTCATACTATCTTTTTTGGTCAGCAATTGAGATGGATAATGAGAAATTATAATGGCTTTCTGTCCCTTAGTGATCTGTGGTAGATTTTGATGGAAAGAATGAGCAATTTTGACACTACTAATTGACTTCAGTGATTTGGTTCTCCTGAATAAGAGAACAACTTAAGTAAGATTTAAACTTCTTAATGCTAAATTCAACCAATTGTGTGCATATAAATGTAAGTGATATTAAGTTTGTTCAAAATTAACATTAATTTTTTTTTTTTTTGAGACGGAGTCTGTCTCCCAGGCTGGAGTACAGTGGCACGATATCAGCTCAGTGCAACCTCCATCTCCCAGGTTCAAGCGGTTCTCCCGCCTCAGCCTCCAGAGTAGCTGAGACTACAGGCATGTGCCACCACTCCCGGCTAATTTTTTGTATTTTTAGTAGAGAGGTTTCATCATGTTAGCCAGGCTGGTCTCGAACTCCTGACCTCAGCTGATTCACCTGCCTCGGCCTCTCAAAGTGCTGGGATTACAGGCATGAGCCACCTGAGCCACTGCTCCCAGCCAGAATTAGCATTAATTTACAAGCTGCTATTGTCATTTAGTTTATATTTAACACTTAAATGATTATATAGACATTGTCCACAGAATCTTCACAATCTCATTCTTCTGTTCTCACTTGAAAAGTGACATTTGGCAGACGGTAGCCAGATCATTAAAGTAGTAGGTTTAACATAGTAGTATAGAAATAAGGTAATAGACGCATAAAGTTAAAATAATATTAGATTGAGGGAGATTGTTTCACTTAAACCATTAAATAACCTTTTTTAAAGTTTGCTGCTAGGTTAGGGTGGTTATGCAGCTATGTGTCATTTCCTGAAATTATCTTTCATTTGTTTTATGAGTAAAACTGTCTCTATAAGTTTACCCTAAAAATCCATAGGTATTTTGGGAAATTGAATTATAAGTGGCTAGACTAACCAACATTTGTTTTTAGGCAAACTTAGATTGCTCTATAAATCTTAATCAAATCAATCACCTATGGTAACTGGGGAAGGGGGTTCTTCTGTTTATTAGTCAAAGATATGATGAATTTATTTGTTTTTATTTTTTGCGACAGGGTCTCGCTCTGTTGCCCAGGCTGGAGTGCAGTGACACAACCACGGCTCACTGCAGCCTTGACCTCTCAGGCTCAAGCAATTCTCTGACCACAGCCTCCCAAGTAACTGGGACTACAGGCATGCACCACCATGCCCGGCTAATTTTTAAATTTTTGTAGAGATGGGGTTTCGCTGTGTTGCCAGGGCTAGTCTCAAACTCCTGGGCTCAAGCAATCCTCCCAACTCAGTCTCTCAAAGTGCTGGGATTATGGGTATGAGCTACTGTGCCTGGCTAAGATGATGAATTTCTTATCCACATAATCTGTTAAGGCAAAAAGAGGAAACTGGTTATTCTGTTATCCTGCTTTTTCTTGGGAATATTTATTTTCAAATGATTTGAGTCCTTCAACTCAACAGTCTTATAACCAATAAAAGGAAATGGAGATTGGCGGGAGAGATTAAAACATAAAGGACAGGAATAGGGGAAATAAAGGAAGAAAAGGTCACAGACATAGAAATGTGGAAGTTGAATTCAAATTAATTTTTAATTGAGCCCACCTACTATGGGCCCCTCAAAAAGGCTGACAGTACCACTAACTGTTTTAAGTTTAAATGAAGGAAAATCAAAACATAACAGCATTTAATATTTATTTCTAAAACATCATTCTGAATCAACCATTTAAATAAAGTTTTGTTTTCCACTCACGTTTTCACATTATTCAGCATGTTAATTGGGTACCCACTATTACTAGCCACCTTACCAGCACAGCAGATGACAGATGAACAAGGAGCACAATCTCATAGGAGCTTTATCACATGTGTTTCTAGGCTGAAAAGGCCCTTCTTTGTACTTCTTGATAGGTGGAGTACAGGAATGTAGAAGTCAGAAACCTAGGTTCAAACTCCAGTTCTAAGATACATAGTTTCTGTGTGATTTAGGAAAAATAATCTCTCTGAACCTCAGTCCCCCATCTGGAAAATTAGTATGATACTTACCTCATAAGGCTGTGGGGATTAATTAAAATTATGTATGTAGAGCACTTTGCAGAGTATAGAGAGTGCTAAATAAATGGATGCTGGGGTTATTAAGTGAGAGCCCTAGGATGGATGGATCATGGGTTTCCAAATATGGGATGCAATTTCAAGTTCTTAACACCAAATATAACCCTACTTGTTTTAGTTTCCTGGCATTCATCCTATCATCCCCAGTTTACTGCACCTCAGGTTATCAAGGATGTGGGAGGGATTCTACAAGGGTATGTTCCCCCAGAGCTTTTTGGTACCCTGCAATCCCAGAAGTTGTTGATGCTAGGATGTCTGGAGAGCACTGGCCATTTATTACTGAGAAGTATATGTTACAAAGGAGATGGGAGTAGTAAGGAAAGTTGAGGAACTAACTGATCAAAATAGATGAATGGCAAAAAAAAAAAAAAAAAAAAGAAAAGAAAAATGTTTTAACTTTTAATTCATGATAAAAACCCAGTTAAAATTAGGTATACCAGATTTCTTTATTCTTAACCATGTGTGCACATACACTCAGATTTTTTTCTTTTGGTAGTGATTTGGCTTTTTGTTAACAACGACACAAGTTTTATGTTTAATTTAAATATTACAATGGCTAAACTGGTTTTGGGGAAGATTTTCCAGAAATTTATTAAATACAAAGTTCCTTAACTACTGACTTAGAGAAATGAGTATTGTTTAACCAGGGAAAAAGTTGTCAACCACCACCAGCTTCTCTTCCTACTTTTTTTTAGAATATAAAAGATAATATCTCAATTACTTTTTCCTCTCTCATCATTACTTACAAAAATCTCAATTATTTAGGCATATCCTTGGCATGTTCATAAAATTGTTCCATAGGCATTCTATAATTATAGTCATATTATTTTTAATCCCTACTCATCTCACCTATAATTTTCAAATGTTTTTTATTCAATTTTTATATCCTGTTCATATATTTTTCAGCTACAGTAAAACATGATTTTTCGTGTGTATTATTATCTTTTTTTGAGATGGAGTCTTGCTCTGTTGCCCAGGCTGGAGTGCTGTGGCATGATCTCAGTTCACTGCAACCTCCACCTTCCAAGTTCAAGAGATTCTCCTGCCTTGGCCTCCCAAGTAGCTGGGATTACAGGTGCGCGCCACCACGCCTGGCTAATTTTTTTTTTTTGAGATGGAGTCTCGCTCTGTCACTCAGGCTGGAGCGCAGTGGTGTGATCTTGGCTCACTGCAACCTCCATCTCCTGGGTTCAAGCAATTCTCCTGCCTCAGCCTCCTAAGTAGCTGGGATTACAGGCTTGTGCCAACATGCCTGGCTAATTTTTTTGTATTTTTAGTAGAGATGGGGTTTCACCATGTTGGCCAGGCTGGTCTTGAACTCCTGACCTCGCAATCCACCCACCTCAGCCTCCCAAAGTGCTGGGATTACAGGCTTGAGCCACTGCGCCTGGCCTAACTTTTGTATTTTTAGTAGAGGTGGGGTTTTGCCATGTTGGCCAGGCTGGTCTCGAACTCTTGACCTCAGGTGATCCACCCACCTTGGCCTCCCAAGGTGCTGGTGCCCAGCCTCTACTTTTCCTTTTAATTAGTGTCCTGACTGCTCTAGCAAACTTTTTTTTTTTTTAAATTATTAGCCCCTCTGGGATCCTTTCTTCTAATTGAATTTTTGTCCATACTCAAACTGTTAGTTTGCCATATACCATTTAACCCATGTGCGTCATTTCTAATTTTTTTCAGAGATGGAGTCTCACTCTGTCACCCAGGCTGGAGTGTAATGGCATGATCATAGCTCACTGCTCCCTTGAACTCCTAGGCTCTATTGATCCTCCCACCTCAGCCTCCTGAGTAGCTGGGGACTACAGCTGCATGCCACCATGCCCTGCTAATTAAACAAATTTTTTTTTTAGAGATAGGGTCTTGTTATGTTGCCCAGGCTGGTCTGGAACTCCTGGACTCAAGCAATCCTCTTGCCTCAGCCTCCCGAGTAGCCGGAACTACAGATGCAAACCACCACACCTGGCCTCTGAATATTTTTACCTTAAAAACATGGGGGAGATGAAGACGCATTTCTGAGTCCTAATCTACTGCTGCCTTGGTTGTGCTCTATTAATTTCTGAGATTCTTAGTCCTGTTTACTAAGGAATCGTAGAACATGCAAGTTGTATTGTACTATAGTTGATGGCAAGCTTGCTAACCATTCCTCTGGGTTTTCTTGCTGTGTAGAATAAAAGGGCCAAAGCAAAAGAGTCTCATGGTGTTCATGAGACAGAAAGAGAATTTGATTCCACTATATATCTGTGTAGATTCTCCTTTCATTTTTAGATTTGGAACCTGAACACCTAAGTTACAAAGGCAGAAGATCTGGCAGCTTCAACACACTTGTTTCATTACCTTCACACCCAGGGAGGGCAAGAAGCAACAGCAAGGAATGACAGCTCTGCAGCTCTGCCCCAGGAGAGGAAGGAGATATTAGGGAACTGGGCTGGGGAAAAGTGCTGGATATTTTTCATTCTCCCTAATTTTAAAAAGCAAGTAGTCTTTAACTTTTTGCCTTGATAAGAATTGTACATTCCACTCTAGAGAAGCCTGTGCTTCCCTGTAGCTAGCTCCAAAACAAAAAGGTATGTTCTGTGTAACATGAAACTCAGAAAAAAAAATTGAGGTGGCCGGGCACGGTGGCTCATGCCTGTAATCCCAGCACTTTGGGAGGCTGAAGCCGGTGGATCACGAGGTCAGGAGTTCAACACCAGCCTGGCCAAGACGGTGAAACCCTGTCTCCACTAAAAATACAAAAATTAGCCGGGCGTGGTGGCATGCGCCTGTAATCCCAGCTACTGAGGAGGCTGAGGCAGACAACTGCTTGATTCTGGGAGGTGGAGGTTGCAGTGAGCCAAGATTGTACCACTGCACTCCAGCCTGGGCAAGAGTAAGACTCCGTCTCAAAAAAGAAAAATAAATAAATAAAATAAAAAATAAGTTGAGGTATGGCTTTCTAAAACTATAAACATCTCAGTCATGTAAAATTAGAGAGTAAAGTTTATATATTTGCTTGCTAATTGTTAGCTGTTAGTACATATCAAAAGACTAAATTAAGCCCCCTTCCTAATGGAATAGATAATCGTTTCTTCAAAAAGTGGTAGTATTTAGAAAAAGCCCTATTCTTTAACAATGGGGAAAGCCACTGCAAGAAAAATTTTGATGAGTCACGAAAAAAGTGATCTCAAATAAATTATGTCCATTATGATACTATATACTGTAGTTTGGAAACTTGGTTTATCTGATCTCTTTATACCACTCTCTGATGGTCTCTGGGTTAGAGAACTTTTATCTGGTTCCTATCAGTAATATACATACCACATTTCATTTTAAGTTGGATTTCAAATTTAATTACTTGATAAACTATTGTATCTAAGTAAGGGTAAGATGAATCACTTTTCCTGCTTTTGCTGTTAAATTTTTAATTTTTGTGTGTATTCTACCCGTCCCCTGCCTACTTCCCGTTATTTGAATTCTGCACTTGGTTCCTGTGCTGTTCCTATCCTTACTTAACACTTCAACATATCCCCACAAATCTGAGCTCACATGGTGCTCTAATGCTTTCAACTAAATCTGTACTCACCAGTATGTCTCTCAGTTCTTTTGGCAACTTGTTCTTTTATGTAAATTGTATACAAAATATGATTTGCATATTTTAAATATGATGTGAACAAAAAGAGCAATGCTATTAGTGTTCAGAATCACAAATTTATATTTTTAAAATTAGGAGTTAATTAAAATCCCTTTCATTATGAAAAGGGTACTACATTGCAAGTAATTCACATTAAAAGGCATTCTATTCAATAGATGTGTTTATTGGTGGGTCAGTTTTGCCAATGTTTTAATTCACATGTAATTATGTAGACCCTGTGTCAGCAACAACTAACAATACTACTACTTTAACTGAAAAAATGATAAACTGTTTCCATTGATATACTCTGTGATTATTTTATAATCCTCAAGTTTTATAGTCTTTTACAGAAAAAAATGATAATAAAATATGGCGATAAACTGCAATTTGCCACATTTCCTCCAAATCTTAGACAGTATAAAACACAAGACATTTTTTTGTGCACTCTACTTTTATAGAACAACCAGGTTTATAATTGATCTCTTTATTTTATTAGATTTATCAATATACATGGAAGCTTTCTCAAATCTCAAAGTTCCAGAAGTATGTATTGTAAAAAATCATCTTTTCCTTTAGAGGTCATATTCTTAGAGAGCTATTAAAGTCTATTTATAAACAAAAATAATTGATAAGCTAACACACTTTAGAAATCAGAATATTTTAAATTAAAATATTTTTAATGAATACAAGATATGTCTTTTTAATTAACTATCATAGTTAAATTTAATATCACAAAACAAAATGGCTTATCCCCACTAATTTTTCAAGTGAGGTAAAGCCACTGGAATTTACACTTAATATAAGTTTTAAATGTGATAATTAAATGATAATATTTTATCAATTATAGGAAATATTCATTTATAAAAATTTCCTCAGGTTCATCAATCTTTTTAGGCCAAGTTTGAGCCCATGTCAACCTTAAAGGTTAGATTCAGTGCACCTAACTTGCCTAATAAGCTTGTCAATTTAAGAATATGAATTTCATTAATAAGGGGGAATAAAGAGTAGTTAACTCACTAAAAGCAAACGGGATAGTTTCAAATAATTACTTAAGGAATTTTTAAAATTTAAACAGAAATGGCCAATGATTCTGGGTTTAAAATTTCACAGGATAACCTTAAAAAAAAAAAAACACATAGAAATAGTGAAGTCATCACCTTATTGATGAAAAACTAAAGTTTAATAGTCATTGAATGGGTAACAACCACTTGTAGTCTACATTTAAAAATTTTAATCATAGCTAAGAAAAACTAAAAACAAATAATTCTATTAAGAAACAACAAAAATGATAAACATTTAATACCTAAATGTAGATACTTAAAATCCTAAACAAAAATATTAAAGTTAAAAGGGCCTTGAAATTTGTTTCTAACAAATCATCTTATATAATCAATTCCTAAATAGCTCATATCCTTTGCTTTGGTGTTTTATCTGCTATCATCTAAACATTAGTACAGTAGAAAATCACTCAGGTTCTTTTCAAATGCTTGGCATTATAATGTGATCTCATATCTTTCCTCAAATTAAATTTTGCTCCACATATTCCACATGTATACAGATGAACATCCATGTGCTGCTCCAACTGTTCATTATTTGGGAATATCTGAAAGCAGACCTGGCATATAGTCTCACCAGCAGATAAATGAGAAATCATATGCCGTACATGGTCATGTTTTCTGAAGTTTCCTTGATCACAAATGGAACAGACATACCTGGCCATGCCTTTGTGCATATCATTGTGCAGTCGCAACTGACGCTCTCTTAAAAACTGCTTTCCACATGTTTGACAAACAAACTGTTTTTCCTTAGTATGAACAGTATAGTGTTCTCTTAAGTGACACCGCTGATAAAATCCTTTTCCACACAGATTACAAAAATGCTTTCGTCTGTGATCTCTTTCATTTTCTTCCATGATGGCACTCTTAAACATATCTTGATCTAAGCAGCTAGACATATGTTCAACCACTAGATTTTCAGTTTCAAAACGCTGGCCACAATTAGGACATCGAAAAGGGCAGGCAGAATGTTTAAATAACTGCTTTTTTTGGATACTGTTTATCTGGTAATGATTGTCCCTAAAATCATCCAGCATTTCAACAAACATATCTCTTATTTCGGACTGCTCATCAGGATTCTCTTCCAAGTCCATTTTCTCCTCAGTATTTCCTAACCCATTCATGGTCAGATCTTGGGGCTCGCCACATCGTTGAGCATGTTCCTGAAGCTGCCTACCCTTTACAAGTATTTGTCCACATTTACCACATGCACAGATATTTTCAATGTGTTTGGCTAAGTAATGAGATGACAGGTCCTCCTCGGTTATTGTAAGTCCACACAGCTCACAAGATGCATTTTCAGCATCCTCTTGTACTGGACTGCTGTTGTTAGGGGGCCTCATATTCTCTAAACCACCTCTTTCATCAGCACTTACTGACATTCGAGGTTTTAGAGTTTTCCTACCACTTTTTTTTATGCTGACATCTTCTTCAACATAGTATCTATAAAATGGCTCTTCAGGTTCATCTTCTAATTCATCATTGTCAGTGGATTCATTACAGTCTTTATCAGTAACTTTAATAATGTTAAAGTCTTTCAGTTCATCTGTAGGAATATCTTCTGGCTCCATCTTAATAATAATCCTTTTCCTCTCAGCAGCTCTGCTTTTCTCTTCGCTTGCTATTTCAGACTCCACTGTGCTACTTTTTCTGCTTCCAGTGGTTGAAGCTGAATCATCAGCAGCCTGGCTTGTGTCTCCTCTGTATTTGTCCGTCTGTGCAGAAAATGTTTTGGAAGAATCTTTTTCACCAAATTCAGCTTTGATGTTACTGTCTTTTCCATCTCTAATATCTACTATTCTATGGTAAGATCTTGTGTTTTGGTATAAATGTCTGTTAGTACAGGTTAGCACATGCTCATCTAATAATTTTTCACAGCTAAAGCCAAATCCACAGCTATCACAGGTAAAACTCCGCCCAAAGCGTCTTGACACACGTTCTTTTGGAGTAGATAATTTGGACACGGAACTTTTTTTACATACATCAAATAGTGGCTCAGGAAAATTACCTAATTGTAAAGACTCTTCATCAGCCTCTCTATTATGTGGTGTATTTACCGTTGAACTTGGCTCTGCACACCACCTGTTGGCTTCATTGCCATTTCGAGCCACAGTATCTTCATACATTCTTACCCCAAATATCATTTTGCTGTTCTGTTTGCTGGAAGCAGAAGAGGAACATTTTGAACTAGAACAATCTGCATCCTGGATGTCTTCTAAACAGTCAGGAACATTGTATAGCTGTAGGTAGTTCATTGCCACTTTAAACTGCTCAAAACTGGAGGGAGCTGTCATAATTTTTCCTAAATACATAAACTGCAAAATGAGATCAAAACATTCTGCACTAATTTTCATGTTGCTGAGATTCAGTTGTGCAGTACTATGCTGATGGTTCATGAAAAACATTCTAAAATAGGAGCTACAGGCAGCTAGAACTGCCTTGTGTGCTTGAAAGTAAATGTCATCAATTGCAATACAGCAGTCACAGAGAAAACCCCATTCTCTTTGGTTGTTTAGCTGCTGAAGGACATAGCTGCTGTGGCTGGGCTTTGCCATCTTCTGTTAATTAGAGACCTATGTAAAACAAAAATATTAAAGTCAAACAAGATATAGAAAAGCACTTGACAAAATTAACTTTTATCATGATTTGTGACTTGCATGACTGCTATTACAATCAAGAAATTAAGAGCTTTCCATTCTAATAAAACTCAATAATATATACTTGAATCATTTTTTAAATTTGAAGATGAAGACATCCAGCCATTTATTCAGGCTTTTCATATTGAACAAAGGCATCAAAAGCAAAAGACAGTTTTAGTTTCATTACAACTCTTGGGGGGAACATGTACACTAAATTTGAACAGAAAAAAAGACATTAATTTAAAAATACTTGAAGGAGGCCGAGTGCAGTGGCTCACGCCTGTAATCCTAACACTTTGGGAGACCGAGGCAGGAGGATTGCTTGAGCTCGGGAGTTTGAGACCAGCCTGGGCAATAGTGTGAGACCTCTTCTCTACAAAAAAGTTTAAAAAATTAACCAGGTGTGGTGGCATCACCTGTAGTCCCAGTTACTTGGGAGGCTAAAGTGGGTGGATCACTTGAGCCCGACAGGTAGAGGCTGTAGTGAGTTGCGTCACGCCACTGCACTCCAGTCTGGATGACAGAGCAAGACTCTGTCTCAAAAGAAAAAAAAAAAAAGAAAACAACTCTTGAAGGATATGAGTAATGAAAGTAAATAAAACAGCAACTTAAACTGAAAGTTAACAATTAGATTGTAAAGTATGAAAAACTTATTAAATGATTAATACTAAGGAGCTATTGCTCATTTTTTAAGTGTGAGAAAGGTATTTTGATTGTGTTAAAAAGAATCCTTATCTTTTGGATATATATACTTTAGTATTTACAGATGAAATGATACATCTGAGATATGCTTAAAAATAAATGGGGTGGGTGTGGGGAGCAATAGATGATACAAGATTGGCCATGTGTTGTTAAAATAATCTATTTTAAAAACCCTATTAAGCCTGGGCAACATAGCAAGATCTCGCCTTAAAAACAAAACAAAACAAAACAAAAAAACATTAGCCAGGCATGATGATGCACCTGCAGTCCCAACTACTCGGGAGACTGATGCAGGAGGATGGCTTGAGCCCAGGATTTTGAGGTTGTGGTGAGCCATGATCACGCCACTGTACTCTAGCTTGTGTGACAGAGTGAGACTCTATCCCAAAAATAAAAATTTAAAAAAACCTTATTAGGGCTGGGTGTGGTGGCTCACACCTGTAATCCCAGCACTTTGGGAGGCCGAGGCGGGCGGATCACGAGGTCAGGAGATCGAAACCATCCTGGCTAACACAGTGAAACCTTGTCTCTACTAAAAATACAAAAAAAATTAGCCAGGCGTGGTGGTGGGCGCCTGTATTCCCAGCTACTCAGGAGGCTGAGGCGGGAGACTGGCATGAACCTGGGAGGCGGAGCTTGCAGTGAGCCGAGATCGCACCACTGCACTCCAGCCTGGGCGACAGAGCGAGACTCCGTTTCAAAACAACAACAACAACAACAACAACAACAACCTTATTAGATTATATAGAAATGGCACCAAACAAGTTTGATCAGTGCCTTTGTCTTTTCTTGAATTATCAAAGAAGCAATAATTCTATAGAGTTAGAATGTGTCTCATGTTGCTCAACATGCATTTCAGGGTATAAAGAAGCAGTGGGTTTATTTGAGAAGGTATTTTATTTATCCTTAGAGTGTAAAGTTTTCTTCCTTTTTTTTTTTTTGAGGCAGGGTCTCGCTCTGTTACCTAGGCTGGAGTGCAGTGGCATGATCATAGCTAACTGCAGCCTCAATCTCCCATGCTCAAGCAATCCTCCCGCCACAGCATCCAGAGTAGCTGGGACTGTAGGCACATGCCACCACATTCAGTTTTTTTTTGTTTTTTTTTTTTTAATATTTTAGTAAAGACAAGGTCTTGCTATGTTGTCCAGGCTGGTCTTGAACTCCTGAGTTCAAGCGATCCTCCTGCCTCGGGCTTCCAAAGTGCTGGGATTGTGGGTGTGAGCCACTGCACCTGGCCTCTTCTATTTTTTTTTTTTTTTAATTGTTAAAAGAAAAAAGTAAGGCTGAGCGCGGTGGCTCATGCCTGTAATCCCAGCACTTTGGAAGGGTGAGGCTGAGGTCAGGAGTTCGAGACCAGCCTGGCCAACACGGTGAAAACCTGTCTCTACTAAAAATAAAAAAAGTTAGCCAGTCGTGATAGCGGGCGCCTGTAATCCCAGCTACTCGGGAGGCTGAGGCGGGAGAATCGCTTGAACCCAGAAGGCGGAGGTTGCAGGGAGCAGAGATTGTGCCACTACACTCCAGCCTGGGTGACAAGAACGAGACTCCATCTCAAAAAAAAAAAAAAAAGTAGCAAAAAATTCAAACATAGAGGCATATAGAATAAAAACACACCTCAGATCACACACCTCTTTTCAGAGGTAACCCCTCCAAACACTCTGGATTATATACCTTCAGATTTGTTGAGATGCACATGTACATAGTTAGCATATTGAGTACCTATGAGATGCCAGGCACATAGTTTTGCTTTTGTTGTGTTTTTTAACCTAAATGGTATCATACTATATATATATATATATATATATATATATATACCTCTCTGCAACTAGTTTTCTTCATTTAACATTAGACAATATTAGTGGGCATTTAAGTATTTTTAGTGTAGGGAGCTGACTTTGGATAAGGAAGAAAGGAGAGGAAGTATTAAAAGCACTAGAAATCCTATCATATTATAAAGTTAAAATAAGATCAAATTTTAGCCTCAATTTTTAATCCGTATACATAAAGCTTCAGAATCTATCTTCTACTTAAAAATAAGTTCCTATGCAATTTGACTGAACTTAAAAAGAACATGTAACAAGCTGTTTAGAGAAATAAAATGTTCACTCTTCAAGCTCTGTAGTAGTAATTAAGGGTATCTACGTTTACGTACTTCTATTTGCTTTTTATCCATTCCTCAGCGATCACATATGGGTCATACGCCCCTTTTACTACCTATATGCCCATCCTGCCACCTCTAAGACATAAAGTTCCATAGCCAGAGATACAGGACTGGTGAAATGAAGATGGCTTATGATGAAACCTGCTGCCTTCTTAAAATTGCAACCACTGCACCTTTTCTGGAAGCCAGATCAAGTTTCAAGTAAGTACAATATTTCAAACCTCTGTAACTCAGGTATCTGTAAAAAGCTGTGAGGAATCATGTTCAGTATGTATCTAAATACAAAAAGCAATGTATGCACAAAGATAGTCATTAATGAGTTACTTCTCATTTGAATGCCTAGTAAAAAAAGGAGTCTTAAGGTAAATCTACGCCCCAGAATTCACTGTCATGTGGCAGTGAATTAAAAATTGTATTTCTGGGCCAGGCGCAGTGGCTCATGCCTGTAATCCCAGCACTTTGGGAGGCCAAGGTGGGCGGATTACCTGAGGTCAGGAGTTCAAGATCAGCCTGGCCAACATGGTGAAACCCCATCTCTACTAAAAAATATATAAAAATTAGCCGGGCGTGGTGGCACATGCCTGTAAACCCAGCTACTCGGGAGGCTGAGGCAAGAGAATTGCTTGCGCCTGGGAGAGGGAGGTTGCAGTGAGCCGAGATCATGCCACTGTACTCCAGCCTGGCTGAGGGAGGTTGCAGTGAGTCGAGATCATGCCACTGTACTCCAGCCTGGCTGACAGAGCAAGACTGTCTCAAAAAAAAAAAAAAAAAAAAAATATATATATATATATATATATATATTTCTAAATGGCAACTACAGAAGTGGGAAAAATGTTCAAGATGGAGAGCCAAATAAATAAACACAGGATACATAATTATGTTAGAATTATATAAAACAAATCCACGCCACAACCTTATTCAAAAGGTGGGGGGAAAAAAGATGAAAAAAATACACAAAAATGTTGACCCAAGCCCGTTTTAAGTAGGATGAAATTTCTATGTCTATAGTCATTTTTCTAGGATTCAGAGAGACATTTAATAAATAATAAACTATAGAGTAAGAGGCAGAGGGATAGGTATTATTTCTAAAAAACCAAACTTTCTATTAATAAGAGTAATTCAAGAATGAAACAAACTTGTTTGGAGAATGAGTACCCATATTAAAGCAGGAACAGAATGCTATTGAGGACAGTATAATAAGTGAAAAGAGCATGGGCCTAGGATCAGACAGACCTGGCTTCTTATCTAGCTTTGCCACTTTTGGGAACTTGCTTATCCTCATTGACCCTAAGTTTCCTGAACTGAAAAGGTAGGGATAATACCTCAAATACAGTATCATATATGAGGATTCACAGAGGCAATGTGTAAAATGCATCGTGCTTGGCATGTAATAATGAAAGTAATAGTGGATGTTGTAATGGTGGTGATGCTTATTTAAGCATCAGGTAAGTTTGAGTTGATAACCTTAAAATTTCCTTCCAAATAACAGTCCATTAGAAAGCCAGTAGTTAATCTATAAAAACTTTCAAGTATTAAATAGTCCAGGCTTGAAATAATGATATAAAGAGCACAGAAGTTCCAAAGACCCTTTCTTATCTAGATGAGCAGCAGTTTTATCATCAGCAACCAAAATTAATACAACTACATAGAAGATCAATATGATAGGCACATCTATAGCTATAGTCACAATTCAACTGAGTAAAAATACATATTCTTTTATTAACATAAAACACTAAAACATTTAAATAAGAGCACTTATAGCATTTTAATGCACATTTATTCATTCAACAAACATTTACTGACTACCTTTGGTATACCAGGCACTGTATAAAGTGTTGATCATCAGCAGTAGCACAAGTATTCTGTATTCATTTGAGGAATTTTTACTTTTCCTAGATCAGTGATTTCATTCAACACGTATTCTGCAAAGCGCCCACTCTACAGAAGAAGGCATCATGCTGTAGTAGAAAGAACAAGTGCTCTCAGTCAGACGGATCACAGTGTGAATCCCACTGCATCCATGTTTATACTCCTATATTCCCCCTATAGAGCTGGAAGCTGAACAAATGGAAGCTGAACAAATGCTGTGTCTAATTTTTAATCCTAACACAACAGTTTTTAGGCTGACCTAGAATTGTAGTTTAAGTAACATTATTATGCAAATGTCCAAGTTCTGAGTAAAACTGATTTTAGGCACAGTAACTTATAATAGCAATCATTGACACATTAGTACCAGAAACTCTGTCCTTGTTACACCTCATTCAGAAAAGCTTTTTTCTTAAATTTTAATTATTATTTTTTTGAGACAGGGTCTTACTCTGTTACCCAGGCTGGCATGCCATCATAGCTCAGAATGTCCTCAATAGCATTCTGTTCCTGCTTTAATATGGGTACTCATTCTCCAAGCAATCCTTCCACCTCACACCTTCTGAATAGCTAGCACTACAGGCATACGCCACCATGACTGGCTAATTTTTGTATATTTTTTGTAGTGATGAGGTCTTGCTATGTTGCCCAGGCTGGTCTCGAATTCCTGGGCTCAAGCAATCCTCCCACCTCAGCCTCCCAAAGTGCTGAGATTACAGGTATAAACCACTGTGCCTAGCCCAGAAAAGCTTTAAGAAGGATTACTACACCAAAAACAGGTAGAGGAGTATGCGGCAGGGGAGGAGGGATCTAAATTCCTGTGAGACTTTTAGCTTATCTCTTGAAGATAATTTTTTCATTAAAAATTTTTGAGGCCGGGCACCGTGGCTCACGCCTGTAATCCCAGCACTTTGGGAGGCGGAGGCGGGTGGATCACAAGGTCAGGAAATCGAGCCATCCTGGCTAACACAGTGAAACCCTGTCTCTACTAAAAATACAAAAAATTAGCCGGGCGTGGTGGCAGGCACCTGTATTCCCAGCTACTTGGGAGGCTGAGGCGGGAGAATGGCGGGAACTCGGGAGGCGGAGCTTACAGTGAGCCAAGACTGTGCCACTGCACTCCAGCCTGGGCGACAGAGCAAGACTCCATCTCAAAAAAAAAAAAAAAAAATTATGAGGCATTCACTTTCATTAAATTATAATTTCACTCAAATTCCAAGAGGAGTTTGCTCTTTTTTCATTTTTTTGACCTCTTTATTAATGCTGCCAAAAAAAGTTAATGAACTTTATGTTCTAGTAAAGCCTATAAAAGGTTTTAAGTAAATGGACAGCTTGTATTTCAGCTGTTCTTGTTTTTACGACTGAAATCTGTGATTGCTTTTGTTTGTACTACTAGCTGCATCACTGGTAGGACAAGTTTAGCACAACTAGAAGTCAAGGGCTCAGGTCTGAGAGCAGAACCTCCAATGTGACTCAAAGGACTTAATGTCATTTGGATAAGGAAAACAAGCTATATAATGCCAAGAGTTACACTAAGGCTAGAAGGATACCCACTGTGCAGAACTCTAGCAAGAATTAAGGAGTTAGGTGATCCAAAAAGTTTTATACTGGATTTTTAAAATTTTAGTCTGAAAAAGTTTAACGGCTCATCTCAAGTTTAAAAACAGTCACCAAGCACATTAAGCATATTAAGTAATTTAATCATACATTTTTAGAGCTTAGAGAGATCTAATCTAGTCTAACATTCTTATTCCATAGAAGGCAAAGATACATGGTTTTTAATGTATCAGGGTATAGTTAACTGTGCTGAAGCACATACTAGGACTAAGGACTCCTGACCACCCAGATAGTAATAACCTCTATATATGGCACTTCCTTGGTACTATACAGTATGGTCTTCCGGAAAGAACACTAAACAAGGACAGGGCATGAGTCCTTAATACAGGGTTTGTTGGTTGGATGCTATTGAGCAAGTGATTACCCCAATCTGAATTCTTTATCTGTAATGTGGCTTTATCCATACATGTCAATCTAGTCTTATTCAATAGATGTGTTCCCTAAGTTATACTGTGTAAGCTATTTCAGTAAATTTCTCACTGACATAGTAAGATTTCAGAAATATTTTTCCTCCATTGCTAGATCTCTCAAATTGGAAATAACAGTTTTGCTGGAAGTTTCTCTTGCTCCAGCCTTGGTAAATGATAATTTAAGGGTCTATAAATAAGCATATCCAATGAATAAAGAAGTAACTTAAAGGAATTTTAAAGTGTTTCTGTGAGGCAAATAATCACCCTCTAAATTGTGTCACAGACTTGCAGCACCAATGAGGCATTTGAAGATGATTCGCTTAGCCTCAGTGAAAGTCTAGAGAGCCTAGCATCACAGTCCCAATTCAGCACCCCAATCTCTGACTTACAATTACCTCTGGATCTCAAGGAAGATTTATGTATATATGTTTCCTTTTACCTATTTCTATGTCTTATAGGTTGAATGTATGTATGCATATGGATTTGAGGATTACAGAGTATTTTAAAAGTCTAAAATGTAATGAAAGGATTCTTACATTTTAACATCAGAATATCAGAATCTATTGAATACTCATAATGTTCCTAACACTGGATAGAGCATTGAAATGGAGGGTGGAGAAGGATGGTGTACAATAGAGATAACTGTATATGAGGGATTAAATTTGAAACCAAGAAACAATTTGAGGAGTTTAATAAACTATATTGAGGCCGGTGCGGTGGCTCATACCTGTAATCCCAGCACTTTGGGAGGCTGAGGTGGGTGGATCACCTGAGGTCAGGAGTTCAAGACCAGCCTGACCAACATGGTGAAACTCTGTCTCTACAAAAATACAAAAATCAGCCGGGCATGATAGTGGATGCCTGTAATCCCAGCTACTTGGGGGGCTGAGGCAGGAGAATCGCTTGAACCTGGAGGCAGAGGTTGCAGTGAACTGAGATTGAGCCACTGCACTCCAGCCTGGGCAACAGAGCAAGACTCCATCTCAAACATAAAAATAAAAATAAAAATAAACTATATTGAATAAAGTTCAGCAAGAGTTTAGAAGAAAAGCGTTAATTATACCAAAATAGTAGGCTTTAGGAAGGATGTAGGATTTGAGTAAAGCCTTGATGAATGAGTAGGATAAACAGAAAGCAAGGGTGAGGCATTTCGAGTATTTATATAGATGTGTATGTAAATAATTGAGGAGGGTACACAGCAGCTTGGCTGGAAATGTAACAGGACAGAAGGTAGATTTGCTTTACTGGACTGGTAGATGAAGGTTATCAAAGTAGAGTAAATGACAACTGTAATACAATAATAATATGAATAGCTAACATTTGTTATGTCTCACTATATGCCAGGCTCTATTCCAGGCAGATGTATAGGGAGATGTATATATATCTCTCACAGATACATTACACATATACACATATGGATATATATGGATATATGCAATATATATGTGTGAGATATGCACACATATATTGCATATATACATGTATGTATATACATGTATGTGTGTATGTGTGCATATCTGTGTATGTATCCATATATAGGTATCATTTTATGTGTATGTATGCATATATAAGTATCATTTTAGCATTTAATCCTCGTAACAAACCCTACAAAGTAGATGCTGCTATAAGACTCATTTTCAAGATTAAATAACAGAGGCATACAGTGTTATATAACCTTTGTAATATCACAAAGAGAGGACTTCATGGGATTAGAACACAGGCAATATGACTCTAAGCCCAAGATCATGACCTTAAAGATTCTGCCATCTATAAAAATAATGTCACATTGGCAAAATTCTTTCCTAGAATACCATCTTGCAGGGTATAGGGTCCAATCTCTATTACATTCTCTAGGTTTCTCCTTGAAACTTCCAGGAATAACCAGTTGTAGAGGCTCCCAAAGATAAGAGGTTTTATTTCAACGCACTTAAGTGACAAACACGATCAAGTTTAGAAAATTTTATGCACTATCTGCACTGGTGGCTGTGCATTAGACTCCAAATTCAGTACTTAGTACAGGAAGTTCTGCAATTATAACTGGGTTATATCCTAAAACTTTATTTTTAATTTATTTGGAACTTGAAACACATATTCCCATAGAAACAATAATATAAATGGTGGCTTAGTTTTATACCCACACCCTAAAGACATAATGGAGCTATATATTAAGCCTAACAGTGCAGTAGTATTACTTGTATCATTAGCACTGACAAGAGATCCAAGGAGCAGTGTGATACAGCAATGCCTACTGTACTGAAGCCTCAAAGACAGGGACAAGGCTTAATGGCCTTTGTTTTCCTTGTGCCTAGCACACTCTTCCCACATAGTTGACACTTAATATGTGCTTGTCAAGTGAAGGAATTAAAAAAGAAGCCAGAGAGCATATACTGTTTGTTTGAATACAAACTCTACCACTAGTTTAGCTATGCGGGAACTTCTTTAAGCCCAATTTTCTCATCTATAAAATTGGGATAATCATACTTCTCAGAGGACTCTTAAATAAATTAGAGATGACAAATGTTCCTTTGCCTTTTCAATCCAAGCACAGTACAATTTAAAAAAAATTAATGTCATAATTACAGTTTATAGAATTTTATGAAATGATCAAGTTCAACCCACTGCTTTATAGATCAAAAAGCAAACTGAGGCCCTAAGAGGTTAAGTGGTATGTTCAAAGTCACATTTAGTTTTAGTGGCTGTCAGGATAAGACCTTGGTCTCCTCAATCCTGGTCTAGGGCTCTTCATACTACTCTAACTGCAGCCTACACATATAGCATCACCCGGCTGGCTGTTTTCTCCTCTGAAACAATTATGTTTTGCTGAAACATAGTAGTTGTTCAAATTTGCAAGGGTTTGCACCTACACAAAATGGCCTCAGACTGTTATGCTTTTGGAGATTGGGCTTTGTTGGCTAGTTAGTATTTTTCTGTCTCTTTACTTGCAAGCCAACAACTGTCACTTCTGAAAGGTGTGCTGATCTCCTGTGGCCCACCATTTCAATCTCTTCTTGGCTGTGAAATTAGACAAAAACTCATTGAAAATTGAATCTACATATCCATTCATCCTAAAGAGGGAGCACAACATCTTCTGAAGATCTAGGGAAATGCTCATAAGATGTAAAGTTTTAATTCCTGAATTTTGCTGACAGGCGATCATATTTCCTTCCTCTTTTGCATCAGGCCAAGGCACTGGATAGCTGAGGTTGCCAACCAAATAACTTACAAATAAGTGAGATGTTCCTGTAGTTCAGTTGCATTATATTCTAAGAAATGAACTTACCCACACAGAAAGCAGAAGGAACACAGTGGCTTCTGGAATATTCCTCTCTCCCTCTCCAGAAGCAGAGGAGGAAAAGTACATTTTAATCCATTCATCCTAACGAGACAGCACAGCATCTTCTGACCACCAGAGGGCACTGTGTAAACAGTAGGCTTTTCTCAGCTAAAAACGCTTCACCAGGAAATCCCTTATTGCACATGGCATTCATATTCTTAGGGTTCGTTTTGTAGGACTTCTATTTCAAAGTACTAATTCTGTGGACTCAGATTTTGTCTGGAACCCACTTAAAAATGCCCCTCCCTGTATTTTGTCTCAGCTGCCACCACTATGTACCAATCACCTAGACTACTTGGGAGCTACCTATAACTTCTCCCTCATAATCAACCATTAAGTGTTGCCAATTTTCCCATTAAATATTTCTCAAATCTGCCCATCTACTCCATCCCTACCTTTCCTGCTCTTGCAAGGCCTCTGTTATCACTCCTGAGTTATTAAAATAGGCTCAACCAGTCTCTCAAATCCTTCACTCTCAGGTAATCTTTTTCTTCCCAGAGCAATGCTGTTTTGAAGATGATTCATGAAGAAGAAAAATCATATCACACTATTCTACCATGGTTCCCCTCACATATCTTCAGACTAAAGTATAAAATCATTATTGAGGCATACAAAGCCCTCCATGCCCACCCATCTAGTCTTACATGTTTAGTTACTGCCTGCTTCAAACTTCATGTTCAAGCAACATAAAACTGCTCATCACCACCTTCACCCTCCTCCACACACATCCAGTATACTTCATAAATTTCTTACTTCCCCTGCAGTTTTACTCATGCCGATTGGTTCTTTGGGTCTGAACCTCCCAGATATCATTTAAAAATCAGTTTATCACCTCCTGCAGAAAGCCTCTGTAACACCTTCCTCTCCCACTATTTTAGGTTTTGATCTCATTGTGTATTACCTCTTTATTTTGCACTTTTTACACTGTATTTTAATAATCAGAACAGCTACATAAAGTAGGTGTTAAAGCACAAACTAACCAGACTGCCTGGGTTTAAATTCTGGCTCTGCCACTTATTAAGTGTGTGACCTTGAGAAGGTTGCTTAGTCAATTTGTGCTTCAATTCTCTAAGAAGGGATGGTAATCCTTTCTACCTCTGAAGAATTATTGTTAAGTATATCTCTCATGGAGTAAGTGCTAAATAAGAATTGGTTATAATTATGTGTTGGTCTCCCCCATGAGATTGTGAGCAACTTTAAGGCGAGGACTTTGGCTTTTTCATTTCTCTGGAATATTAAGTATTCAGTAAGTGTTACTGAATGAATAACTGGTGAGACAGCTCTATGATGATGGGAGGGATTACCCAGTTTCCTTCTTTGAGCAGATCCTACACTTTTTTTTTTTTTTTTAATTGAGACGGAGTCTCGCTCTGTCACCCAGGCTGGAGTGCAGTGGCACAATCTCGGCTCACTGCAAGCTCCGCCTCCCAGGTTCACGCCATTCTCCTGCCTCAGCCTCCAGAGTAGCTGGGACTACAGGCGCCCACCACCACGCCCGGCCAATTTTTTTTTTTTGTATTTTTAGTAGAGACGGGGTTTCACCATGTTAGCCAGGATGGTCTCAATCTCCTGACCTCGTGATCCGCCTGCCTTGGCCTCCCAAAGTGCTGGGATTACAAGCGTGAGCCACCACACACCCGGCCAGATCCTACACATTTTAAAAAAAATTGTATTGTTTCCAATTTTGTGGCTCCAGTTTTGTTTAATTCAAACCAAAATCCTGAAAACATCACAATCATATAATTGAAATTCAACAAAATGAAACCAATTTTAAAAAATCATAAAATGCATGTTCATTCTAAGAAACTTAACTCCATTTTTAAGCTTTAAGATTCCCCCGATCCCAAATAACCTAACACACCAAAAGCCTTGCCATTTCACACATGCTGTTCCTTTGCTTAGAACCTTTTCAATGTCTAGCTCACTCTGTTTGGGACTTCTTTTTTCTTTTCTTTTTTTTGAGACAGGGTCTGGCTCTGTCATCCAGGCTGGAGTGCAATGGGGCAATTTCGGCTCACTGCAACCTCCGCCCTTCCAGGCTCAAGCGTTCCTCCCACCTCAGTCTCTCGAATAGCTGGGACTACAGGCATGCGGCACCACGCCCAGCTAACTTTTGTATTGTTTGTAGAGACAGGGTTTCGCCATGTTGGCCAGGCTGGTCTCAAACTCCTGAGATCAAACAATCCGCCTGCCTAGGCCTCCCAAGGTGCTGGGATTACAGGTGAGAGACATTGTGCCTGGCCTCTTTGGGAAGTTTTTTCTGATCTTAGGGTGAGGCAGATGCCTCTTCTGTGCTGCCAAAACAGCCTATACATACAACAATATGGTACCAATAATGCATCATCCCAACTGTGATGCTCTGTTACCACACTTAAGGCAGATATTGCAATTATTTGGCTCCCCTGCTTTACTGCAAGCTCCTTGACATCAGGGCAGTATCTCAGTCATTACTGAATGTCTGACATTTAGTTGATACTTGATGAGTTTTTGAATGAATAAATGTTTAAACAGGTAAGTTTTATTTTGCTTATCAATTTTTTGTTTATTTCAATCATGGCAACTTTTATATAGTGGTTGGAAATTAAAATTAAAATTAAAATTTAAAGCATTTTCCCATACATTATACAACTGATCTCACAACCACCCTGAGATAGGTATTTTTATTATCCTCATTTTGCAAATGAAGAAACAGGTTCAGTGGCTGACTTCCCCAAAACTGCTTATCTTGTAAGTAGAAGCTGAGACTCTTGATTCAAAGCCCTAAGTTTCAGTTTGTGTAAACCAGACAACACTCTTCTGAATATGACTATTAGCTGAAGTGCCCCTTTGGAACATTCTAAGCCTCCTAGAGTCACCTTTTTCATGAATCTAAAAGCTCTCATCATTCTCTTACTGCTCCATCTTGCAGGAAGAATGTCCAGTCCCTTCCCTAAATCCCCTTCCATCTGCTAACTCCCCACTGTCCACCAGAGCATGCCTCTTCTAATACTTCAGATTCAAAGTGGGGATGGAACTCATCTCTAAAAACGACTGCATGCATCTCATATAGACAAAAGAAAATCTGGTTAATTCTTTAATCTTCAAATTTTATTTTGAAAACTATTTTAAATTCAAAGACAGAGTAGTATAAAAACCACCCACGTCCCCAACACTCTCAAATAACCAATGTTGTAATTAACTTTCTATGTACTATTTTGGGGCTCTGTTTTTAGATCATCATCAACTTCTTCACAGTTCATTCTTCTTAAATACACATGGCTAAGGAGTGAGACCCTGCCGCTTCCTCCCCAGTATCAGTCTCTTCCATGCCACATCTGAAAACAGCGGTCATTGACCCTTCTTTCGTCCAATTTCCTTTCCATATGTTCAGCATGCAATCTTTGGTGCTGATCAAGAGGAACCCCATCCCATATCAGCACAGGGATATATTGGCAGTGGTCTTCATGGCAAGTATACCCACTCCTTCCTAATTATAAATTATGAAACTCTCTATAAAGGTGAGGGTTTGCTTTTGTTTTCATGTGTTTGGCTGCTGTAAATCAATCCATCAGAGGCTGGGCAACAACATTAACATGAACAAAGTATGAAAAATAGCCCACCATGATACAGTAAGTATTTAATAAGGACAAACCTAAAATAGCAGCCCAGTTAATCAAATAATTTTAAATCAGCCCAATGCAAAACACTCCCCTTTCCTCTACCTGGCAATTCTTACCAACCTGAGTAATGTGAACAGAGAACATGAGTCCATGAATCACCACAGGCCATCCCCAGGCAGAGTGAGGCACACACAGCTGTGATCAAATGTTGCCTTCTCTCGTTTTAAACAAGGAATTAACTGTACATGGTGATTATCTCTGGGGAGTGGGAGTCAAAATGACTTTCATTTTTGTATTTTATGTACTTCAATACAGGCTGAATTTTTCAAAGAGCATGGATTTTATAATAAAAAACATTTCCATTTTGAGAAAAAATAGACACGAGTAACCCTTAATTTGGTTCACATAAGAATATGAGAAAAAATAATTTCACCATTTTAGCATGAGATACTAGCACAGAAGAAAATGTCAGGAGAAAACATTCTATAGAGACCAAAGTGACCTCTCAAGAAGATGTTTCTCAAATATACCTCATTTTTTTTGGGAAGACAACAGATTGCAGCTTATTAACAAAAATCTATGGAAATTTTTCTGTATTTCTATACCAAATAGTTTCCTCTCCTTTGCACCAAAGGCTTAGTGCTTTTCCTGGCTAGAGGGCAAGTCTGAAAGCAGGTACTTCTTTTCTCCTGCACATTAGAAAGGGAAATGATGCTACAAAGAAAACGAGATACTCTTAAAAAGGTCGATGAACTATATCTTCCCCAGAGCCTGGCAAAAGAGGAGAATGAGGAAGCAGTACAAAAATTTAGAAGTGTTAAACTGAAATCAAAGCACAAGGTCAAGAGCAAGTGGCTGTGACTGTGCTCATGCCCTGCTAAGGCCCTGGTTAAATATGGTTTCTCTTTTCTCTGACAATGATACACCAGTCCCTTCCCCACAAAAACCCCAAAAAAGTAGGCCATCGTATTAGGAGTGGGAAGAATAGAAAGGCTTCAGGAAAGACTGTTCAACCTGAGTTATTCAATACCATGAAAATGTGGTATTAATGGAGAAAGCCTGCTTGCTCATAAAACGAATGTAAGAGGTTAACTGAAGACTCTACTGTAGACGTTATGTTTATTAACCTTTGGAAAAGCATTTCACCTCTACTATGCTTCAGTTTCCTGTTTTTGTTGTTGTTGTTGTTTGTTTTTTTGAGACAGAGTCTCGCTCTTGTTGCCCAGGCTGGAGTGCAGTGGCGCCATTTCGGCTCACTGCAACCTCCGCCTCCCAGGTTCAAGCGATTCTCCTGCCTCAGCCTCCTGAGTAGCTGGGATTACAGGCGCCCGCCACCACGCCAGGCTAATTTTTGTACTTTTAGTAGAGATGGGGTTTCGCCATGTTGGCCAGGCTGGTCTCGAACTCCTGACCTCGGGTGATCCACCCGCCTCGGCCTCCCAAAGTGTTGGGATTACAGGCGTGAGCCACTGCGCCCGGCCCAGTTTCCTGTTTCTTTAAGAGGAGGAACCCCCTTTCTAGCTCCCAAAGTCATCCAGTTATTATTGAGACTTTATTAGATATCCAGCAAGTGATTCAAAAGCAAAGTTTTGAGGTTCTGAGCAAATGTTGGCCAGCCATCATTCAAGCCTCATCTTTTTGTACTCAATTTTCCCCGTTTCTCCACATCATATCTATCTGCACTGACAAAATTTCATAGAATCTAATTTCTCCGTTTCAAAGAAGGCTGTGATTGCTCTGTAAATTATGAGACCTGCATCCTTCACCAAATCTGCTTCAGAGACATTGATCCTACGTTGCCTCAAAAAGCCTCGGACCACTCCTTGGGTTCGAGTGTCAAAGGGAACACTATTTCTTGTACTGATACATACCGTATGGAAATACACTAACACCAATGAAGAATCTGCGTGCACTGCCACACTGAAATTCGACTTAAGAACGTTATCACACACAAATGTCCTATCCCCAGAAAACGTCAAGGATTTTCATCAACCTCTTCCTGATTCGCCCAATTTAGAAAATGTCATGTCAACCCTTCAGATCATGTACACGCGTTGCTTAGGTAGAAAGGGAGACTGGGTGGGGTGGCTGAGCTCAGACCCTGCCTACATACTTTAGTAGTAACGACTCCCGATCTGCATCCAACACATTTACCGAACTTCTAGTAAGCGCCCACCGCTGCAAGCGAAAGCACTCCCTTCCCAAGAAACAGATCTTTTCCACTTAAAATTCCCAAACTCAGACCTTCCACTTTTTACTGAACAAAAAGCGTGTGTGCCGGCGAGAGGGGGTGGGAAACAGCGTAACAAGAATTTGCACGGATCTTACGCCTCCTCCCTCGGAGCGCGCCCAAGTCTGCAGCCTCGGGCTCCGGGACACTTCCCCTCCCACCCGCCGCCGAGCCGCAGCTGTAAGTTGAGAGAAGCGGGCTCTAGGCACGTCAATCAACCGGGTTCTCCCGCCTCCCGTCTACACCTCCCCTCCCCCCTCGAAAAAAATAAAGGCAGAGAAAGAAAGAAAAGAAGGTAACTAATTTGGGAACTAGTCTCCGTAGGGGCTTCGCCTCCGACTCAGGGAGGCCGCACGCCCGGGACCTGACGCGCCGGCAACAAGCAGGCGGCCTGGCAGCCGCCCGTCACCGGGTCCTCGCAGCGCGTCCGCCGCGCTCCGGCTCCCCGCACGGATCGGCGCCCCTCCGGCCCCGCACTCCGCCAGGCCCGCGGCCCGTCGCCCTCCGGCCTGGGCCAAAGTTGCGCAAATAGCCCCACAACTGGCAAATACTTACCGGCCGCAACAGGAACCAGAGCTGCGGAGATTTTAGGGAGTTTAAGGCAAATCAGCCGCGGGAAAGGCGGGCGAAGGCGAAGGGGCCGCGAGCTGCAGTGGCGGCGGCGCGCGGCGCTCGGCGCTCGGGCTGGGCTGCGCGGAGAGGCTCTGGCTCTGCCAGGGACTGTGCTGCAACAAAGGACTTCCGCTGCCGCACAGCCGCGCCTGCCGCACCGCACTGAGCCGGCCCCGCTTACGCGGCGACTCCGGGTCTGCCCACCAGTTCGCTGCGGCGTCCGCCAGCCTTCCCCTCCCTCTCGCCCGCCCACCCACTCTGCCGCTGGCTGCTAGGGGCACCCGCGGTCGCCTGTTTGTTGCAACAAGTTTCTGCGTCGAGCTCCGAGGAGGCTGGCGCAACCCGCACCGCGGGGGCCGTCGCGGCGGCGGCGGCTTGACCACCCCTCTTGCCCCTCTCAAGGGTAGGCTTGGGACCTCCTCCTCCTCCTGTTTGCACAGCTGGATGGAACTGGGCTCCTCCCGACTCCCCAGGGCAGGATGCGAGGCTGCTTTCCCACTCCGTCCAGATGTCAGACCCCTGCCCGTTGGGCCCAGCAGCTGGGCCGTCACTCGCGGTCCGCCTCGAGTGCTCCGGCAACCTCGCCCTGCCCCGTCGGTTCAGGGTCGCCCAGTCCCCGCGCCCCCCCGACCCCACCTTCCGTGGGCCTGCTGCCTCTGGCCCTGAGTCACTTCCCCCGCCATGCCCCACCTCGCCCAGTCCGCCTCTCCACCCAGGCTCCCGCGGCTCGGCCTCCCTGGCCCCGCGCCCTCATCCCTTCCCCAGCGAACACGCGGGCGCATCCTTCCCCACCCCCACCTTCACCCCAGAACTGAGGGGGTGCCTGTGCTTTTGCACACCCTGGGGAAAGTCCCCGGGTCACGCGGTTGTTTGTGGGGAGCCTGTGACGCTCAGGCTTGTCCCTATGCTTCCGCCTACAGAGTCACAACTGCGAACTGTGGCGGCGGCACTCAGAGCGCGGGCCGACCCCCGCCCGGCCACTGAGGCGGGCGGGCGGGAGGGCGCGCACGTACGCACGCACGCACGCACGCACACCCCGGCCCTGGCGCCCCTCTTTCCCCTGCTACCAGACACGCGGTCACGTGGGGCCATCGCGGGCTGCCGGCGCGGGAAGCCGCGCGAGAGGCGGCCGAGGGGTGCGTGAGCCGGCGCCACTGCTTGCAGTGCGCGGCTTGGGAGCCCGCCCCTCCTGCACGGAGGAGTCGGCCTGCCGCCGCGGCGGCATCTGGGTAAGCGACGCGGTCCTGCCCCTGTGGGCTGCCCCGGGCTCAGTCCCTCCTGCCGCGAGCCACCCAGGGCGGCGGCCTGCAGCTGCACCAGTCGCGGGACAGATGCAAGTAGCTGGGGAGAGGGGTGTTTTTGGTCCGATTGAGATGTCAGGCAGGGCACAGGAGGAAAATACATCCGCGAGTGAGCGCTGGGCCGACAATACCCAGAACCACCCTTTGCTGCTCGTAGGAGCGGCTGCCGGGGCCTGATTCAGGGTGGCACACGGGGTGCCGCGAAGGTGCAGAGCCGTCCCGGCCGCGGGTCCGGGTGCGACCCCCAGCAGGAAACCCCAGTAGGCCTGCGGCCTCCCTCGGGTAGCGCCGACCCCTCTTACGAGCGGGCGACTTTCCAGATGCTGGGAGGACGCTGCGGCTACTGTTTCCACTCCCAGCTTGTGATTACCTCGTTTCTAGGGCAAGAAGACATCCCCCCCTTTTCTATCTTCAAATTATGTTTATCTTGTTCTAAGCATATCCGGTTTTTCTTTTTGAAGCTTGACCCATCTTATCACCGTCTTCTCTGGCACTCAGTATTTGGAGTAATCAGTTGTTACCAGTTGCGGAGGCAGCGCATAGCACAACGTAGTACCTGGAACCTGACGGCACCTAGCATGTTTCAACAGTTAGCGCCCGCATCACCCCAAGGGATTAAATTTGGCATTCTTTCTCTTGAGACTCAAGTCCTGGCAGAGCTGTTGATCCTCTCACAAGATTCTGTCATGTATGTAAAGTACACTTTGGAATCTTAAATTTTAGAGCCGAGAGGTGCCTTATAGAAAATCTGTTTCATCCCTCTCGTTTTACAGAGAAGACACCAGGCCTGAAGAGCGTGATGTAGCTGGAGCTAGCTACACCTCTTGATAGCTAAGACTCCAAGGCTCCAGACACCTTGGTGATTGCACTCTCCACCATGCCAGGACCGCAGTGCCAGTTTACCCCACTCACCTGTAGAGAATGTATCCGGCGGAGGTCATTATATATACTTGGCTTGATTCAGGTTATGGAGAAGTCAGGCATGGCCACTGTGTGGGTTTGATGGTATTTCTAGGTGAGGTAGGCCGCCTATGGTGTATTTTTGGAACTAAAAGCCTACACCCCCCAGCCACCCCTGAAAGTTTCATTGCTGTTCTCTATTATTTGCAGCATTGGTTGCTTCCTTATGTTAAGGCATCAAAGTCTTCTTTAACAATCTGGATATATTTTAGTTAAGGGTAAATCGTGAATCCGTTATCGGACATCAACTCCTTAATAGGGAACAGAACACTGATGGGATATGACATGGAACAGATTAATTCTGAGAGCTGGCAGTCAGTGAAATATCAAGGTGTGGTCAGGAAGAAAACAGAAAGGAACCCACGTAACCTGCTAACACCTTTTTTGTCCAGTCCTACCTTGAATGTCTTATTTGCATGTAGTAGAGATGGATTCTGCTCAAGTTGGCCGCTGTTTACTGAGTACTTGCAGTGGGCCAAGTATCATACTAGCTGCTTTCGTAGATGAACTTTGTGTCTTTACCAAAAAGGAGATGGTACTGTCTTCATGTTACAAGCCTGAGGAAACAGGCTCATTACCTGGGCTGTGGTAATACAGTCATTCGCAGTAGAATTTAAGCCTAGATCGCTTATCTCTCAAGTCCAATCAGTGCTGTTTTGCATTATATCTTGCTCCTGTTTCAGCCGGGAAGGGAATGAGAGAATCGCCTGTGGCTGATTTATTGGCGCCTGTGGTTGCCCAGAGAGGCCAAGCAGGACTTTCAGCTGCCCTCTATGCCTTACAAAGTGGAGCTGTGAGCTTCCACCCTATCTCCTGAGGGGAATGTGAAGGAGCCAGGCTGTCTAGCTGGGGAGGAGGTGCCTTGGCCGTAAAATATCCTGGCCAGGGCTGTGCTGGGAAGTGTTGCATAATGTCCTCCCCACCACTGAACCAAAGTGATTTATTTGCTATGGTCCGTAGGTGGTGCCTGACCAACTTGTCCATTTTAGCAATAACAGGGCCAGAAAAGAGTTGGGGGTTTTATATTATTGCAGGGTTTTTCCTTGTTTTAAAAAAGCAGTGCAGGTGCTCTTATCTTGATAAGTTATAAAGTGCTTCTTTCTGCACCACTTCCTGTGCCCCTTTTCTGTGTATTTATTCCAAATAGCATGTGAACTTCAGTCTTTTAAGAAGAGAAAGCTAAGAAAATATTGCTCCAGTTTATTAGCACAGGCTATGGAGACAGACCTGGCTTTTTATCTCCACTTTATACCATTTGCTGATTGTGTGTCCTAAGCTTAGGATTTTTCCTCATTTGTAAAATGGAAATGAAAATAATACATTAGTCATCACAGTGACGATTTTAAGAGATAGTGTATATAGAGCACTTAGCACAAGGCCTCGCATATAGTATTTATTATAATAATAGGTTTTGAAAATAACCAGAATAGTATTCTCCCTAAAAAGGAAAGATATTGCTACTTGAACCTGCTTAGGGATAGAGGAGGAAGAAGAAAGTGTTTGTAACAAACATCAGTTTCAGGATTATTGATTAAATTTTTTTATACTTCTGGGGTTTTTTTTGTTTGTTTGTTTTTTGAGACAGAGTCTACCTCTGTCACCCAGGCTGGAGTGCAGTGGTGTAATTTCAGCTCACTGCAGCCTCCGCCTCCTGCATTCAAGCGATTCTCTGGCTTCAGCCTCCCGAGTAGCTGGGATTACAGGCGCCTGCCACCACACCTGGCTAATTTTTGTATTTTTAGTAGAGACAGGGTTTCGCCATGTTGGCCAGGCGGGTCTTGAACTCCTGACCTCAAGTGATCCGCCCACCTTGGCCTCCCAAAGTGCTGGGATTATAGGTGTGAGCCACTGTGCCTGGTCCATGTTTTCTTTATCCATTTGACTATCCATGGACATTTGAGTTTTTCCCCCTTATTGGCAATTCTTCTGCCTCAGCCTCCCAAGTAGCTGGGATTACAGACGTCTGCCACCACGCCCAACTAATTTTTGTATTTTTAGTAGAGACGGTTTCACCATATTGGCCAGGCTGGTCTTGAACTCTGACCTCAGGTGATCCACCCTCCTCGGCCTCCTAAAGTGCTGGGATTATAGGCATTTATTTACCGTTCTGCTTTCCCTTTGCTAGCAGGAATTTTCTTTCTCTCTCTCTCTCTTTTTTTTTTTTTTTTTTTTTTGCTTTATTGGGAGAAAAAGTGCTTAGAGTGTTCAGTTATTTTTTATATTTTTCTAATTCATTTCTTCTCTGGTTACAAATCAGTCATGCATGGATGTTTTATTTTTTCTGAAATCTCCAAGCACTTTAAGCAAAGGTTTTTATTAGCCCACTTGAGTAGTGTGTTCATGGGAGTATACTTCCATTGCGAAAGAAGTATTGGTTTACTTGTATCCAGAAGTTTTAGTTACTCTTGCCTGTACTGTATTCTAGGTCTGTACTAGCATTATAATTTTCCATCTTTCTCCTGTCCTTTGAGTACCTTATTTTTTCTTTTAGAAATTTGGTTTGTCTTTAATGGACTGAGAGGAATCTTTTCCTTTCTTTCTCCGGGTTCTGATTTTTTTTAAAGGTCTATTAACAATTTGTGCTTACTGTTGTTAGTATTCTTGTGTGCTTGGCTTTATCAGGCATCCTACAATGTAATGTTGGTTAGATGGGAATTAGAGGTGCTTGGAGGTTGGCTATGTCTGCCAACAGGCAGGAGGCCCCAAACTAACGTTTCCCAGTTCCATTAAAGGTTTCTAGAGCATAACTACTCTTCCTGTTTCATCTACCCCCTCCATACCCTCTTTGCTAACATTCTCAGTAGATCTTAATAAGCAGATGTCTGGAATTACAGCAGATTTTACCTCAAACAGTATTTTCAGATTTAGAATTTCTGTATCATTTTTAGGTGTTATGAAATCCAATCTAGGTGTAATGGAGTAAGAGAGTAAATATTTCTTTTTCCTAAATACTATTTGAAAAGAAGTCTGAAAATAGTGTGTTCCTCCACCCCCCCACCCATGCCCATCCTGCCAGTTTAGGAGCACTTTTGATTCTTTTTTTTCTTTTTCTTTTTTTTTTTGAGATGGAGTTTCACTCTTGTTGCCCAGACTGGAGTGCAATGACACAATCTCAGCTCACCACAACCTCTGCCTCCTGGGTTCAAGCGATTCTCCCGCCTCAGCCTCCCGAGTAGCCGGGATTATAGGTATGTGCCACCACACCTGGCTAATTTTGTATTTTTAGTAGAGACGGGGTTTCTTCATGTTGGTCAGGCTGGTCTCGAACTCCCGACCTCAGGTAATCCACCTGCCTCGGCCTCCCAAAGTGCTGGGAGCGAGCCACCATGCCTGGCCATGGAGCACTTTTGTTTCTTAATCTGGCCAATATTTTAAGGTTACAATTAGAATTACAGTTGTTTATATTTGTTCATTTAATGTAGTCAACATAATTTCCATACTTTGAACACTCTTACGGAATTGTTTATTTATAGAGACTAGTATAAAGTTGTTCTATCTTACTTAGTTTGAACTAATCCAGAGTTATACAATCTAGAAAGTAAAGAAAGTTTTTATTGTCTCTTAAATATCAATGTAATTGTAGAGTGTGAAATAATTTCTTGGGTTTCCTTGGTCCCGTGTTCTTCTGAGGCAGTGGTTCTTAACTGAGCAGTCACGTTAGAATCACCTGGGAAGCTTTTTAAAAAAAGAATCTGGGCTGGGCGCGGTGGCTCACGCCTGTAATCACAGCACTTTGGGAGGCCGAGGCGGGTGGATCATGAGGTCAGGAAATCGAGACCATCCTGGCTAACACAGTGAAACCCCGTCTCGACTAAAAATACAAAAAAATTAGCTGGGTGTGGTGGTGGGCGCCTGTAGTCCCAGCTACTCGGGAGGCTGAGGCAGGAGAATGGCGCGAACCCGGGAGGCGGAGCTTGCAGTGAGCCGAGATCGTGCCACTGCACTCCAGCCTGGGCAACAGAGTGAGACTCTGTCTCAAAAAAATAAAAATAAAAATAAATAAACAAATAAACAATCTGGCCGGGAACAGTGGCCTACGCCTGTAATCCCAGCACTTTGGGAGGCCAAGGCAGGCGGATCGCCTGAGGTCAGGAGTTCAAGACCAGCCTGGCCAACGTGGCGAAACCCCATCTCTACTAAAAATATAAAAATTAGCCAGGCGTGATGGGCACCTGTAATCCCAGCTACTCAGGAGGCTGAGTCCGGGAGAAGCACTTGAACCCAGGAGGCGGAGGTTGCATTGAGCCGAGATCGCGCCATTGCACTCCAGCCTGCAGCCTGGGCGACAGAGCGAGACTCTGTCTCAAAAAAAAAAAAAAAAGAATCTGTGCCTCACCCCTAGCAATTCAATTCTGTTTGGGCTAAGCCTGGGTTGGGACTCAGACATCAATACAGCTCTGCATAGAAGGTTTTACAGTATAGTCAGCAATAAGAACCTCTGTTTCAGGATAAAATGATTTCTACAAACATTGTTTCATTCTCTACATAATTAAATGTCACACCTCTACAGTCATGTGAAAGTTCCATTAAAAAGTTAGTCGCTATATAAAGTCTTTTATCATATGGCACTTGAAATATTTTGCTTTTGCCTTTGTATTTATAGCCATGAGTAAGTAGCTCAAAAAAGATGTACATATTCCTCTGCCAACTTTCCTGTCTCCTTGTCTGAATGAAAATTCATCATAAAGTCTCAGTGGTAAGCATTGACAGAGAAAATACCTAAGACTGTTTTCCTACAGAAACAGTCGTCTTGCTCTTTTTGTTCCTTTTTTATTAAGGATTCTTACAGCCTGAGAGAATGAAGAGCTGTGTAGTCCAGGATATCCGGCTGGCTACCATAGATCTGAGAGTCCAGTCTAGTACAGTAGATTTTTCTAAATACATAAGAATCAAAGATATGTATTGAATATCAAGCCAGCTTTAAACAAACATAGATACTAGTATAAAGTTGTTCCATCTTAATTTGAAGTAATCCAGAGTTACTACAATCTAGAAGGTAAAGAAGGTTTTTGTAATCTCTTAAATATCAATGCTAAAACTATTATGATAATGTATCACTTTGATAACAGATAAAACTTTTAAAAATGTAGCACTCATATTTTGATTCTGGTATTTATAAGTATAATAAAATACTTTATTTTTCCATAATTTCTCTCACATCTTAAAATTCTCACCAGAAATTCTCAAATGTAACTTCTAAGCTCTTTCTGTATTCATGGGAAACTTTAGCTATTTCACATACTAGAGAAAATAAAATAGACAGTCAAAGAATGATGAGCAAAGGCTATACAAAAAGTCTAGCTAATAATTTGCAGAGTAGGTTGTATTAGAAAATGTTCTAATAACTCAATGGAATGGGGCTATTGATTTGAAGTAAAATCTGGTATATTACAACATCAAAGATCTCCTATTATGCAAAACAAGTTTGAATGCACCTCATGTGTACTTGGTGTTTTTTTTTTAATAGATTTTAATTTGTTTCATTTTATACACTTGAAAAGTTTACTCCCTTATTTGATTCAACATATTTGCAAAATCTGCCAACAGTGTAAATGTTGAAAGTTCTAGATGGGGTTTTGAAGAAAGGGCCCTGGGTTTAAACTCAGTCTTGATGTATTATCAGCACCATTTAATAGCTAGTTGTTTGACTTCAGGTATGTTTCCTGCCTTCTCTGAGCCTGTGGTTTCTCAGCCATAAAATAGAGCTGATAGTACCTGCTCTACTACCTCACAAGATTTAAAAGAAAAAAAGATAGTGTAGGGCAGTGGTTCTCAAAGTGTAGTCCAAGGAGCCACTGGAGGTTTCATGGGTCAATAAGGATCTCCCTTATGTAAGAACAGATTCTCAATATACTTGAACCAAAACAAGAGATGACAACAGATTGAATGCAGAATCAGATAAGAGAGTCCAGCTGTATCTGTTAAAGCCAGATATTAAAGAGGATTGCAAAATGTAAATTAATATCACCCTTCTCACTTGTTTTTGAAAAATTTTTTAGGAAAAAATATGTTAATATGTAATGGGTTTATTGCTATTTTAAATATTTTAAAATTTCTTTTAATTTTGAATATAGTAAATATTGATAAATATAACCTATATAAACAACAGCTCTTCACAATCTCTAATACTTTTTTTTTGAGATGGAGTCTCGCTCTGTAGCCCAGGCTGGAATGCAGTGGTGTGATCTCGGCTCACTGCAACCTCTTCCTCCCAGGTCCCGGTTCAAACAGTTCTCCTGCCTCAGCCTCCCGAGTAGCTGGGATTACAGGCACACGCCACTGTGCCCAGCTTTTTTTTTTGTATTTTTAGTAGAGACGGGGTTTCACCATGTTGGCCAGGCTGGTCTTGAACTCCTGACCTTGTGATCCGCCTGCCTTGGCCTCCCAAAGTGCTGGGATTACAGGCGTGAGCCACCGTGACTGGTCTGTAATACTTTTTAGAGTGTGAGTGGATCTTGAGACCACAGCTTTTTAGAACTGCTGATAAACAGTAATGGTTGAGTAGGGCTGCTCTGCCTATGGAGTAGCCATTCTTTTATTTATTTTCTAATAAATTGCTTTCGTTTAAAAAGAACACAATGTTGGGGGAGGGGGTAATGGTTGAATAGTTCCTATCAGGACAGTTTCCTGCAGATAACTATAAACTTGATACACTTTTTTTTTTTTTCCTTTTGAGATGGAGTTTCGCTCTTGTTGCCCAGGTTGGAGTGCAGTAGCGTGATCTCAGCTTACCGCAACCTCTGCCTCCCAGGTTCAAGCAGTTCACCTGCCTCAGCCTCCAGAGTAGCTGGGATTACAGGCATGTGCCACCACACCCGCTAATTTTGTATTTTTAGTAGAGATGGGGTTTCTCCATGTTGGCCAGGCTGGTCTCGAACTCCCGACCTCAGGTGATCTGCCCGCCTCTGCCTCCCAAAGTTCTGGGATTACAGGCATGAGCCACTACGCCCAGCTGATAAAAGTTTTAAAAATTAATAGATGGCATTTGAGAATTACAAAAACTAGATTGAGGTCTGCAACTGGAAGAGGAGAACAGCAATGAATAAGCTTCTGTTTTTATGGCTTTTAGACTGGCATAAGGTCCCAGCTGGTGATATGAAGAGGTGGCTACAACTGTAATAACAACCTGTAATCTCTCTTGAAGAAAAGAGGACAGAGCTCACAGTGATCATGCAGCTGGAAAGTGCAGGAGAAAATCCTAGAAAGAATGTTGGAGTGGCAGAACCCCAAACACTGTTTATAAACTCTGCTTGAATTTCTTGCAAACCCCTCAACTGTACATGTGTGGAGCAGCCTCCAAACAGCACACTTAAGGCTAAAGGAGCAGAGATTTCAGCTGCTGTCCACCATAGGGGAGGCAGAACTTGGAGTTTAAGTCCAGCTAAGGTAATTGTCTGCAAAAAACAAAAACACAAACACTCTTTGGAAGAATATTACAGAATCTAGAGTGAATTGTATTAATCACAATACCTAGACTATAATCCAGAAACAATCACCCTAATCAGTGGAGACTGACCCCATAATTAGCCAAAGGTTGGATTTAGCAGAGAAGATTTAAAGCAGCAGCTATTATAACTATGCTCAAGGATGTAAAGCAAAATGTTGTATATGTGAACAAATAGGAAATCTCAGCAGAGAATTAGAAACTTTAAAAAAGAATGAAATGAAAATTTTACATCTGAAAATACAATATCTGAAACAATCTTGAATAGATTTAACAGATCAGATATGACAGATAAGTCATTTAATTTGAGGATAGATTAATAGAAATTATCTAATCTGAAGTAGAGAAATAAGTTATTGTATATGAAAGTTCTCTGTAAACTTCAGTGCTCTATGTAAGTTTCAGAGTTTATTACTCCAGGTTTCTTTCATATGTAAAGGGAAGAGGTATGTTTGGGTCTTCTGATCTGCAGCTTCCTTAATGTCCTGTCCTGTCATGTCTGTGTCTAAGCTTTATACCCTCTGGTTTCTTTATTTTTATTTTTTTATTTTTTTTTGAGACAGAGTCTCGCTCTGTTGCCCAGGCTGGAGTGCAGTGGATCTCAGCTCACTGCAACCTCTGCCTCCTGGGTTCAAGTGATTCTTCTGCCTCAACCTCCCAAGTAGCTGGGATTACAGGCATGTGCTACCACACCTGGCTAATTTTTGTATTTTGAGTAGAGACGGGGTCTCACCATGTTGTTCAGGTTGGTCTCAAACTCCTGGCCTCAAGTGGTCCACTCACCTTGTCCTCCCAAAGGGCTGGGATTACAGGCGTGGGCCACTGCGCTTGGCCTAGCCTCTGGTTTCTAATATCCCCTGCAGTCAGATATTTGGCCCTTGCTGCTTTCCTGTACTATTGTCAGAGGTTACCAGGAATCTTTTGGTCAGTACACTCGACATGTTTGTAATGGGCCTCACCCCCATGTTTCTCTTCAGTGTTTTGCACCATTGCCATCTCCTTTCTGCAAGGTCATTGCCTTTCCTCAATGACGATGTTTTCTTTTTTCTCCTCCTCTGTCTTATTTTGTCTTTTCTGTTTTCCAAAGATTCATTCTTAGCTTTTTTCCCTCTTATTTCATTCTACTTTTTAGTCTACTTTATTATTTTCATACTTGGTTACTTCAGCCTTGTCGTTTCAGAGGCCTCTTCTCCCTCTCTGGCTCTGCTCTCTCTAGAGCCCTGTCCTGCTTCTTGTCCCCGCTGATCACTAAACATTTCTACTTAGATACCTGGTAGACACTTGGAGCTCAGAGTGTCTGAAGTGAAACCCCTATTCTTCTTCTTCTTTTTTTTTTTTTTGAGGTGGGGTCTCAGAACCTCTTATCAAGACGGTTTCTGTACTTCTTCTCTAATGTTCTGGGACTCTGCCTTTATATCAACACCTAGCACATGGCAGTTACTCTGAAAATGTAATCTGAAGGAATGGATGAATTCTTCCAATTACCCAAGCTGGAATTCTGAGACTCACCTTTGATTTGATCTCTGTGGTGACAAGTCATGTCAGTTTTGTGTCTGATGTATCTCTTGTATTCCTTCCTTCATTCCCACTGCGATTACTTTGATACCATAGTAGGCTCCTAGCCAGTCTTTCTCCATGCCTTTTCCCTTGCTAATATTTTTTATATGTTGCTGTTAGAGCAGTCTTTACTCACGCCTAATGATGGTGATGATGATAATGCCTAGTATTTATTAGGCACTAACTGTGGGCCCACTGTTTCTAAGTGCATTATATCATTAAATTCAAATAACCTATAAGTTAGATACTGTCATTGTCCATATTTTATAAGTGAAATGGAGGCCCAGAGAGTTAAGTGTCTTGCCAAGACCACGCAGCTAGTAAATGGCAGAGCTAAAATTTTAAGCTGTCTGATTTTAGTTCAAGCTTTAACTACCACGCTCTGTTCTCCCTCCCACAGAGTAAGTTAACTGATCATGCTGTTCTTACTCAAACATCTTACATAGTTCACTTCAAACACGACACTACTTTTTAGTCTTATATTCTGTATGCTTTTTGAACTGACCACATTTCATTATTTCTGTTACTTTTTTTTTCTATGCCAAGCTGAATCCTTCTGTTATCTAACTATTCATATTCTTCCCAGTAATTTTATTCATTTTATTTTTTCTGCCTGGCCTTGTTTCCCATCAAGTTGCCTGTGTTTATCTCCCTCTGATAGCATGTTCTCTAACTGCTCTGTGCTACTGAATGCATTTATTTCATATTATAATTATGGTTTGATGTTTTATCTTTCCTGTGAGCCTGTAATCTTGAGTGTAGCATCTTGTCATTTTTTTCTGTCTCCACGCCTTGTACAATGCAGGCTTTTACACATTTTTTCTTTATTAAATTGCTCTTCAAAAATATCTGTTGAATAAGTGAAGAATTTAACTGTTACCAACAGACCATTAACCATAAGATTCCTGTATGGGTGGCTTATTAGTGTGCTATGTCTCATTTCCCTATGGTTCAGTAGTTCAATATAATGGGAAGAACTGGTGAAAATGTTTATGATCCGAGGGTTTGGTTTTGTTTTTTTTTTTTGAGACAACTTATCAGGCTAGTTTAAGATGCTTCAATATGAACCATTTCATTGATTCTAAGACACGTTTTTCACATGCTGAAATTGTCAATACAGATTTTTAGTTTGTTAGGCCGGGCACGGTGGCTCATGCCTTTAGGAGGCTGAGGTGGGCAGATCACCTGAGGTCAGGAGTTTGAGACCAGCCTGGCCAACATGGTGAACTCCCGTCTCTACTAAAAATACAAAAATTAGCTGGGCATGGTGGCGGGCACCTGTAATGCCAGCTACTTGGGAGGCTGAGGCAGGAGAATCGCTTAAACCCAGGAGGCGGAGGTTGCAGTAAGCCGAGATGGAGCCGTTGCACTCCAGCCTGGTCAACAAGAGCAAAACTCCGTCTCAAATAATAATAATAATAATAATAATATAACTTGGGGATTATTCCACATCAGTACATTAAATATGTAGTTTTAATAGAGTCTGCCTTTTTTTTTTTTTTTTTTTTTTGAGATAGGGTCTTGCTCTGTCACCCAGGGTGAAGTGCAGTGGCATGATCATGGCTTACTGTAGCCTCAATCTTCCTGGCTAAAGCTATCCTCCTGTCACATCCACCCAAGTAGCTGGGACTAAAGCATGCACCACCGTGCCTGGCTAATTTTTGACACATAGGAAGCACTATAAAATGTTAGCTATATTTATTATATTACTGATCACTTAGCTGTCTGCTGCCCAAGCCACTGCCAATCTTTAGACGGCTAACCCTGCATTACATCACTGACCTCCTTAGACCTTGGTCTGGCTGGCTGGTGTGGAAACCTCATTCTCTTTTTCAGTGTCTGCTCTTTCAAAGGATGTTCTCCTGGCCACCCAATGATGCCCTTTATACTACAGCTACCTTCTGCCTAAAGTACCAGGGCTCTCTCCACAGTAGGGTAGAGAAGATGATGTACAGTCTGCCACCTGCCTGAAACCAGGGCACTTCTGAATGTTTTTGCTGCTTATACTCGGCTTCTTGGCCAGAATTCTGCATGTTCTTCCTCATATAGGCTTCCCCGCAGTTGTTCCACCTTGCCTTTTACTTCCTTTGGGAACCTACATTATAATATGCGTCTGAATCCAGTTGAGATCAGTTCTTTCTTTTGTGTGTGTGTGTGTGTTTTTGAGACAGAGTCTCACTGTTGCCCAGGCTGGAGTGCAGTGGTGTGATCACAGCTCACTGCAGCCTTGACCTCCCAGTCTTAAGTGATCCTCCTGCCTCAGCCCCTCAAGTAGTTGGGAGTACAGGTGCATGCCACCATACCTAGCTAATTGTTTTATTTTTTGTGGAGATGACGTTTCACTATATTGCTCAGGTTGGTCTCCAATACCTGGGCTCAAGCAACCCTCCTGCCTCATCCTCCCAAGGTGCTGGGATTACAGGCATGAGCCACTGCGCCAGCTTAAGTTCTTTCTCAGGAGGCTCTTGGGCCACAAGTAAATTGGGGATGTGGCTTGACATCTATTTTAAGAGTTCCTGAGCTACTGTGATGATAAGTCCCCCAAACATTTGATGAGAGTTGGGAAGCCAGTATCCCCTGAGCACCAGAGGATCCCTGAGGAGGAGTGACATCTCTAGCTCAGCCAGGATACCGTGTTATGTTATTAACATTTATAGCTAACATCGAATAGCAGTTTCCATTACAACATGATTTTCACATAAGTTATTTAACTCTGAGGCAGGAATCAGTATCTCATTTTCATTTTTCTAATGAGGAAACAAGATTAGAAACATTGTGTTCACATAGATGGAAAAGGACAGGTCTGTCTTCATGTGTCACTCATACCAAGCTATCTTCTTACCAGATGAAAAAGGGTCATATTTTATGGTTCAGCAGAGTTTATATCAGTTGTCATAATGGAGGAATTTAGTGTTAGCCGTGTTTGCAGTGAAAGTAATAGGATTGAAAACTTGAATAATTTCATTTAAATTTAGATCTCCTTGTTACTCTGTAGGTTTGTGTGAACTGTAGACAATTTTGTATTAATAAAAAATAATGCGTATATACATACACACCTATCTACATTTATCTTGTCCTTTTTTTCAGAACCACAATGGACACTGCCAGCCATAGCCTTGTTCTTCTCCAGCAGCTGAACATGCAGCGAGAATTTGGTTTTCTGTGTGATTGCACAGTTGCAATTGGAGATGTTTACTTCAAAGCCCACAGAGCAGTGCTTGCTGCTTTTTCTAACTATTTCAAGATGATATTTATTCACCAAACAAGGTAAGGATGTGTTTTTGTAAATAAGAATTTTTAATATTGTGATTTATATAAGCTTTATTATAGTATCATTTTGGAAATTCTTTGTTACGGAGTCACACTAAGAAGTAAAATTATAATTTTTTTTTTTTTTTTTTTTTTTTTTTTTTTTTTTTGGCGACAGAGTCTTGCTCTGTCACCCAGGCTGGAGTGCAATGGTTCAGTGTCGGCTCACTGCAACCTCTGCCTCCCAGGTACAAGCGATTCTCCTGCCTCAGCCTCCCGAGTACCTGGGATTACAGGCGCCTGCCACCACGCCCGGTTAATTTTTGTATTTTTAGTAGAGGCAGGGTTTCACCATGTTGGCCAGGCTGATCTCAAACTCCTGACCTCAGGTGATCCGCCTGCCTCAGCCTCCCAAAGTGCTGGGATTACAGGCATGAGCCACCATGCCTGGCCAAATTATAATAATTTTTTATACATTAGTAATTAAACTCAGTGTGTAGGATCCATAATGGAAAATAAGAATGAAAATAAGAATAGCTAAAATTGGCTGGGCGCCATGGCTCACGCCTGTAATCCCAGCACTTTGGGAGGCCAAGGTGGGCGGATCACAAGGTCAGGAGTTCGAGACCAGCCTGGCCAATATGGTGAAACCCCGTCTCTACTAAAAATACAAAAATTAGCCAGGCATGGTGGTGGGCGCCTGTAGTCCCAGCTACTCGGGAGGCTGAGGGAGGAGAATTGCGTGTACCTATGAGGTGAAGGTTGCAGTGAGCCGAGATCGCGCCACTGCATTCCAGCCTGGGTGACAGAGCGAGACTCTGTCTCAAAAAAAAAAAAAGAAAAAGGAAAGAATAGCTAAAATTTATTGAAGGCTTATCCCATACCCAAGCACTAAGTATTTGCCCTATAATGTAAATTCTACTGCTGTCCCTATTTCAGGAAAAAGAAAACTGAGACTGAGTTAAGTAACATGCCCATGCAGGATTATACAGCTAATAAGTTAGATGCAGATTTGTCTGAAGCTATGTCTATGCTTTTAGTCACTAAGCTGTTAATTTTTGTTTCATATAACACTTTTGTTTTTTTTATTTTTTATTTTTATTTTTTTTGAGACGGAGTCTAGCTCTGTCACCCAGGCTGGAGTGCAGTGGTGCCCAGGCTGAAGTGCAGTGGCATGATCTCAGCTCACTGCAACCTCCGCCTCCCAGGTTCAAGCAATTCTCTTGCTTCAGTCTCCCTAGTAGCTAGGACCACAGGTGTGCGCCACCACACCCGGCTAATTTTTTGTAATTTTAGTAGAGACAGGGTTTCACCATGTTGGTTAGGCTCCTCTTGAACTCCTGACCTCAGATGATCCACCTGCCTCGGCCTCCCAAAGTGCTGGAATTACAGGCGTGAGCCACCGCACCCTGCTGATTTCAATAGGTTCTTTCAGAAGTTTTAAGATATCTTTATTGTGGCTATAAACATATAAAATTTGCCATTTTAACCATTTTTAATTATACAATGCAGTGGTGATAATCACATTCGCAATGTTGTACAACCATTACCACTGTCTATTTCCAAAACTTTTTTATCACCCCAAACAGAAACTTTGTACCCATTAAGCAATAACTCCCCATCTCACCCTCTCAACCCCCAGAAACCGCTAATTTACTTTCTATCTCTATGAATTTGCCTATTCTAGATATTTTATATAATACTTGTCCTTTTGTGTCTGGCTTATTTTACTTAGCATGATATTTTCTGGGTTCTCCATGTTGTAGCATGTATCAGAACTTCCTTCTTTTTATGGTTGAATAATATTCCATTGTGTGTGTAAGCCATCTTGTGTTTATCCACTCATCTTTTGGTGAACACTCAGCTTCTTTCTACCTTTTGGCTACTGTAAGTAATGTTGCAGTGAACATTGGCATACAGGTATCTGTTTGAGTCCCTGTTTTTAGTTCTTTTGATCGTTTACTTGATAGACTGTTAAATTCCTTAAGAGCAGGTACCTATTTTATTCATCAGTTTTCTACCGCTGGCATCTAGTATAGTGCATATCACTTAGGAGTCACTTGATTAATGTTGAACTATTCAGAATGTATGTCTGTGTTTCCTAACTTTAGGCAGTAGATTGAATACATGAAGACTTTTTGCTAGGCCATAAAGTTGGTATAAAATGAAAGTTTAAGCCTTTGTTGCCATGTTTTATTAAGGCAGATTGCTAGGTTCGAACTTCTTAGGAAGAAATTGCTTTAGTCTCAGACTATACTGTTAACTGAAAGGCCAGCTAGGTTGTGTTTCATTTCTTGTGGGTCTGTTTTTGTTTTTAACAGTGAATGCATAAAAATACAACCAACTGACATCCAACCTGACATATTCAGCTATTTGTTGCACATTATGTACACGGGGAAAGGGCCAAAACAGATTGTGGATCATAGTCGTTTGGAGGAAGGGATTCGATTTCTTCACGCCGACTACCTTTCTCACATTGCAACTGAAATGAATCAAGTGTTCTCACCAGAGACTGTGCAGTCCTCAAATTTATATGGCATTCAGATCTCAACAACCCAAAAAACAGTTGTCAAACAAGGACTGGAGGTCAAAGAAGCTCCTTCCAGTAACAGTGGAAACAGAGCTGCTGTCCAGGGTGACCACCCCCAGTTGCAGTTGTCTCTTGCTATTGGTCTGGATGATGGCACTGCAGACCAGCAGAGGGCCTGTCCTGCCACCCAGGCCCTGGAGGAGCACCAGAAGCCCCCAGTTTCCATCAAGCAGGAGAGATGTGACCCAGAATCTGTGATCTCCCAGAGCCACCCCTCACCCTCATCAGAGGTGACAGGCCCCACTTTTACTGAAAACAGTGTCAAAATACACTTATGCCATTACTGTGGGGAACGTTTTGATTCCCGTAGTAACCTAAGGCAACATCTCCATACACATGTGTCTGGATCCCTGCCATTCGGTGTCCCTGCTTCCATTCTGGAAAGTAATGACCTTGGTGAAGTGCATCCCCTTAATGAAAACAGCGAGGCCCTTGAATGCCGCAGGCTCAGCTCCTTCATTGTTAAGGAGAATGAACAGCAGCCAGACCACACCAACCGGGGTACCACAGAGCCTTTGCAGATCAGTCAAGTATCTTTGATCTCCAAAGACACAGAGCCAGTAGAATTAAACTGTAATTTTTCTTTTTCAAGGAAAAGAAAAATGAGCTGTACCATCTGTGGTCATAAATTCCCTCGAAAGAGCCAATTGTTGGAACACATGTATACACACAAAGGTAAATCTTACAGATATAACCGATGCCAAAGGTTTGGTAATGCATTGGCCCAGAGATTTCAGCCATACTGTGACAGCTGGTCTGATGTCTCCCTGAAAAGTTCTCGCTTGTCACAAGAACACTTAGACTTGCCTTGTGCCTTAGAGTCAGAGCTCACACAAGAAAATGTGGATACTATCCTAGTTGAGTAGCAGCTTCTCTTTCAGAATTTTTATACCAATTCTGAAAAAGAAAATTTGCGTGGCATTTTTAATTCATAAATTATTTTCCTCCTCAAGTTTCATTGACTTTTTTTCTTCACAGCTTATCCATGGTTTTAAGGTTGTATATATTAGATCTTCTCATAAGACATATTAATATGTGGCTATTAAAATGTAACATTCAATTACTACTGTGAACTTTTCACAAACGAAATAACAATTTAGAAATCAGAAATCAATGTAGAAATATGGAAACCTTAAATAGTTATTTATAGAATTCTAAGTTTTTCCAGTTATAGAATCAGTAAAATCAAATTGAATATAAAGTAAATGAAATCTGTTTTAAAGCATATTCTAAACTATCACTTCTGCCTACATTTCACATGAATTCACTCCTACCAGGATTATTTTTAAATATTTTCTTCCATATAGGAAATTAATAGTTACTTTAATGCATAACTGTATGTTATACATATGTTATAATGTATAAAAATTTATTTTAAGATATACCAAATCATGAGTAGTTTTATTTTTTAACTACTAGCTCCACAACATCTTACCTACATGGCTTCTCTTTACTTTTTAACATTGAGTATACCTCTTTTTTTTTTTGAGACAGAGTCTCTCTGTGTCGCCCAGGCTGGGGCGCAGTGGCGCGATCTCGGCTGACTGCAAGCTCCGCCTCCCGGGTTCACGCCATTCTCCTGCCTCAGCCTCCTGAGCAGCTGGGACTACAGGCGCCCGCCACCACGCCCAGCTAATTTTTTTGTATTTTTTTAGTAGAGACGGGGTTTCACCGTGTTAGCCAGGATGGTCTCGATCTCCTGACCTCGTCATCTGCCCGCCTTGGCCTCCCAAAGTGCTGGGATTACAGATGTGGTATATCTCATTTTTAATAAAAAAAACAGTTAAAGGGAGAAGAGTCAGAGAGACATTAAAAAATATTTAAGAAACAGTAAGATATACACACATAGATAAATAAGCATGCAGAGACAGAGACTGAGCTAGAACTGCATTGACTAAAAACCCCAGGGTTGTTAACTTGGTCTAGAGTGTTTTCTTAGACACCTTAAAAAGTAATTTGAGATTTTATGACCAGAGGTTTACATGAGTTGAAAGAGAATGATGATAAAATATAAATCATGTTTCTACCCTCAGCGTCAGGATTTTTGGGGCTTCCTGGGTTGATTTTAATTTTCTAAAAATCACTGAAAAAGTAATTTTTCAGTGGCACAGTTTTCACTTTTTTCCTGATCCATAAAACCAGCAAAGTGGATACATTCAGTGTTCTATAACTACATTTAAGATCCATGATGTTAGCTTTTCCTCTATAAATCAACTTAACTCTCTTTTATAATGGTGACACTTACAAAGCTAAAACCCCAGGAAAATTAAAGTTGATGAAAGAAATAACAGATTCCCCGGCTCTATATACCTGGGAAATAGCTGGTTAAGCTTCACCACAAAGGATAGATCTAAATTGTTTCTGAAATGTTTAAATTTCAAACCCCGCATAGTCAAGGATAATAAAACAGACTCATCTTTTTTTGCCCTCTTGTTAAATTCTAAGCTTCACGGGCATTTGAATACATCTAAAAAATTTGGTTTGTGAGCCTTAGAATTTAACCACTTACAAAACTCTTGAGCTCCCTCCACTTCTGAGGACGTTTCCTGACACATTCAACAGCATCAGCGTCCAATCAGGAGGGAGCTCAAAGAGTAATCCAGCTAATTCTAAGGACACAAAGGTTTTCTCTAGGTAAACAGTTTAGGTAAATTACAAAGTGGTAAGTTTTTCTTGAGGATTGAATGAAGAAAGCTACTGGATATTGTGTAAGGCAGTTGAGTTTCTGCCTTAAACAAGTGAGTAAAGGCTCCTATGGTTAAGACTGATGTGTGTTGAGAGCACATCTAACTTGATAAGATCAATTGTATTGGGAGTAATTAAAACAAATGTATGTTCTTTGGGGTCAGAACTTTGTCTAATCTTAAACTTTTTTCTACCAATTCACTTAAGCAACTATTGAAATTTGTACTGCCCTCAAAAATATCATCTCATTGGAAGAACACAAGTATTAACATTGATTTTTTGTATTTTAGGCTAGTTAAGATATATTTCCTAGCCTTCTTCAATTCAAATTCTATTGTTCTTATTAAGATAATTTTTCTCCTCTATATTCTTCCCTGTTTGCCTACTCATTATTATTATTTTTTTAATTTAATTTTTTTTTAAGATGGAGTTTCACCCTTGTTGCCCAGGCTGGAGTGCAATGGCGTGATCTCGGCTCACTGCAATCTCTGCTGCCTGGGTTCAAGCGATTCTCCTGCCTTAGCCTCCCAAGTAGCTTGGGATTACAGGCATGCACCACCATACCCAGCTAATTTTGTGTTTTTAGCAGAGACAGGGTTTCACCATCTTGGTCAGGCTGGTCTGGAACTCCTGACCTCAGGTCATGCACCAGCCTCGGCCTCCCATAGTGCTGGGATTACAGGTGTGAGCCACCGTGCCAGGCCCACTCATTATTCTTTGACACAGGAAATCCTTGTATATAGCTAAAGGGTGGAGGTAGAGTTGTACATGGTTGGTTGGATAAGACAGCAAGTGCCTCAGGGCAGAGTTTGGATAAATGGTAAGAGTTTGCTAGCAGCTGATTGGCCGTGATAGACAACACTCATTTAAAGCAGAAATATATCTGTTCGTTGAGAGTTAAGAAAATAGTGGTTAACTGTATTTCTATTCTTATAGTTCCTTTTAATATTAGAAATTCAAAGCAAATGCTCTTTCCTTGTTCCTTAAAACATTCATTCTGTTTAGGAAGTGGGAAAATATCAACTTCATTTTATAGAAAAAAAATCCCAAAAGCTGAATTCCAGAGATGCAGTGAATAGTGGTGTGGGACTGACCCCCAGTTTTTGTTATTGTTGTTTTCATTTATTCTGCAGGCTTTTTTTTTTTTTTTTTTTTTTTTTTTTGAGACAGTCGTGCTGTGTCGCCAGGCTGGAGTGCAGTGGTGCAATCTCAGCTCACTGCAACCTCCGCCTCTCGAATTCAAGTGATTCTCCTGCCTCAGCCTCCTGAGCATGTGCCACCATGCCCAGCTAATTTTTGTATTTTTAGTAGAGACAGGGTTTCACCATGTTGGCCAGGATGGTCTCGAGCTCCTGACCTCATGATCTGCCTGCCTCAGATTACAGGCATGAGCCACCGCGCCCGGGTCTGCAGGCATTTTTTAAAGTAACTGTCATATGCCTAACACTGTGCCCTGAGTATTATTTTTTAAAGACATGATTGCTCACTGAGAAAATTTGCTTTGTATTTTAAAAGTTCTTCCAGCTAGGCCAGGCGTGGTGGCTCATGCTTGTAATCCCAGCACTTTGGGAGGCCGAGGCGGGCGGGTCACGAGGTCAGAAGATCCAGACCATCCTGGCTAACACAGTGAAACCGCGTCTCTACTAAAAATACAAAAAATTAGCCGGGTGTGGTGGCACACACCTGTAATCCCAGCTACTCGAGAGGCTGAGGCAGTGGAATAGCTTGAACCCGGGAGGCAGAGGTTGCAGTGAGCGGAGATCGCACCACTGCACTCCAGCCTGGGTGACAGAGCGAGACTCCATCTCAAAAAAAAAAAAGTTCTTCCAGCTAAAACCTTTATTTTTTGACTACATCTCCACAAAATGGAGCTATACTGTTAGCCAGTATCCTAATAGTATAGTGCAGTTTGCATAATGATTACCAAGCTTGAAACTGGAAATGTCATATGCACTTTCGTGTGTATCAGGCAGATACTAAACATTTTCCCCTTGAGTCAGCTTAAAATTTTTCCTTCTTTTGAAATCTCACGCAGTTGTTTTCTGGAGAAAAATAGAGACTGTTTTAGTATTTGTTCTTATTAGCGTATCATCAGAACTCAGCACAGTCTGCCTTATAAGAAAACAAAAAATTTTTTTATTTATAACTCTTGAGATTGTTACTTCTTGCTCTTTCTGATTTCCCATCCGTAAAGTGGGTGTAAGCAATACTTACCTCACAGGGGTGTTGTGAGGATTTATATTAAACGTGTTAAGTTCTCTCAGTATTATTGATTAAAATCAACCATATAAACGACATTTATTCTGTAGCTAGACCTATTAACTTTAGTATTTCAGCCTATAAATTCTAAAATGTTCTTAAAAGCAGTAATGTACTATCTAATATTCAATAACTAATTGACAGAACTCATTGTTATTTTTTACAAATAACTAGAAACAATACTGTTGCTAGAATTCCTGTTCTACTGTAATTTAATCATCACTGTTTCTTTTTAGCCTTCAGTAAGGAGGATACTAGTTCTTTGGCATTATTGGGAATAAAACTTTGTCAATTTCAGCTTTATTGAAAGTTCTCCCAAATATATTGTTTTTGTTTACACAAAGGAAAAGGAACAAAAACAATAAATAAATACCTTTGTTTTTTTTTCTTTTTTGAGACGGAGTCTCGCTCTGTTGCCCAGGCTGGAGTGCAGTGGTGCGATCTCGGCTCACTGCAACCTCCGCCTCCCAGGTTCAAGCGATTCTTCTTCCTCAGCCTCCCGAGTAGCTGGAACTATAGGCACGCACCACCACACCCAGCTAATTTTTGTATTTTTAGTAGAGATGGGGTTTCATCATGTTGGCAAGGCTGGTTTCGAACTCCTGACCTTGTGATCTGCCTATCTCAGCCTCCCAAAGTGCTGGGATTACAGGTATGGGCCACTGGGCCCAGCCTATTTTTATTTCTTTGATGTAGGTGATCTAAATAGTAGATGAGGACAGGAAATGGGGTGAAGGTAATAATAGTATTATTAGAAAAGTCTTCACTGAAAATTGAAGGAAATACATATTAATCGTGGAAAAAGATAGTGTGAAAAATGTGTAATTTCGTTAACATTTATTTGTACAGGCACATTCTTGATGTTGTGAGTCAGATACTTGATAAATGTCCATTTTTTGTAGTAATTGATGTAAAAATGGGCCATGTGAAGAATTTTCATAATGTAATTTGTGTCTTTGTATATTTTGAACTACATATAGATTTGTGGCACTTAAATTATTAATTTTTGATTTCTTAAGAGTGAAGTCTGTAAATGATTTCTCTCTGCTGTACTTCTGTGTTTGTATGGTTGGACATTTTGAAAACTGGTGAGATTGCACAGTCCCAAACCTGGATGTCTTAAATACAAGGAATTACAAACTGTGATTTTTGTCTTGAAGACCTGGAAGAATTCATTGTGCTTCAGTATGTATTTGTACTGCACTTGATTAATTAGTTAAGTATTGGTCTGGTGCAATTGACATTAACTGTCATCAACTCCTCTATTTTGTGCTAAATAAAGTCATTTAGTCAGAATGGATCAAATATAAACTTATACTTTAAAATAAACTTAGATTATAAAAACTTGTTCAATAAAAAAGACCCACTGAAAAATCTTCAAAGTACATGTAACACATAGCTAATACAGGAGACCAAAATCAATAATACATTGTGTGGCTAAACTCATCCACCTAATGTACTGTGAATTTGCTTCAGAAACATTCTTTTAGAAAGTTGTGTATCTGCCGGGCATGGTGCCTCATGCCTGTAATCCCAGCACTTTGGGAGGCCAAGGCCCAGGAGTCCGAGACCAGCCTGGGCAATATAGTGAGACCTCATCTCTGCCAAAAATTTTGGCCAGGGGCAGTGGCTCACGCCTGTAATCCCAGCACTTTGGGAGGTCGAGGTGGGCGGATCACCAGAGGTCAGGAGTTCAAGATCAGCCTGGCTAACATGGCGAAACCCTGTCTCTACTAAAAATACAAAAATAAGCCAGGTGTGGTGGTGCGCGTCTGTAGTCCCAGCTACTTGGGAGGCTGAGACAGAATCATTTGAACCCGGGAGATGGAGGTTGCAGTGAGCCGAGATTGCGCCATTGCACTCCAGCCTGGGCGACAGAGTGAGACTCCGTCTCAAAAAAAAAAAGGCAGGGTGTGGTGGCTCACACCTGTAATCCCAGCACTTTGGGAGGCCAAGGCGGGCGGATTATGAAGTTAGGAGATCGAGACCATCCTGGACAACATGGTGAAACCCTGTCTCTAGTAAAACACAAAAAATTAGCTGGGTGTGGTGGCACGTGCCTGCAGTCCCAGCTACTAGGGGGGCAGAGGCAGAGGAATTGCTTGAACCCGGGAGGCGGAGGTTGCAGTGAGCCGAGATTGCGCCACTGCACTCCAGCCTGGCGACAGAGCAAGAAACAATGAATTTCATATATTTTATCAAGACAAATTAATGTGACTTAATCAAAAACAAGTTTATTAGCTTAGCTTATAGAATGTGTTCTTATTTTACATCAGTGTTTGCCAAATGTTGTGTTCCTAGTGTTGAGGCAAGTAGTCTTTGTACTGGGTAACATTTTGGAGGTGTGATGCAAAAATGCATTTGTGGACCTAATTCTTACCGACCATAATCTGTGTTAATCGAAAATTGACGTCCTAATCAAATGCTTTCCAACTGCTGTCTCTGGAAAGAAAGGTAGTATTTCGTCATTTCCCAGAAGTTTCTTGCTTTGCTTCTTCTTTTTTTTTTTTTTTTTTTTTTTTGAGATGGAGTCTTGCTCTGTTGCCCAGGCTGGAGTACAGTGGAGTGATCTCGGCTCACTGCAACCTTCACATCCCAGGTTCAAGCTATTCTCCTGCCTCAGCCTCCCGAGTAGCTGAGATTACAGGTTCCCACCACTACACTCGGCTAATTTTTTGTATTTCTAGTAGAGACGGAGTTTCACCATGTTGGCCAGGCTGGTCTCGAACTCCTGACCTTGTGATTCACCTGCCTCAGCCTCCCAAAGTGCTGGGATTACAGGCGTGAGCCACCGCGCCCAGCTGCTTCTTTCTTCTCTATTTACAGTCTACTGTATCGCCTTTTGCCCCCAGTAACATGATCCACAATAGTAGTTCTCAACTGAGGTATATTAGTCAGGATTCTCCAGAAAAAGAAAGAAACAACAGGTAGAACTGAGAGAGAGAAAGAGATTGATTGATTATAAGGAATAGGTTCATGTAATTATGGAGGCTGAGAAGTCCCAAGATCTGCAGTTGGGAGGCTGAGAGGCTGGGGAGTCAGTGATGTTCCAATCTGAATTTGAAGACCTGAGAACCAGGAGAGCTTATGGCATAAGTTCCAGTCCAAAAGCTGGCAGGCTTGAAACTCAAGAAGAGCTGATGTTTCCATTTGGGTCCAAAGGGAAGAAAAGACCGATAATTGCAGCTCAAGCAGTCAGGCCAGAGAAAGTCTCTTTTTTTATTATATTCTGGCCTTCAACTGATGGAATGAGAGCCACCCACATCAGGGAGGGTGATCTTCTTTACGCAGTCTACTGATTCAGATTTTGTCTCCCTCCAGAACACCCTCACGGACACACCCAGAATAATGTTTGACTAACTATTGGGGCAGCCCATGGCCCAGTCATTTGGACACATAAAATTAAACATTACACAGGGCTATCCCCCCCCATAGAGACATTTGACGATGTGGAGATGTTTTTGGTTGTCACAGTTGGGTGGGCGATGAGGGAGGCTGCTGCTGGCATCTAGTAGGTGGAGGCCAGGGATGCTGCTAAACATCTCAGTGCAGAGGACAGCCTCCCGCAATACAGAATATGTACCTCAAAATGTCATTAGAGCTGAGGTTGACCAACCCTTCTGAGACCTTAAAGTAAGTTTTGTGATGGCTGTCAGGAATAAAAGAATACAAAGAAACCCAATTTGGGGGATTTCTATTCTAGTCATGTTTAGAGCAAGTATTGGAGTATGAGATGTGTTCAGAATTAAATTCTATTTGTATTATCCTTGATCCCAGCTTTTAAAAGATAAAAATGTGATTATTAGAAATAAAAGGAAAAAATGTGATTATTAAAAATCAGAGATGTATTAATCAGCAAGACAGTTTTGAATCTATTCATATAATGTTTGAACTAAATAATTGTCTCCCCAAAGAGGTCTCTTCATGAAATTGAGATTGTAGGTTATAATTTCTGTGAATTTTTAATCTGGCCAAAAGGTGGCACCAGTGTACCTTTAAAAAAATGTTCATTATACTTGAATTCAGCATTACTATTAATAGTAAATATTATTTAGGGCTTAGCTACTTTTGGATCATGCTTTATAGAGTCAAGACTAATGAGAATTTTCTTAAAATTTCATAAGGTACTGCAATATCTTGACATCCCTCTTTAATCAAGATGCTTCTGATTTACATGTACATATCTCAGCAGATAACTTTTTAAAATATCACATTATTGTGCTACATTGAGCATTTCTGAAGATTTTTCCAAGCCATTAACTGTGAGGCCTTGGAATTTGGGCTCTTTTAATCAGGCATCACACTCAGTTTTTGGTGTTCTGCCTGGTCAAGACATAGATTGAAGGACATTTGAGTAAATACGCTCCCTTGCTCCTTTCTTGCCTTTTGTTCATTTTTTGTACATCCACAATCTATGAGGTATGTTACCTACTGAAATTTACTTTCTTTTCCAACTGTGGTTCAACAACTGACTTTCTTCTCTCATACTTTCCAACCCATTCCATTCTGAATAAGTTAAGAGTTTTCTTACCTTCAGCTCTTCTCACCTTCCAATACTAAGTGAATACAGCCTGCCTCCCCCTTCATTTCTGATTACAATATTATTCTCATCATCCTAGGACTTTGTACCTAATCACCAGTTGCTTCTCCTAAGTTTATTTTACAGCTGATAAGCCAACTTGGAAAATGAGCCCACTCTCCCTCAGATACATTCTCTTCCGCTGTTTGAAACGTTTTTCATTGAAACAATTTGGTGATATTGTATCAAAATAATAAAGTATTAAGCTACTGGAACACCATGGTGTCCTTTCATGTCAAACGTCTGAAGGAATGACAGTCCTCCAAGAGAGATTCTCTGTACAAATGGTGTGTTCCCACTGTCCTGGAAACAGGAGAGGCTTGTGCCAGGGGGCTGGAGAAGATGGCTCTCACCCACTGTGGTCGTCATCCCTTGTCTGGTCTGTGTTATTAACAAGTTTCAGGAGGTTCCGTGTCAGATTTATGTGCATCCAGCAGGCCTTTGAGGAATGGGATCTTGTGTATTTAGCACTGCCACATTTTTTCTATAGTGGAAGCCATGTGAAACTTAGTCCAAACCATATGCAGGTAATTAAAAAAAAATTTTTTTTTGAACTGGCATTTATGGTAACTACCATATAGGGAGGAAAACCTGAAGAACCTGGAGTGGTTCTGTAGAAAGTGAAGTCACACCTGTTACTTTTTGAAGGTGAAAACATATTTGCAAAGGCAAGGGAAGAGGTTTTAAAATGCAGATCAAAGATTCGAGGGGAGTGAATCTCAACAGTATTCCTAGCTAACCACTTCTCATTTCCCAACATTGCTCTTTTTTCACATGTGTGCTGTCTGGTGGTGTGAGCTCAGTGGTTTCTGTCCCCTCTATCACAATATTTTAACGTCTATGAGGAAAGACATATAAAGGGAAGAGTCCTTTTTTTAAAATCTTAAATATCTCCTATTTCACTATTAACATACCAGTTTTGCTGCTCTCTCAAACTGGTGGCTATGCTCAGAGCCACCATGATGGCCATGCAGACAATGCACAACACAGTGCTAGGGGGTGCCTCGATTGAATGAAGGCTTCTCCCAGAGTTGTGCTGTGCCAATGGCACAGCTGTGCGTGACAGCCTTGCCTTTCCTTATCCTGGTTTAAACACTGGGTTTAAGAAGCCCTTATTTTGAATTTCTGCAGCAAGTAGCAGTTTTCACTGATTAGTCAGGATTAAACTAAGATAGACAAGTGGTATAGAAATCAGAATAAGATTTAAAATTACCCCGAGGTGACACAACTAATGGCTTGGTCAAAATTGGTAGAACTTGTATTAAAAGGGTGGATTTTGCTGTATGTAAATTATACCTTAATGAGAAAAAGATTCATACCACTCAGAAAAATATAAGTCTTAGAGTTTGATGAACCCTAGTGATTATCATTATTCACTGTTAATCCTTCAGGAAAAACACAACAGCCAGATACTGAGGGTTTTTTAAAGAATTCTAAACAAATTCACCCTGAAATCAGGACAATTACTGATAAGGCTATTTAGGGAACATTTGGATAAAAGATCAAAAACTGAGTTTGACTTTTTTTTTTACCTGAATTGAGTCGTGACCAATTGTTTTGGCATTTTCTGCATCTCAGCCATATAGAGTACGAGGCAGTTCTAACTTAGTCATTCTGTCAGGAGGATAGAAATACTCTAGTTTTGAGCTGGGCGTGGTGGCTTACGCCTGTAATCCCAGCACTTTGGGAGGCTGAGGCAGGTGAATCACAAGGTCAGGTGTTTGACACCAGTCTGGCCAACATGGTGAAACCCCGTCTTTCCTAAAAAGAGAAAAAAATTAGCCGGGCATAGTGGTGGGCGCCTGTAATCTCAGCGGCAGGCTGAGGCAAGAGAATAGCTTGAACCTGGGATGTGGAGGTTGCAGTGAGCCGAGATCACTCCACTGCACTCCGGCCTAGGCAACAGAACGAGACTTCGTCTCAAAAACAAAAACAGAAATACTCTAGTTTTGGAAGACCTGTTTAAACAGAAGTGATATTCTAAAGTTCTTATGTTGCAAATGGCCATTCCATATGGAACCTTTGCGTTGTAATTTATATATATTTGATTAGCAGCACATGCATGCCTGAAGCTGCATTGTGATGGTGATTTTATCACAGATGTGGTACAGAAACCCACTTGTAGTCATACTGAGCAGACCTGTGACCTGTCAGAGTAGGGATTTGGGAATAAAAGGTTCGGGTACAAGTGTAGAAATGACTGCATCTGCTTTGGTGTCACCTTTTGTTTCCTATCTCCCAGGAGTGCAGAAATGGAAGGCCTGGGTCCTAAGACCACAAGTATAGCTGTGAAAAGTGTATAATCCTTCTCCCATAGTAGCACTGTCATATCAAGGCCAAAAGTTCTTTTTGAGTTTCACCACAAAGCAAGTGGTGGGGAAAGTGCATCTAGTTTTGCTAAAGTCCTGAAACTGCTGGACACTGCTCCCATTGTTATGATAGGCTGGAGTTTACGGAGACAGTTTTAAGGCTGGGAGTTTCCCAGACGCGGCGCCACACCATCCTCTCCTCACCTAGGTTTCCCTTCACTGCTCATTGTGCCCACACCCAGTTTTGCAGAGGATTTTCTGTGAATGTGTAGTGCACAGACACGCATACTCTCTTTCCTAAGCTCGGGAACTTAACCCCCAGTAAGCTTAAGCTTTCAGGAAGGAAGAAAGAAAGAAAAGTAGGTATTCACAAAAGGGTTGGGGACTCCAGACGTCAGCATTAAAGGTAGGTCTAAAAAGGGATTAGCAGAATTGCCTGTGAGGACAACTTTTGTGAAGTGTAGTGTATCTTTTTTTTTTTTTTTAAACCAAGAAGAGATTTAATAAAACTTTTTTTTGAGACAGAGTCTCGCTTTGTCGCCCAGGCTGGAGTGCAATGGCATGATGTCGGCTCACTGCAAGCTCTGCCTCCCGGGTTCACGCCATTCTCCTGCCTCAGCCTCCCCAGTAGCTGGGACTACAGGCACCCGCCACCACGCCTGGCTAATTTTTTGTATTTTTAGTAGAGACGGGGTTTCACCATGTTAGCCAGGATGGTTTCCATCTCCTGACCTTGTGATCCGCCCGCCTCGGCCTCCCAACGTGCTGGGATTACAGGTGTGAGCCACCGCGCCCGGCCATAAAACTTTTAAAAATCCTGCAAAATGTGAAATATTAGCTACCCTATTACAGTGTTTGTACATTAAGAAGACATTTTGCTTTGAAGCCAGATTCGTTTTAGGACTTTTAAGGTATTATCAAGTTTTAAATTGGTTCCAAGATTTGGAAAGTACAGTCCTTCCTAGAGCCTGATTGTTATCATCGGGCTGTGGTTACGAAAAGATAGAGTGTTAACATTACCAAAATGAAATCAGTGTCTTAGTAAACACAGAACTTTTTAAACACCCACCTTTAGTATGTACCGTCTGAATAATTCTAGCATTTTCACATTGATTAGTCTTTTGAAAAATCATAAAGATGAACAATTCATAGGTTAATGCAGAAAATAATGAGTATATCAAGAGATGAAAACAGTGTGCTTTTGTCAAATTCACAAATGTCATCAAATTCAGAACTGCCCTTTTGGCTGAATTAGTTCAGCATTGTAGGTGTTTATATTTGTCTTGCTGAAGGACTGTTTTAGGAGTGTTGTTGTAAAATCTCTGTCCAATTCCCAATTAGCAGAGTAGAACTTTTGGTAGTGCGAACTCAGTAGTTCCATCAATGTGATCTTTACAGTTATAGGAAATGAACATAGTTTGCCCACAGTTCTTTTAAAAGATCTGAATAAACATGAGTCAATATAACATTTATTCTGTATTAATAATCAGTACATAAATTAATTCAACTTGAAACCTTTTTTCTACAGAGTACTATTTAATATTATCATCTGATCCATAGTAATTTAGTACTAATTTTAATGAGAAAAAATGAAACTTTTACTTTCATAATAGCTCATCCACTTAACATTTTTACAAAGAACTACTATAAATATGTAACACTATGCAGGCTTTTTTCTACACCTAGTCACAAATCAAAATAAGCATACTGTTTATTTAAAAACGGAACACTTTCAAACTGCTGCTGTATTCAGATCACCACCTTCCCCACACCAAATTAATTGCTCTCTCTGTGTACTCCCCTCTGTGCCACTCATGTTGCAGCATTATCCATGGCTCTTTGCCTTAACCCAACCCGGTTTCTGTTGTCACTGCTCCCTAGGTTGAGTTCTTGGATGGCAGGGAGCCTGTCTCCCTTATCAAATAGTGTTAGGTATGAGTTATGCCTAATACGTGTGTTGAATCAAATTGAATTTAATTAGGACACCTGAATTTTATGTAGCTTCCTTCTAATTTTTGTAACTAAGGAGCATTACAAATTTTCTTTTCAAAATGTACCATAAAATATACCATGGATTGAAATTTTGAATTATGTATAAGAGAGTTCATGTTACCCAATAAAACATCATAGGAATTTGAACCTAAAGAACTCTAAATCTTAAATGAGGATTTTTTTTTAAATGCACAAATGGCAGGCAGAAAAATCAAATCCTGCTATATTATCAGATGAAATTAGAAAGTAGACTACATATTTCAATAAAGTTGACATTAAAAGGATCTTTTCAAACAGTGGGATTCTAAAGCCTAACAATTATTTTTTAAATTCTGTTGTAAACCTCGAAAAACATTCTTAACTATAAAAAATAAGGTAACTTGAAGTTAGAAATTTATGGATGAAGTTAGAAATGTATGGATGAAGTTAATGCTGGATTGCATACAGAAGCCAAATTTGGTGCCTCCATGATCCATATCTTTAATGCCTTTAGCAAGCCTGTTCACATATACTGGTGAAATAACAATCTCTCAGAAGTAAATAAAAGAGATTCTAAGACTCCGCTGAGTAGTAGACCAAGTAAGATCATCACAAACTTCATGCTGTCAAATACATTACCTTGAAGGAAAATTATGCAGACAGCTTTTCTGAACAACTCCATTTATGCCACATGCTTATTATTCTTTGAGGTGGAGGAGGTGGCAGGGAACATAATTTCTGTTTGAAAGTTCTTTTGTTTTCTGCTACCTTTACTTAAATGTTACCGGGTACTATTTTTATATCCTATAAAGTGCTTTGAAAAAATGTTAAGTGAATAGTGCTACATAAAATAGAGGAGAATTTTCACATTCTCTGGGTTGTAAGAAGCAAAGTGAATAATACTTGAGTCTTAAAAGAGGAATGATAATATGCTGAAAAAGTTAACAAGTAGCTAATAATCCCCCTCCCCAACCCCCAGCTTTGCAAAATTCTGGGTTCAAAGAGAAACTGAATTTTGGCTAATAAATAAATAAACATTCATTAAAAGCAGAATTTATACCACAGCAAATGTAAAGAAAATTCATGTGGTGTTCCTAATAATTATTTTAATGTTGTTAAATGGACATGAATTGAAACAGAACTTATTTATATTCACTTAACGTTTGCATATAAGGTCAAATTGCTTAAATACTATTACAAGAAAAATATTTTATGACTCTGAAGCCATCTGATTTCTGCATATTTCTATAACAATAAAACAATTTGAATCACCTTAGAATTCACTGTAATAGGATTTGGCCATGTAGCACATATAATCAGATTGAGACCAGTTAATTTCGGAATTCCTTTTTCTAACTGAAATCCTACTTAATTCAACAGATATTCTCAATAGAAAAACAGAAACCTCTTAAGAATGAATGCAAGTAAAATATACATCTTATCATAAAAACAATCAGTACATTCTAACCAAAAATATATATCAAACCACAGTGAAAAAAGTAAAAACCTAGTATTAGATAAAATTTTACTTTCTTAACCAAAAAATTCATTGCACATATTTACCATTTATCTGTTTTTTTAAAAATCCCCCAAAATATTTCCAATAACTGCTAAGTACTATACTTTTTGCTTGTTCATGAGATTACTAAACATTTACAATGCAAGTGTATTGGCTTGGAGGCATCCTTGCAGTAAATGAGGGCAGGATTCTTCAATACACTGTAAAATGCACCAACCTTAGTCAGGTTTTTAAAATGGTTCACTTTTAAATATGATAGCTGGTAGCTGTCCAAGTCCATTAGCACCACATATAGTGAGTTAAAGAGTGTTTTCAGAGAAGATGACTCGTCTTTTTTGTTTTTAATGTTTAAAAGTTGTACAATTAAAAGAAATTGACTTCTTGGGTCATGTGTTTTGAATGACACTTTTCATCTTGCTCAGGATTTCCACCCTCCTCCCCGGATTATAAGCATGAAGGTAGGAAAATCTGGGGGAAATATTTTTGCACTTCAGCAAAGAATCTTGCTAATAATATCCATGATTTGGTTCAATTTCCAAGTCAGATTAGTTTCTTTTGTTAGAGGTCTCAATATGTATTTACAGAAAGAAATGAAGATGATTCTGTAGGACAAAGTAGCAAATACTTTCTATATGCAATCCATACACAATGCAAGAATTCACCCAGATCATTTAAAATCATCTAATGTGCATTATTTCCTCCAAGTGGAGCTCTTGAACAAATACCTTACATCTCATACTTCATCTTTATTACTTCATCTGTTTCAAGTAGTAACACAATCACTCAATTTACACAATGGGGGAATACACACTTTGAATCCTAACCTGTGAGGTAGGGAAGTGCACTCTGGTATTATGGCCATTTCACACAAGGAAAGATTGAAATAGGATTACTTTTTCAAAAAATATGGCAATCATTGATGAGATCAGATGCTTCCCTTTCAATATGTAAATAAAAATGCAAATAAGCCCTTCTCATTTTTGTAAAGTATATCTGGATTGAAAATAGTGATGAAGGCCGGGTGCGGTGGCTCATGCCTGTAATCCCAGCACTTTAGGAGGCCGAGGCGGGAGGATCATGAGGTCAGGAGATCAAGACCATCCTGGCTAACACGGTGAAACCCCATCTCTACTAAAAATACAAAAAATTAGCCGAGCGTTGTAGTGGGCGCCTGTAGTCCCAGCTACTTGGGAGGCTGAGGCAGAAGAATGGTGTGAACCCAGGAGGTGGAGCTTGCAGTGAGCCAAGATCGCGCCACTGCACTCCAGCCTGGGCGACAGAGTGAGACTCCATCTCAAAAAAAAAAAAAAAAGAAAAGAAAATAGTGATGAAAAAGTTAACTTTCAATATTCATGTAAAATGCTTTTTACTGGTCTCAACACACAGACATGAAGGAATACTGACATTTAAATTATAATGTGCTTTAGCAATAACTTTTCACTTTTCTATTCACCCACATTCATGGCTCATTTTTGGCCGAGAATAAATATTTGCACTAGATTATTAGGATTTTCCAGGACCATTACTACCAGGCTGGCTTTGAATCTACTCTCCCCTCTTTGGAGAGAAGTTGATGAATATGGCTCTTAAAGAAGTAATTCTGCAAGATGAATCCTATATTATCTGTGATAATTTACTTGGGAATTTTCCCTTCTCCTGGATGAAGAATAATATTCCCCTTGTTTTGTTTTTGCTGTTTCATTTTTTAACTTTTCACAGATAAATCCATGCAGAAATGGATATATACAGATCTGTTGAGGCAGAAAGAAAAGCGGGGGAAAAACCCACTCTCCCTGTTTCTACACTTTTGCACTTAGTAACAATTTGCCTGATTGAAGGATTTGTGAATGGTTCTCTTTTTTTTTTTTTTTTTTTTTGAGAAGGAGTCTCGCTCTGTTGCCCAGACTGGAGTGCAGTGGTGCAATCTTGGCTCCCTGCAACCTCCACCTCTCGGGTTCAAGCAATTCTCCTGCCTCAGCCTCCCAAGTAGCTGGGATTACAGGCGTGCACCACCACGCCCAGCTAATTTTTGTATTTTCAGTAGAGATGGGGTTTCACCACATTGGCCAGGCTGGTCTCGAACTCCTGACCTTAGCTGATCCACCCGCCTTGGCCTCCCAAAGTGCTGGGATTATAGGCGTGAGCCACTGCCCCTGGCCAAATAGCGCTTATAAGAGACTTAAGACTAGGAAACCACTCACGTTTAATATCAATATGCATATTCTGCACACTATCTGCTGAAATTGGGAAAATGCAATGTATTTTTTGAGTTAAGCCTGCTGCTTAGGAATGTAACAATTACAAATCACATTCACAAAAGTAGCTCACCTTATTCACCATTTTAAACATATATGTGCACTGTAAAAAATAAGTTTTTAAAAACTTAATGTGATGTTAGCCTATACACAGAGCTGAATTATCAAAAGGAAACCAGACTTTGTTATATCAGAGGTCATTAAAAAGCTTATGGCATACCATAAGTGCTCAATAAATACACCTTCCTCCCCCAAAGCACTCCAATCTCCATATGCCATTTTAGCAACTCCCTGTATGTTATGTCATTTTACACTGCAATCTGTGCTGACTTCCTCCAATCCAGAAGTGACTGCATTTCAGTGGTAGAGTTTTATAAACTTGACTTAATCTTTAGCACTTCTGCGCTGGAATTGTACCTTTTAAGTTCTAGAGATGATAAATCTCTCATTTGTTACTGAGTAAGAAATGCCACAAATGTATAAAAGAATTCTTCATTAAGCTTGTTTTTTCTGCCGTGACTCTGGAGAGTAAGTCACTGTAGAAGATTGTTTATTTTATTATCATCAGAGGCCATTTCATTAACCAGCTGTTCTATTGACAACTGAATAGCATTCTTGACTAGAGAAGAGGCTGTTTCAATTAAGAGTGTTTCATATTGTTCTGAAGTTCTATCCTCAAAACCATTATCATTAGCAAAAACCCCTACTTGCTCATTTTCAGCTGAAATTAAGAATTGCTTAGGGACATTTTTAGATTTTGTAACATCAAATTCACTGATTTCAGTGTCTGTAATAATAATAGCAATTGGCTCCATTCTTTTGCTTTCTTCTGATTTGGATTTCTCTTCAGTGATCCCATTTTCTTTAAAATCTGATTCTTGGCTCAATTCAGTATCTTTTGGCTTAGTTTCTTCAGCTACAATCTCTGTACTTTCATAGTCTTTTCCATTTGGTGCACTTTCTAGGGTACTGTTACTGGCTTCTTCCACAATTTGTTGATCTGGAATTGCAGGTAAAGGAGGAACATCAGAAAGTACTGGCTGCTGATGGTCTGTTTCTGAAGTTTCAAGTGGGCTTGCTTGCTGGGGTTGAACATCTTGTTTTTCCTTGATCGTTTCAATTTCTTCAAGGATTAGAGTTCCCGTTTGAATAGCAGAATGCCCATTATCTAATCCAAGTTCTACTGAAATCACTTTCTCTCCAGAAGTTGTGCTATTGCTCACATTTGATTCACAGACCTCATCACCATCTTTCCGTGAGATGCCTTCACTTAGATCCTGGGTTGACTTAGCCTTTGTTGCCTGATCATTCAATGGGGTCTGTGTTTGTATATCCAAAATTTCAGCTTCTTCCTGGACTTTGATGCTGCAGTCTGAGTCTTCTATAATTTTGGAATGATTACTCCTTTTTGGCCCTCTTGGGAATTTTATGCAGGGAATCTTAAGTCTAGATTTTGCCTTTTTCTTAGAAAGATCAGCATCCTCAGCATTTATTGCAGGTTGCATTTCACCCTCCAATGGCTTTTGCTGCTTTGAAGACTCTGACCTTTTCCTGCGTGTTACAAGACGTTTGAGTGAGGCCCAGGCCCCCCGTGTGGGCTCTGGCTGATCAGAAGCTCCTGCTTCTTGTGGACACTTCCTTGCCACATCAGCAGCTTCAGAGCCAGCTTTGGGCTTCAGTGCTTTGGCTGCTTTCTTTCTTCTCTTGAAGCAAAGCATGGATGCCTTTTCCTTCTGCCTTTCAGCCCCAGGACTACCTTCTGCTGATCTCTTCTCATCCTTGTTTTCTACATGAATTTCTGAAATTGTGGTTTCCATTTTTACACTGCACTCTTATTCTCTAGAAAACTGTATTCTCTCTTCCTTAGCAGCCTTTTGTGACAAAAAGATGAGCAAAAATGTCACACTAGGTAAAATTTCTTCCAGGCATATTCATACCTTTCATCTTACTCCATACAGTTGTTTTAGGTGGTTTCTCTAGTATAGAAATGCCCAGTTTCTCTATGGCTTGTAATTTCTCTCTTTAATTTCTTGATGAAAGCCCTTCTTTGGATAAATTTTTGCTTTATTTAAAGATCAACCTGATGAGAGAAAAGAAAGTGGTATTTTATTTCACTATGAGCCTATTATTTTCTGTGGAGACTATTTCAGTGAATGTATAAGATTCTACCAGGCATATTTTCCATATAATAACTTAATGAAATGACTGGAGAATAAACATTGGGGTTTACTTTGGCCCTATTAAAGAGTTCAGTGTGATTCTATTTTGTTTTATCCTCCTTGTTGAAACTTCATTTTGGATTACCCTGCAAGTCTGATATTATCAGTTCTTTAGTTGTGTTGTCTGTGTGAATTGCTTATGACTCTAAAGTGCAAGTTAAGCAAACAACAAGAACCAAAAATGAAGTGCAGGATGAAAAGCAAGCTGATGTAATCTTTATCACACTCAATAGATAATTTTAAAGCTGCAAAGGACTTTAGAGATTATTTGAGATTACTCAAATCCAGCCAGATGACAAAACTGAACTCCAGAGGGGAGCAGTTGTCTTGTCAAAAGCCATGCAACTAGATAAGGTCATAGCCAGAGTTAGAACTAGAGACTTTGACTCTCTAGTTTTACCATTATAACATAAGGTTTCTGTTCTAAAAATGTATGTTCCATCAAGGAAGTGCTATTTTTCATACATATTCTTAGGAAAATTTAGCATTACTGTCATTTCCCACTCTTAAATTAGTTGTACAATTTTGACATTTTCATTTAAGTACTGTATCTGCTGTATCACATGTTTCCACCATAATCTGCACATAGTTGGAAGTCAGTAAGAGTAGTAATAGCTGACATTTATTGAGCAATTCTTGGGTATTAGGCAGTGCATGCACTTTTACATACATCTCTAATCCTCACCACAATATTACAAAGATGGTGGTATCACCACGTACAGATGAAGCAATTTGGCTGAGATTACGGCAGAGCTGTAACAGAGCTCAGATTAACACAAGATTGCTTGTTGCTTAAAGCTTATGTTCTGAAACTGGGCTTTAAGAGTTTCGTCAGAAAATGAATTGTTTGGGGATACTAATCTGCAGTGTTTCATTAGTAAAAAAATTAAAAAATTGATTAATGGTCATTTAACCATAAGGCACTTATCAACTCATAATTGAACCACGAGTAGACTGAGTTCTTGTCATTTGAAAACCAAGCTTTTGAAATTCTTTATATTTTATTTTTTTGGTTCAGGAACTAATTTAAAAGCCAAAAATAAGTTGGCAAACTATGCAATTGGCAAACTTAGATAATATAAAGGTGTATTGAAAATTTAATCCTTAGAATGGTATGATGGCACCAAAGAATGGAAATGGGAGGTGATTATCCAACAAAGATCCTATGAATTTTAGTGGGTGGATGCCCTAAAATAAGCAAAGGGACTCATTCTTTATATTGTTTTTATGTAAATCCTTCACTGAAGTTTCATTTGGGTAACCCATAATTTTATGAACTGTAGAAGGAACTGGAACCCTGAAAATCAGTTTATGATCTAAGTAAATATTATCTTAGGTTGGGTGTTTCATACTGTGTGCCTCTAACAGAAAGATAAAGTCATTCTAGAACAATGACGGAACTAAAATATGAACATTTGACAGTGTTTCTCCTCACAATGTTTCAGTGAGCACTAGAACCTAAGCTGATAACTGTTTAAATCTTCTCACCTCTTGTGAGTTTTCAGCACCTGAGCATTTTTGTTAAGCAGAGGCTGTATTACCACATAATAGAAATATTGAAATGAGATGTTTAGGAGTCTGTCATTGGAAACTAACCTGGATTGCGCAAAGACAATCGTTTGAGAAGCTCACTTGAATGTATCTCACATACTAGAAATAAAACGAATACCCAAACAGAAACTTAACTAACGAGGGAAAATAATGCAGTCTGTAGACAATAAAACTTTGCAGAATGTCAGACTGCAAATGATTCGCTCTTAACCAGCAAGGGTAGCTTTATCGCCTCAGGAAATCTTAAAGTCCCTGTGCTCATTTCCTGATGGAATTGCAAGTCTCATGTCACAGAAAACACCCCCTTTCCTTTTTCCCTTGAGCAGCCAGTACCCGAGGAAAGCAATGCATCTTTCCCAGCACCAGATACGGACCACGAAGCTTCCTCCTGGAGGAAGGAATCTCGAATTCTGGCTTGACGCCCCTTATGGCAGGAGACAGAGCGCAGGATAAAGTACTCAAAAAGGAAAATGCCGGGGGCGTGGAACAGATAACCCAGCTTCAGGCTGTCTGCAGAATTATAATGTAATGGCCAGAAACCCAAAATCACATTTCTCAAAGAGGGATAAAGAAGGAAAAAAGCCACCGGCAACCCATGCTTCTAAGACAAGCTGTAACGCGAAGGGGATAGGTGGGCAGACCTGATGAGGGTCGCCCTGGCCGCGGATTCCAGCGGACAAGCGACCTCCCGCGTTCTTACTCCCAGCACCTCAGAGGGCTCGGATACCCCGTATCCAGTGGGCACCTCTTGCCCACTCCGCGGTCCGCGGACCGGACATTGCCCCCGACCCTCCTCCCCCGCAGGCTCCCCGCCCTGCCTTTACTTACGTAGGGCGTCGGGGTCCTTGGCCAACACTGCTCCCGAGGTGGCGGCGCGCTCGCGGGGCCCGCCGCCCAGGCCTCCAGGGAGCCGCGGTCGCACCCGGAGCAAGGCGCCCTCTGCAGAGCCCGCCGCCGGGTGCGCCCCCTCCCCACCGCGCGGGGACAGACAGCAGGCAGCGCCAATGCGAGCGGAGCGGAGCGGGCGGGCAGGGGCGGGGCGACCGCCGGAGGCGCGGGGCGGCGCGGGCGCCGGGACCCACCTGCAGCAGCAGCCTGCCTGCCTGCCGCGGGGAAGCCCATCGTGCTCCGCCCGGGCGCCAATCTCCACTGCCAGACCACATCAGCGCCGAGGCGGGGACCGCAAGAGAGCCAGCCGGAAGGTTCGGGGGGCGGGGGAAGGCGGGGGGGACCAGGGCAATGAACCCCGCGTTTTCTGAGACGCTAAATAGTGAGGTCCGGTTTCAAATTATAGACAGTCGCATTACACATCTCCTCTCCTCCCCCTCAGAATATTTAAAGACAAGGCAGACATCGCATTTTAAAAGCAGGATTCAAAACTGTGCATAGAATAGCGAGGTCATGTTTGTTTGAAGCGAAAATTACATATATAAATGGAAACAGAAAGAAACCCGACTTTCTCAGGAGTGGCTTGAGTGTCAGATCATCGTGGTTCATCGCCAAACAGGCTTTCAAACCTTTGTCTCCCAGTGGGAAGCAGGTGGAGGTGATTGGTGCAGAACTTTGGCCTGCAGGAGCAGCTGCATCTCTATGCGGACAAGGTGAGAAAGGCACAGGAACCCAGCTCCATCCATCTTATACCTTACATAGTTCCAAAAATAAGTTGAGGTAGCTTACAAGTTACCCATGATTCCCTTCAGGACATTCCCTATGAGGGCATTCCTGGGAGCTCCAGCTGTAAAATCTAGTAGGATCCATCACAATCCCAGCCTCCTCCTCTGGCCCCCATAGCATAGCATCCAGATGAAGAACCTGGTAAGGTGAAGTGAAGAACTACTGAAAAGCAGCCGCGTTCATCTCCTTTCTTCAACAGGATCACGACCTTAGGGAGTGTAAATGTCAGGTGTCCATTTTTGTATTTTTTCCGGAAATGTTTTATATTTGTAAGATTCTGTAGTTTCCACAGAGGCTTATCAAGGAAAGAACTCTTGAGACACAAAAGCAAAGCCAAATATAAGCTGTCAAGATCTTAAAATTACAGATAAAAGAGGCAAGAGTTGTAAAACAGGAAAATCCATAAGCATCTAGTTTAGTTGTAATTAAGAATTCAGGGATGGGCGCAGTAGCTCACACCTGTAATCCCAGCACTTTGGGAGGCCAAGGCAGGAGGATGGCTTGAGTCCAAGAGTTTGAGACCAGCCTGGGCAACATAGGGAGACAAAAAAATCTAAAAAATTAGCTGGGCATGGTGGTGCACGTATGGTCCCAGTTACTCAGGAGCTCAGGAGGCTGAGAAGGGAGGATCACTTGGGCCCAGAAGGTCAAGGCTGCTGTGAGCCACTACTGCACCACTGCACGCCAGCCTGGGCAACAAAGTGAGACCCTGCCTCAAAAAAAAAAAAAAATTCAGTCAGCCTTGTTCACTCAGCAAACACGTCTATCGAAATGGTCTGCGTATCTCTCTATGGGTTGCTAGCGCTGCTTGTTGCCAGTTTTGAACTTTAAGCCAAAAGAAATCCATTATGCTTATAAGCAATTGAGAACTATTCCTTATTGAGATCCAAGGTTTCTCAAAACTAGCAGACCTGGGAGTTTGCAAGAGTTTCAGGCAAAAAATAAGATGAGCTTATTTAGGTGAAGACAGGGTAAAATAGCTGTCTTATTTTTATTTTTATTTGAGACAGGGTCTTGCTCAGGCTGGAGTGCAGTGGTACAATCCCTGGCTCAAGCAATCCTCCCACCTCAGCCTCCCATGCAGCTGGGACCACAGGTATGCGACCACATGCCCAGGTTCTTCTTCTTTTTTTTTTTTTTGTAGAGATGGCGTCTCCCTATGTTGCCCAGGCTGGTCTTGAACTCCTGAGCTCAAGTGATCCTCCTGCCTTGACCTCCTACAGTGCTAGGATTACAGGTGTGAGCCCCCATGCCTGGCCTTCACTTGCCTTTCTTTTAAACAAAATTAGTAAAAGGGAACTGAAAGGCAGTTTGAGGTGAGAGATGAATTTATTTAGTATTTGAAGGGCAAATTCGGACAGACTTCCTTAAGGTATATTACAAACAAGTCATCCCTGACCTCCACCAACACACATACACACAGAGTCACTCACACAGAGTATAGTACTATAAATAACATAGCGCACCATAGTTTTTCTTTAGGATATGACTAGAACTCAATGCCATATGTGTGTGTGTGTGTGTGTGTGTGTGTGTGTGTTTAATGTATCCAGTACCTCATGCATGAAAGAAACCTGTCATTCCTGAATTCAGGTAAGTGACAACGAAGGCTGTTTAAGCTATTACCCATATCATTGTCTACTACCCCATTAGTAGCTTTTCATTATATAACAGGAAATAGGCTATAAATGTATTTCTGCAATCTGATGAGAAATTATCCTACCTATAGCTTATCATGTTAATATCACTAGATACAGTGTGCCAGTAAAATAGCTTACATATTTATCTGAGCAATACTCTACTGATCTTACCATTTATCCCATCTTGATCTCTACCCATTGCCTGGGCCTATAGCTACCAAAAATGACTTATAACTCCTTGTTAATAGCTCTTACATTTCAGAGGCCTTCTGGGAATAAGCCCTCCAACCCCGTTCCCTGGGACACCATTGAATGAACCTGAGGCTCCAAGTCTCTGGTGGTTTCATCTGTTCCTGGGCACCATGAGGGTTGCACAGAGCCAACACAAACTCAATAGTAATACTGTTGCAATCTGTTTAATGTGGCAGCACATAAATGCTATCTCTTTTGAATTAAGACTGTGTGTACATCTTCAGTGCACAGAAACAGCCTCTGAAGTGAGATCAGAGAATGTACAATTTGTTTATCAGTAATATTACTAATAAGGGGAAGGAAGGCATTAGCAGCCCAGAGAAGAGAAAGGGCACGGGAAAGCCACTAATCTGGAGGGACTCTTAGCACCAAGGTAAAGGCACTAGACCTTCTCTGCCAGCACATGCTAATAGTTACCCCAAGCACTAATGCTTCTATAGGTCTTTTTTATTTTGACACAGGGTCTTGCTCTGTTGCTCAGGCTGGAATGCGGTGGCTCAGTCATAGCTCACTGCGGCCTCGAACTCCTAGGCTCAAGCAAACCTCTCACATCAGACTCCCAAGGAGCTAGGACTACAAGCGTGCACCACACACTCAGCTGAGTTTTGGGGTTTTGTTTTTTGTAGAGATGGGGTCTGTCTTGTCCAGGTTAGTCTTGAACTCCTGGGCTCAAGTGATCCTCCTGCCTCAGCAGCCTGGACAAGACAGTGAGACCCCATCTCTACAAAAAACAGAACTTCAAAACTCAGCTGAGTGTGGTGGGATTACAGGTGTGAGCTACCATGCCCAGCCCCTACCAGTATTGAGGATTTAAACCCATGTGGCTGTTGGCGATATTAGGAAACCTAAATCCTTTAAGATGATCCTTAAGTCACCATATCTGACAAGACTGCATCCTTCCCTTGTCTACAAAATGAATTCCCAGCAAATCCCATTCCAGGTGAAGTTTCACAGGACATTAAGAAATGTACCAGAAAGCGGTCGGGCACAGTGGCTCACGCCTGTAATCCCAGCACTTTGGGAGGCCGAGGTGGGAGGATCACTTGAGGCCAGGAGTTTGAGACCAGCCTGGCCAACATGGCAAAACCCCATCTATACTGAAAATACAAAAAATTAGCCAGGCATGGTGGTGCGAACCTGTAATCCCAGCTACTCGGGAGGCTGAGGTGGGAGAATCGCTTGAACCCGGGAGGCAGAGGTTGCAGTGAGCTGAGATCACGTCACTACACTGCAGCCTGGGCAAAAGAGCACGACTCTTGTCCCAACCCCCCTACCCCCCCTGCCAAAAAAAAAAAAAAAAAAGGAAAAAAAAAGTACCAGAAGCAATTAACTCTGCAAACAGGGCCTGGAGGATGCTGTGCAACAGGAACTGACAAGTGCTTACAATGTGCCAGGCCCTGTACAAAGCATCTTAGATGATGTGTTTGAGTAATTCCAGAACCGCCCTCACGAGGTAGGTACCAACAGTGCTCCTATTTCCATGGTGAGGATGTGGAGGCAGGGAGGTGGGTGAGGCTCTCTGCCATAGAGCTGGGGCTCTGCACTGTGACCCCTTTGCCATATGCCTCTCAAGGCAGCGCTATCATTTCTGTGGACTGTAAAATTGACTGTATTACAACATTGACATGGACCTAGGGAATTAAAAATAATAAAACCAAGGTCACTGGGAAAAATACTGCTTTGCCAACATCAGCAGTGTTTAGCACTGGCGCCAGTGGGATGCAGCATCCTCTGGAAGGATCCAGTGGAGGGAGACAAGGGGAAAAAGGGAAGGAAACAAATGGGAGAGGAAGAACAGAGATAGAAGATAAAGAACAAGAAGAGAAGGAAAAATATTTGATTTATTTTTTTAGACAGAGTCTAGCTCTGTCTCCCAGGCTGGAGTGCAGCAGCATGATCCTGGCTCACTGCAACCTCTGCCTCCTGGGTTCAAGCAATTCTCGTACCTCAGCCTCCCAAGTACCTGGGGTTATAGGTGCCTGCCACCACACCCAGCTAATTTTTGTATTTTTGGTAGAAACAGGGTTTTACCATGTTGGCCAAGCTGGTCTTGAACCCCAGACCTCAAGTGATCCGCCCACCTCGGCCTCCCAAAGTGCTGGGATTACAGGCATGAGCCACCTCCACGCCCAGCCAGAAGAGGAGGAAAAAAAATATTAGGTTGGTGCAAAAGTAATTGTGGTTTTTACCAACCTAATGTTTTAGGAAAAAGAAAGTCTGGGCCAGGTATGGTGGCTCATGCCTATAATCCCAGCTACTTGGGAGGCTGAGGCAGGAGAATCACTTGAACCCAGGAGACGGAGGTTGCAGTGAGCTGAGATCGCGCCACTGCACTCCAGCCTGGGCGACAGAGACACTGTCTCAAAAAAATAAAAATAAAAATAAAAAGTCTGTAGGGAAGGGTGGAGCCCAGGCATTTAGAAGAAACTCAATGAATACTTGCTGCACCAACAGAATAGAGGCTCACCTAAGGCTAATGCTGCATGACCATCCTTCTTGAGCACTCTAAACATAGACAGTGCTAAAGCTGTGACAGAAATGGGAATTCCAAGGAAGTTCAGGCAAAAACTTGTATAAGCAATACTTCCTCAGGGTAGAAAAACAAAATTCAACAATATAGAAAGGTATAAGATTAAAAGGTAAGTCATCAACTTCCAACCCAACCCTCTCAGGAGGTC